>NW_003571054.1:314793-614793 GCF_000001405.40 Homo sapiens
GAATTCGCCCTTCCTCTGCTTTTTGTTCTATTCGAGCCTCCAGCAGATTGGATGAGGCCCGCCCACATTGGTGAGGGAGAACTTCTTTACTCAGTCTACTGATTCAAATGCTCACCTCTTCCAGAAACACCCCCACAGACACATCCAGAAATAATGTCTTACCAGCTATCTGGGCATCCCTTAGGCCAGTCAAGTTGACGCATAAAGTTAACCATGACATCAGCTTATTTAATAAACTGGCTATATCTGCATATTTGCTCATTTGCCTAATGAGTTATCTCTATCATGCTCTGTGAAAGCAGAGATTTTCATCCCTTTAGTTCACTGCTGAATTCCCAGGGCCTAGAACAATGCCTGGCACCTAGTAGCTGTCCAATAAATAAATACTTGGGGAATGAACAAACCAATGAATGTATGGATTCTTCTTTATTATTAATAGATCCCAGGGCTTACTTAACACAGCCTGGCAGCTATTAAACATGTAATCGAAAGAAAGGAGGGGAAAAGGAAGGAAGAAGGAAGGTAGCAATGAAGGAAGAAGGAAGGAGGGAAGAAAGGAAGGGAGAGAGAGAGGAAGGAAAGAAGGAAGAAAGGGAGGGAGGAAGGAAGGGGGAGGGAGGGAGGGAGGAAGGAAGGGGGAGGGAGGGAGGGAGGAAGGGGGGAGGGAGGGAGGGAGGAAGGAAGGGGGGAGGGAGGGAGGGAGGAAGGAAGGGGGGAGGGAGGGAGGGAGGAAGGAAGGGGGGAGGGAGGGAGGGAGGAAGGAAGGAAGGGGGGAGGGAGGGAGGAAGGGGGGAGGGAGGGAGGGAGGAAGGAAGGAAGGGGGGAGGGAGGGAGGAAGGAAGGAAGGGGGGAGGGAGGGAGGAAGGAAGGAAGGGGGGAGGGAGGGAGGGAGGAAGGAAGGAAGGGGGGAGGGAGGGAGGGAGGAAGGAAGGGGGGAGGGAGGGAGGGAGGAAGGAAGGGGGGAGGGAGGGAGGGAGGAAGGAAGGGAGGGAGAAGGAGGAAGGAAGGAAGGGGGGAGGGAGGGAGGAAGGGGGGAGGGAGGGAGGGAGGAAGGAAGGAAGGCCAGAAGGCAGGAAGGGGTAGGGAGGGAGGGAGGGAAAGAGGAAAGAAGGAAGGAGGGAAGGAAGGAAGGGAGGCGGGGAGGGAGGGAAAGATCATAAGGATGACTGAACATCTGAAGGCTGAACAGCTTTACGTATTTATGCCTTTTCCGGTCATTTTCTTATGTACTTGTGAATTCCTTCACTTTGCTTTCCTTCTATTTGGCAGATGTCACTGTAGTCATTTTTAAAAATCAACAACTGTCACCCTCGTAATAATTCGCGAGCGCTTGTCAAGCACTTTGTCAGCAAACACTTCCCGCGTGTTCACTCGATCTGCACAACAATCCTGTGGAATTGGTTAAGGTTGCTCTTTCTTGCTTTTTTTTTTTTTTTTTAAACAGAGTTTCACTCTTGTTGCCCAGGCTGGAGTGAAGTGGTGCGATCCTGGCTCACTGCAACCTCTGCCTCCCGAATTCAAGCGATTCTCCTGCCTCAGCCTCCTGAGTCGCTGGGATCACAGGCACGTGCCACCATGCTCGGCTAATTTTCGTTATTTTTAGTAGAGACTGGGTTTCGTCATGTTGGCCAGGCTGGTCTCGAACTCCTGATCTCAGCTGATCCCCCCCGCCTTGGTCTCTCAAAGTGCTGGGATTACAGGCATGAGCCACTGAGCCTGGCCAAGGTTATTATTTTCATCCTATTTATGTGAACCGAAAGCACAGAGTTGAGAAAATTGTCTAAGGTCACCGAGCTAATAAGGAGCTGAGCCAGGGTTGAAACCAGATAATGTGGCTGCAAAGCATGAACTCTTAGTCATGCCAATCATGAACTAAAGAGCGTCCTTCATTTGTGTCTCTGTTCAAATATCATCCAAATGGAGAGAGAGACATTCCCTGAGCACCTTCTATTATATAAGTAGCAACCACCAGACGTGGTGGCTCACGCCTGTAATCCCAGCACTTTGGGAGGCCGAGGCAGGTGGATCATGAGGTCAGGAGTTCAAGACAAGCCTGGCCAAGATGGTGAAACCCCGTCTCTACTAAAAATACAAAAAATTAGCTGAGTGTGATGGCAGGCACCTGTAATCCCAGCTACTTGGGAGGCTGAGGCAGATAATTGCTTGAACCGGGGAGGTGGAGGTTGCAGTGAACCAAGATCACGCCACTGCACTCCAGCCTGGGCAACAGAGCAAGACTCTGTCTCAAAAAAAAAAAAGTAGTGACCACCTCATCCCCACCACATCCACTCACATCTATGTGTTGCTTCCTCTTACCTGATAGTATAGACTCAGCTCACCTGTTCATTCCTCAATTTTCTACCTTCTGTACTCCAGCGGTTTTAGTTGTGCCAACTGGAGACTTTGTCTTTTTTGCTTATGCCCATTTCTCCAGAACATGCAGCAGTGCCTGGGACATAGTAGGCACTCAATACGTGTGTGGGGAACAGATACATCATTGAAGCACAGCTGTTAGCACAGCACACATGGTCCTGATTTATTGAGAACCTACTATGTGCTAGGCACAGGACCAAGCAGTTGGAAATCTCTCCTGGCATTCTTACAGCCACTCAGTTAAGCAGGCAAGTCTCCCAAAGCTTAAGCCGTGGGAAGCACATGCTGAGTCCTTCAGCCAGGAGCTGTCCTTGCCTTCTGTCAGCAGAAGCTGGTCAGGAGGCCTTCCCAGAGGAGGCAGCATCACTGCCTCCCCCAATCTTCCCTCCCATCCCTGTGGCTGCTCCTTCTCAGTCTCATTGTGGGCCCCTCTTTCTCCACTTGTCCCTTTCATGCCTGTACTACTCCATGTCTGGCTAGACCAGAGCTTATAAACCAGCCAGCTCCAACCCACAGACAGGTTTTATTTGGCCCACACAGCATTTTTTTTTCATTTGAATTAGTTTTAACATTTAAAAGCTGAGGGATTTTGCTTTTAAAAATATCCAGATTTCTGCCTTCTCTTGGAAATTTGGAACATCTGGTGGTGCCAGGTCCCTCTTCCCATATGGCAAGCGTTGGCTGAAACGAAATAGCAACAGCCATGTTCTCTGAGCTACCCTCTACCAGGGGGTTTGCATGCGTCCCAAGCCATGAATGAACACCTGCAGAGCTTGAGATGGTTTAGGGGTGGTATTCAGCCAAGGGCTCTAGAAATACCCAAGGGCCACCTGGAATGACCGTTTGTTTTCCTCAGCAGAAACAGACCCAGGGAACCACGGCCGGAGAAGGTAGAGATAATACATTTCTGTCAGGCAGCATTGCAGATGTCCCATGCAGGAGGATGGATGTCCTGGGTTTAATCGATGCAGGCTAAGCCATTCTCTAAAGAGGCTTGCCTTCTGGGGCCCAAAACACATGTGAGGGAGACAGAGAGGTGGGGACAGAAAGAGCCAGAGTAAAGCAGAGAGAGAGAGAGAAAGAGATAAAGAGAGAGAGAGAGAGACAGAGAGAGAGAGACAAAGAGAGACAGAGAGAGAGAGAGAAACAGAGAGAGAGAGACAAAGAGAGAGAGAGACAAAGACAGAGAGAGACAGAGAGAGACAAAGAGAGAGACAGAGAGAGAAAGAGAGACAAAGAGAGACAGAGAGAGAGACAGAGACAAAGAGATAGAGAGAGAAAGAGAGAGAGACAGAGAGAGACAGAGAGAGAGAGACAAAGACAGAGACAGAGAGACAAAGAGAGAGAGAGAGACAGAGAGAGACAGAGAGAGACAGAGAGAGAGAGAGAGAGAGAGAGTGAGAGAGAGAGAGAGAGAGTCCATCAATTTAAAGTCTTTTTCTAGGGGAATGAAGGGGAATGGCATATGTGGTGACTATGGGGTGTGTGTGTGTGTGTGTGTGTGTGTGTGTGTGTGTGTGTGTATTTCATGTAAGAAAGCAGCATGCTGAGGACACAGCAGCAAGAACAAAGCAATGAGCTCCCCCTGGAAGCCAATATAACTTACTTCTACTTAGTAACATTTACCCCTTTTCTTTTTTAAGACAGAGTCTCACTCTGTCGTCCAGGCTGGAGTACAGTGGCACAATCTCAGCTCACCGCAACCTCTGCCTCCCAGGTTCAAGCTATTCTCATGCCTTGGCCTCCTGAGTACCTGGGATTACAGGCACACATTGCCATGTCCAGATAATTTTTTTGTATTTTTAGTAGAGACAGGGTATTTTTTTTTTTTTTTTGAGACAGAGTCTTGCTCTGTCACCCAGGCCGGAGTGCAATGACACAATCTCGGCTCACTGCAACCTCTGCCTCCCAGGTTCAAGCAATTCTCCTGTCTCAGCCTCCCGAGTAGCTGTGACTATGGGAGTGTGCCATCACATCCAGCTAATTTTTGTATTTTTACTAGAGATGGGGCTTCACCATGTTGGCCAGGCTGGTCTCGAACTCCTGACCTCGTGATCCGCCCGCCTTGGCCTCCCAAAGTGCTGGGATTACAGGCATGAGCCACCATGCCTGGCCTGTTTGTTTATTTTTTTGAGTTGGAGTCGTGCTCTGTTGTCCAGGCTGGAGAGCAGTGGCACAATCTCAGTTCACTGCAACCTCCGCCTCCTGGATTCAAGCAATTCTCTTGCCTCAGCCTCCCAAGTAGCTGGGATTACAGGCACACACCACCATGCCAGGCTAATTTTTTTGTATTTTTAGTAGAGACAAGGTTTCGCCATGTTGGCCAGACTGGTCTCGAATTCCTGACCTCAGGTGATCCACTGGCCTCGGCCTCCCAAAGTGCTGGAATTACAGGCGTGAGCCACTGGGCCTGGCCGAGACAGGGTTTTACCATGTTGGCCAAGCTGGTCTCGAACTCCTGACCTCAAGTGATCTGCCCACCTCCACCTCCCCAAGTGCTGGGATTACAGGCTCGAGCCACTGCGCCTGGCCCCCAGTTACCCCTTTTCTAACACCAACCCAGATTGTTCTCTGCAATTCAGGATTCATGTTTCTCAGGTGGCAATCCAAGATCCATTAGCCAGCCACAAAACAATTTAGAAGGTTGTGACCAGATTTGAATTACAAAATAGAAGTAACAGAGGATAGAAATTATCCAAGAGCATTGCACATAGTGGTCAGAAACTTTTTACTTTTTTTTTTTTTTTTTTTTTTTTGTGTGTGTGTGTATACTAGATCATAATGTAAAATGTATTTCTCACTGTGGGTTGTGGCCCTATCAGTTGGAAACCACTCATCTAGAATATTATCCATATGGAGAGGGCTGATGCAGGGCCAAATGATGGAGGGTATAAACTCAGGGCTGAGGGTGTGACTTGATTCTATGGGCAACGTGGAGCCACTGAGCTCTATTGGGTTGCACAGTCACCACCAGCACCTCACTGTCCTGCACTCTGATGTACACATGCCCAACTGTGCACATCATGACGTTTGGAATTCTTCCCATTAGCAAATCCTGCTGCTACAACAAACACTGGCTGTGGACATGATGCAAGAGATTGTCAGAACAAGAGTTTTAGAATATACTAATCTTAGCCCTAAAGGGTTAAGCCTTCATTTTACAGACAGAAAAAGAGGGACTCTAAGATGAAAAACTACTTGCCTAGAGTCACTTAATACACCTCTAACCGCTCATCTCGGGATCTTCTTCATCCCCAAGCCCCATGTAGGCCACCTGGTTGGGAATGGTGGAGAACATGACTCTAGCCAGAACCAGAGAAAGCTGAAGAAGACCTAGGGTAGTGATGAGAGAGGGTGTGTGTGTGTGTGTGTGTGTGTGTGTGTGTGTGTGTGTGAGAGAGAGAGAGAGAGACAGAGATAAGGCGCCTATTCTCACTCTCCCATTTCATCATCAATACCTTCACCAATATCACTATCCTCCTCCTCACCGTCATCATCATCGTCCTCATCACCATCATCATCACCACCGTCACCACCATCACCACCACCATCATCATCATCATAATTATCATCATGACATGTCAACATAATCATGTCTTCACCATCATCATCATCATCATCACCATCACCATCATCACCATCACCATCGTCAACACCACCACCACCATCATCATCACCATCACCACCATCACCATCATCATGACATCATATCACCAACATAATCACCACCATCATCGTCATCACCACCACCTCCGCTACCACCAGCATTCCTCTTTTCCCTAGCCCTTTCTTGCCAATCTGGAGCAAAATATGGAAATGGGTTAAGTGGAGAACTAATCTCCCTTTCTTCCACTCATCCCAATTCCCACAAGAGAGGCCACGTGTGTGGTTTCCAGATGGCAAAGTCTCACCCTGCCCTACAGCAAGAGGGGACCCCTGGGGCCAGATTCCTGAGCACCTAGTTTTGGCTGCAATAGTGACAGTCTGGGTGATGATGTCAGGGTGGCCAGGTCCCCTCCCAGGGTTGGCACTTCCCCATCTATCGGTGTGGCATCGGAGGATTCCAGTGAGATGTAACATGGGGAGTGGCTGGAAAAATACTCTGTAACTGTATGGCGAATGCCAAGGGGCAGGGGTCCTTGTATACACCGAAGTAATCCCGAGTCAGTTTACAGGATGGGAAGGGCCCCTATATAGATGACCAGGGTCCTTATGCAGGTAGAAGGGGTCCTTATGCAGCATGAAGGCTTGCTACACAGGCGTGTGGATTTTTCCATACATTCTGGAGTAGCCTCTACACATAGGAGTGTTTGTGCTTAGAAGCTGTGTCCTTATGCAGGCTAGGAATAAAAGTGGGACGGAGATTTTACACAAATACGGGCATCTTTTACAGGTGGGAGCACTTTCGTACACAGAGGACTTCTTATCCATGGAATTGGCCGTTCTTTGTAAAACGCTCTGTACTTACTAGCAACCTTTACACAGACATGAAGTTTCTCCATAAGGATAAAGGGATCATTATGTTTTAGGTGAAATAACAGTATGAGTGGCCTCGTATGGACAAGGAGGGCTGATTTCAATCGCGATGCAAGCCAGCTGTCCGGATGCCGCCGACGCCAGCAGCGCGGTACCTGCGCGGGCAGCAGGTGGGAGCCGCGACCGGGGTGGGGCGCGGAGCGCTGGGGGCCTCCCGACTCCCGCAGTCCCCGCCGCGACCACCAGGGGCAGCACCGTCCCCGCCCGGCCCGCGCCTCCCTCCCCCCAATCTCCGCCCCCCACCCCCTGCCTCCCCCCCGCTCCCGCTCCCCTGAGCCCAGCCAGACCCCGCGCCGCCCGCGCCCCGCTCGACTCCGGAGGCTCCCGCAGCCCCGGCGTCCGCCCCGCTGCCCCCTCCCCCGGGGGCCATGGGGGCGCCCCCGGGCTACCGGCCCTCAGCTTGGGTGCATCTCCTCCACCAGCTGCCCCGCGCCGACTTCCAGCTCCGCCCGGTGCCCAGCGTTTTCGCGCCCCAAGAGCAGGAATACCAGCAGGTGGGACCGGGCGCCAGGGCCTGGGGGCCAGGGCTGGGGGCCGGAGCTCCTGGGTCCCGAGGGAGAAGGGGGCTGGGTCACAGATTTCCTGAGCTCCGCCGGAGGCTGGGGGCCGGCCCGGACTTTGGGGTTTCGGAGGGAGGAGGAGCCTGGGGGCGCCCATGCCTGGAGGTTCTCCTGGGACGCGCGCTGGGGGTCCAGACCTCGAGCTCTCTAAATAAGGGAAGGCTGGGGACCTGCACCCCTGAGTTCATGGAGAGGAGGGGAGGGGGGCCCGGATTCCCGGGTGTCTGATACCTGCCTGGGAAGCCGGCCTCCAGGGTCATCGGGAGGGTAGGTCTACTCTTCCTGCCCTAAAAGATGACCCTGCCCCACAGGATCAGAGCAGGTGAATATGTCCCAGATAAGGTGGGACCCAGGAGACAGCGGACCTGATAACGGTGGCGGGGAAAACGCTGGCTGCTGCGGTGCTGGGATGGGATTGAGAGTCTGAAATGGGGAAGGGGGCTTCAGGGGCTGAGGACCAGGGCTGGAAAATGAAGGGGCTCTGGGAGAGGAAGCTTCTTGCCCGTCCCAAGAAAGAAGGGGTGGTCAGGGCGCTGCAGGGGTGAGGGCCGAGATGAGGCTGGGTTTGGGGAGCCTCGGGATGACAGACCCGGGTCCCGAGGGTGGGGCCGGTGTGGGAACCTCACAGAAGCCGGTGTCCCTGGGGAAGGGGCCCGGCTCGGGGCAGCTCCAATGGGCGAAAGAGCTGTCCCCTGACCCAGTTTAATTCAAGTCCTTGACTTCGAGATTAATGAGGAGAAAGGCTTGGCTGAGCTGGGGACGGGTGGGGGTGCTGGGAGTCCCGATGTG
The DNA here is from genome assembly GCF_000001405.40 of Homo sapiens. Classification (NCBI taxonomy): domain Eukaryota; kingdom Metazoa; phylum Chordata; class Mammalia; order Primates; family Hominidae; genus Homo; species Homo sapiens. The sequence continues at coordinate 323,052 of NW_003571054.1, forward strand.
GCCCCAGGACGGGTCCTGGCCCTGCTGATGGGGCCTGAGCCCCTGGGCTCCGTCTTGGGTTGCTCCTGGGAGAAGGGGGCTGGGATTGGAGAGCTCAGGGGGCGTGGAGGGGGTCCCAGAAAAGCGCGGAGGGGATGAGTGCTGTGTTCTGAGCTATTTGGGTCACGGCTGGCACAGCCCTGAGCAGCTCTTCCCCGCCTGCTCCTCGCCGCCCCCTCTCCCCACACACGGGGACCGCCGTCCCCTCGCCCACAGCCTCGCGGTTACACAACGGCCACCTCCAACAACGCCGCTCCACCGGCTCCGGCCTCGGCCCAGACTCACGCCCGCTCTGGCCCGGAGACCTCCCGAAGCCGCACGCGGGGATCCGCGGCCCCAGTCACCGCCAGAGGCACGGGTTTGGGGGAGCCTCACTCCGCCCCCACGGTCGGGGGTCAGGGTCAGGGTGGCAGGGATGCGCGGGCAGAGCCCCACAGCCGAGGAGGGCAAGGGGGACCCCTGCAGGGACGCGACCACCGTGGGTACAGCTGCAGACACAGCCAGGGCCTCAGGGACACTGGCCCGGGGGAGGCACACAGCCACACGCACACACTCACTGGCATATGCACAGCACACACACACGTCCACTTACTCCCATTACACACTCACATGCACACACATATGCACAGGCACACCCAGACACGCCCACTTATTCCAACACACTCACATGCACACACATATGCACAGGCACACTCAGACACACCCACTTACTCCCATTACACACTCACATGCACACTCACATGCACACACTCAGACACGCCCACTTACTTTCATTACACACATGCACACACACATATGCACAGGTACACACACACGCCCACCTACTCTCATTACACACTCACATATGCACACACACATACCCATTTACTACTCCCGCTATGCACTCACACCCACATACAACACACGCATATAGACACATGCATACACTCACATGGATATACCCACTTACACATACACAATCACACATATGCACACGCACATTGCGCACAGTGACTCACAACACACACATACACATGTATAAGCATTTACTCCCATATACAAGCACACACTGCACTTATATATATGCTTACACACTCATGCATGCACCGTCACATACACGTTTATACTCCCATACACACACACACACGTACATTCCATTCACATCTACACACACATGCACACACATATTGACTATAGCATTCATGTGCACACACACACTCACATGCAGTCACGCATCCACACACACACTCATCCACACTGTTACACACACACAACCGGACCCACTCACAGGCCCAAGGAACTGTGCCCAGAACACACAAATGCCCACAGATGTTCTCATTTGCAGACAGCAGTGCACCCAGGAGACACACTCAGGTGCCCCCTCATCTCATGGAGACAGCCCAAAGATAAAAACATCCAGTCTCAACCAGAAACACAAACACTGCACACACTTGGGACACACACACACACACACACTGTGCCACTGTGTGTGTGTATGTGTGTGGACAAAGGCAGAAACACCGTGGTTTAGGGGAAACAGCCTTGGCAAGTCCAGAGGTGTGACTCTGATCCCAATGTTGTCCCTCCATGCTCCGGGGCTCAGTGCAAACCCCCTGGGCCACTGTGGGCCTCTGGGACCGCACAGGTCAGCTGTGAAATCCCCGCCACGTGGAGAGCCCTGTTATTCTGCAAGGCTCTGCCCACCGCAGAACGTTTCCGCGGCCTGCCTGTCTTCCGGGCCTTGGCTCTCTCCGCCTCTCTGTCCTTGTGTGTCTCTCCCGTCTCCATAGTGTTCTCACGCTCTCTCTCCCTTACTCTGCTCTTCCTCTCTGATTTGATCCCTTTTGCTCTCTGCCTTTTTCTGACTCATGCCCGAACCTTGTCTTATCTTTGTCTCTTTTTTTGGTTGTGTCTTTCTGCCTGTGCCTCCCTCCATCTCTCTCTCTCTCTCTTTCTGTTCTGTCTTCACTCTTCCAGTTTCCATTTCTGAGTCTTGCATACACACACACACACACGTTGCCACACAGCCCCTCGTCCCGTCCCTGGGTGACAAGCTCAGGCGCTGTGGGGTGTAGCGCTCAGCAGCAGGGGAGACAGTGAGCAGGGAGGAGAGGGGGAGGAAGCACGCCTCCCCCAGCCTGGCCCGAGGCACCAGGAACAGGTGCCCCCACACCCCCACCCGCCCCCTGATCCCACACGATTGTGGAGGGGCCTTGGCAGGTCCTTGGGAAAACCTCCATTCCAACTGCTGGCTGCAGAGAGAAGGAAACCCAGGCTCGGAGAAGGGGCGGTTCCTGCTAAAGATTGCACAGCCAATGGAGGGCAGAGCAGAATTGGGACCCAAGGCTTGGGGCCCCCAGTTGGAAGCTCCCTCCAGCAAGCCGGCCCTGACACCTGGAGCCCCAGCTGCCAGCCTGGGAGGGGCTGGGACCCAATCTCCCCCAAGATTAGGCCAGGGATGTCTCCCACCTTCACTCTGACATCCCAGACCCCGACCCCCCAGCCACGCAGGAAGGGGGATCTGAGTGTGGAACACACGGGTGCCCTCGGAGGTCTGATGTCACCCCCTTCCCCAGGCCTTGTTGCTGGTGGCGGCCTTGGCGGGCCTGGGCTTGGGCCTGAGCCTCATTTTCATCGCTGTCTACCTCATCCGCTTCTGCTGCTGCCGGCCCCCCGAGCCCCCCGGGTCCAAGATCCCCTCGCCCGGGGGAGGCTGCGTCACCTGGAGCTGCATTGTCGCCCTTCTCGCCGGCTGGTAATGGGGCCCCAGGGTGGGTGGGCGGTGGGGACAGGGCTCCCCAAGCTCTTTGCTGGCCTTCCTGGGGGTGTCCTCCGGGGACATGGAGGAAGCAGACAGGAAGGAGGAAACTCCCTCGTCCCTGTCCCTGCCATTTGCAAGCCCACTTCAGCGCACAGCAGGAAGGACTGTCCCATTTGATGGATGGAGAAAGTGAGGCTCTGGAGAGGAAGTGAATCAAGGGCAGCCATCTGGTGAGAAGGCGCAGGGGCAGTCAGATGGCCTGGTTTTGGTGGCTCTCCCATTGAATAGCTGTGTGACCTAAGGGAGTGATAGTCTCCCTGGGCCTCAATTTCCACATCTGTAAACTGGGCATTATCATCTCGCCCACCTCCTGCGGGGGTAAGATGGAGAGAAAGCACAGTGTCTGACTTGCAGCTACTCTCAGCCAACATTAACTGGTGATGTCTGTCATTCCGTCATTCACCAGCTCATTCATTCGACAACTGTTTATTGAGTATTTACTATGTGCCAGATACTGACCAAGCCAGGCAAGGAGCCCCTCGTGCAGCTTATGTTCTAATCAGGGAGACGGACGATAAATAGATATAATCACCCTCCAAGAGCACCTCATCTGTGCCCAGACCTGAGCTGGTCTAATTCCTTCTCACAATAATGCTGCTGGATTCAGGGGTGTCAGGCCCAGTTTCCAAAGAGGAAGGCTCAGGGACAGAGGGGAGGTCACCTTTCAAGGCCACGTGGCTTAAGAGGCAGCACAGAGATTCAGACCCAGGTTAGTAGGACCCCCTCACACCCCTCAAAGCGAGCTTAGGGGGCTTCCAATGTGAACACACCAGCTACCAAGAACGAGCTCTGAGCACAGCCCCCTCCCCGGCAGGGCAGCACCCACAGGTTGCAGACAGCAATCCTCTTCCACAGACGGGGGGTCCCAGAGGGCCAGACGCCTGCCCCGGACCCACAGCGGGCAAGGGGAGGGACCTGTAGGGGTGGCCTGTATTCAGGACGCTTCCTCCTCCGGCTCTCTGGCGTGGGGGGAGACAGGGGAGGTGGACAAAGGCCCAGTGGGGGAGAGACACGGCCCCAGCCCCCGCAGCCTGGGAACAAGAGGAGCTTTGTAGGACTCTGAACAATGGGGCGGGGACACTGGGCGTCCGACCCGAGGGATGGGGGTGGAGGCCCAGCCGGGGCTGGGAACCGGGAGGGTGTCAGGCTCCCGCCCCCTCCACTGCGGGACACCGGCCGGGGGCGGGGACGGGAGGGGTCTGGGGCCCCACATTCAGGTCCCACAATGGAGCTCTGTGTGTCGGCAGGGTGGGGGCGGGGGCACGGCTTCTCGCCCATCCTCCAGCCTCCCTCCCACATTCCCTTACTTCCCTCCCAGCTGGCCCGACGCTTGGGTCCCGGGTGGGGGAAGGCCGAGAGCTCCAGGCTCAGCGTCCCCCCAGGAGATGGTGGCAGCTGCCCCCCTTGTACCCTTAGGAACCCCCAGGAGGTGGGGGCGGAGAACGTCTCAGCACTGAAGGGTTGGCACTGCAGGCCCCAAGGACCCTAGGGCACCCTAGGACAGGTGCCAGGAGGGCTGCCTGCCTGGCAAAGGATGCGGGGGAAGGGTGTGGGGCAGGCAGTCCTAGGGAGGGGAAGACGGCCCATCCCGGAGCTGGGTGTGACTGGGGTTCTGCTCCAGGGAGGTGCGAGTTAAATCGGGGGCTCCCTCCCCCCCACCACTCCACCCACCATTAACATCACAATGACGTCCCTCCGCTGGGGGAGTGAGGCCTTCCCGTTCCCTTGGCAACCGACGGGGGCCAGGCTGAAGTCGCCCTTTTCCCACGGGCTGGCCCAATGAGGTGGGGCTGAGATGGGAGGGGTGGATAAGAAGGCGAGGTGGAGGGGATGGGGTGGGAGGGGACGGTGGCCCCCGGGGTCCTGGGACCCGCTGAGATTCCTCTCCCTCCTCCTCCGCTCAGCACTGGCATTGGCATCGGTTTCTATGGCAACAGTGAGACCAGTGATGGGGTGTCCCAGCTCAGCTCTGCGCTGCTGCACGCCAACCACACACTCAGCACCATTGACCACCTGGTGAGGGGCCAGCAACCAGTGGGACCCCAGACCCACACCTGGACGGGCTCCCCACACCCAAGGACAAAGGGATCCAAACTCAGAGCTAAGACCCCAGGCTTGAAGCTTAGGAACCCAGATTCAGAACTTCATCCTGAGACCCACAGACCTCAGACTATCCACCCAACCCCCGACCCTGGCTGCAAATTGAGGACCTCACACACAGGCCCAGCCCTGGACCTTACCTGGAACCCCCAAGCCACACAGAAACCAAGCACCAGCGACACCAGCCCCTGTCCACGGGCCAGATCCAGGGCCCCAGACCTGATTCTTGGCCCGTAAGCAAGCTCAGGGACCCCCGCCCTGAGGCCCAGGTCCCCGACTTGAGGCTTCAGCTCCGACATCAGCTCCAGGATTCTGGGCCCTGGGGCTGAGGCCTGGCCCCACTTCATGCCTTAGATTCCATGTCCAGCTGCAGACTCTAGACCATGGGACCCAGACTTGAGACCCCAGATTCTGGAAGGCAGATGAAAACTTCAGACCTAAAGCTCCACACTTAATCTCAGTCCTGGGGCTGGACTTACTACCCTGGGCTCAAGCTACCAACCATCCAGAGCTCTGGATAGAGGCCACAGAACTCCATGAACTTGATCTTGAAGCCCCTCCCCAATCCCTTCCCTTACTCAATCCTCAGATGTCCCAGACTCCAGATCTCAGACACCCGCTACTATGCACCCCTCCTTCACTTCTAAAACCCCATGCCTCGACCGCGGGCTCCCCCCAGGATGTCCTTCCAGACCTCAGCCCCTGTCCTATCCCCAGGTGTTGGAGACGGTGGAGAGGCTGGGCGAGGCGGTGAGGACAGAGCTGACCACCCTGGAGGAGGTGCTCGAGCCGCGCACGGAGCTGGTGGCTGCCGCCCGAGGGGCTCGACGGCAGGCGGAGGCTGCGGCCCAGCAGCTGCAGGGGCTGGCCTTCTGGCAGGGAGTGCCCCTGAGCCCCCTGCAGGTGGCTGAAAATGTGTCCTTTGTGGAGGAGTACAGGTGAGACGCTGCTCTTCTTGCTCTCTGTGCCGGCAGCTCTCAGGCGGAGTCCCCGGGGGGACAGTTGGCAATGCCTGGAGGCAGTTTTGGTTGTGACAGCTGGGGAGTGTGTGCGCACTGCTGGCATCCAATGGGTAGAGCCCAGGAACTGTTCAACACCCTGCAATGCACAAGAACCCCCTCCCCACCCATTGGCAGGGAATGATCCAGCCACCATGACAATTATGACGAGGCTGGCCAGGCGCGGTGGCTCAGGCCTGTAATCCCAGCACTTTTAGGAGGCCAAGGTGGGTGGATCACCTGAGGTCAGGAGTTTGAGACCAGCCTGGCCAACGTGGAGAAACCCCGTCTCTACCAAAAATACAAAAATTAGCTGGGCGTGGCGGCAGATGTCTGTAATGCCAGCTACTCAGGAGGCTGAGGCAGGAGAATCCCTTGAACCCGGGAAATGGAGGTTGCAGTGAGCCGAGATTTCACCATTGCACTCCAGCCTGGGCGATAGAGTGAGACTCCATCTCAAAAAAAAAAAAAAAAAAAAAAAAGATGAGGTTGAGAAACCTACTGTGGAGGGACAGATCACCAGACCCCATGGCCATCCTGACACCCATGTCCTCACCCATTCACTCACTCACCCCCTCCACGTCACTCCACTCACTTATTCACACATGCGTTCATTCCTTGACTCACTCATTCAGCAAGTCACTCTTGGACTCAGTTACTCTTGGACTAACCCAGCAGGCCACTCACTCAGTCGTTCATCCGTGTGACATGTGTATTTGTTCAGCACTATTTTTTTTTTTTTTTTTGAGATGGAGTCTCACTCTGTCGCCCAGGCTAGAGTGCAGCGGTGCGATCTCGACTCACTGCAACCTCCGCCTCCTGGATTCAAGCGATTCTCCTGCCGCAGCCTCCCAAGTAGCTGGCATTACAGGCAGGCGCCACCACGCCCGTCTAATTTTTGTATTTTTAGTAGAAACGGGGTTTCACCATGTTAGCCAGGCTGGTCTCAAACTCCTGACCTTGTGATCTGCCCGCCTTGGCCTCTCAAAGTGTTGTTCAGCACTATTTATTTAGCACCCTCTGGTGAAAGAGGCAGCGTACCTACAGATCAGGAACCTGAGCTCGAAAGCCAGCCAGCCCCACCCTAACCACGCGGCTGCAATCAAGTTACTTTGCAGACCTCTGCCTTGGTTTCCCCATCTGTGAAATGGGAATCGGGGCAGCGTCCCCCTTGTTGAATTGGTTCGAGTTGTTGAGTTGGCATCTGAGTGCTGAGAAGGACGATTAGCACAGGGAGAGCACCGCAGAGATATGAAGTGTAGTCACCCCGGTGGCGGGCCGGGCAGTGAGCAAGTGGCAGAAATCCCTGCCACGTGGCTGCGTCCTCCGGGGGGAACCAGCAAGGGACAAACGCAGAGAAAAACATTGTAAGGTGTTGGGCCATGAGAACTTTGGAGAAAATTACAGAGGGGACCAGGCACGGTGGTTCACGCCTGTAATCCCAGCACTTTGGGAAGCCGAGGCAGGCGGATCACGAGGTCAAGAGATCGAGACCATCCTGGCTAACACGGTGAAATCCCGTCGCTACTAAAAATACAAAAATTAGCCGGGCGTGGTGGTGGGCGCCTGTAGTCCCAGCTACTTGGGAGGCTGAGACAGGAGAATCGCTTGAACCCAGGAAGTGGAGCTTGCAGTGAGCAGAGATCGTGCCACTGCACTCCAGCCTGGGTGACGGAGCGAGAATCCGTCTTAAAAAAAAAAAAAGAAAATTATAGAGGGAGATGAGGTGGGACAGAGTCTGGCAGTTCATCAGGGGGACTGAGAAGGTGGCATTTGGAGGAGAGGAGGCAGTGAGCTGTGCAGTGTCCAGGCAGCCACCCTTCCCAGCGGCCACCATGACGGTGTCCTCATTGCTTTGACCATTAGTAATCATTCATTCATTCATTCATTTATCCGACGTCAGCTGGAGGCCCTGCCCGCGGGGCATGCGCTGAGATTTGGGAGGCCTTCCGGGATGCTGCGCTCCAGCGGGGAAGGCCGACTGGGGCTGAAAAAGCTGGAGGTCAGGACACACCCGCAGGGCAGCAGGTGCAAGAGACAGACAGGCCTGGGTTTGAAGAAGTCCAGGTTCTGCATTGTGGTCAGGCCCAGGGGCTGCACAAGCCGGGCCTCAGCTCCTTCTCCTGGGCGAGGGCAGGGAAGTGGTGGGAGCCATAAGGGTGATGCCAGGGTGAGGCAGACCCACCATCGCTAGAAAATATCTTCCGGGTGCACCACTGCGAAAGCACCCCACACTTGGGAGTCCCTCGACAGACAAATCAGGGGCCTCCAAGGGAGTCTTGCTGGAGGGGAGCACTTGCGAGGCTGGGCGGAAGCAGCCAGAGACCAGGGTAAGGAGTGAAGCCCAAGCTTGTGGGGCCTGCAGAGAATGGCAGGAGGATTAACTGAGCACTTACTACGTGCCGGGCACTGTGCTGTTGTTACGGCGGGTCCTTGCTCCCGGAGCTCCCAAGATCGTGGTGGCCACTTCCAAGAGGGCAGCAAGCCTCGTGTTCTCTGACCTGGGGTTCTTGGCCTCACGGATTCCAAGGAATGGAATCCTGGGCCCTGCGGTGAGTGTTTTAGCTCTATTAGAAGCCGTGGGTCACGGAAGAGAACCGTGGAACCCAGCGACCAGTGTTCAGCTCGATCAGGATGAACCCAGGCAGTTAGCTGTGCAGGAACAATGGCGAGCCTCTAGCCCGATTGGGAGCGGCAATGGGTGTCTCCCTGGATCACGAGCACAGTGGACACCCTGCCGGATCCGGAGGGTGGAAGTCAGCGGCGGGTCTGCGACGGCGGCAAACAGCAGTGGTGGACGGCGAGCGAAAGCTCAGCTCAAGCCGTAACAGACACGGACCAGAAGAGTGTGCAGTTTCAAGTTTTAATAGAGTGAAAACAGAGTTCCCATACAACGGGAGGGGACCCAAAGTGGGTAGCCGTTGCTGGCTGGAATGCCTGGGTTTCTATCCAGATCATTGTCCCTTCCCCTGTGCTCTCAGGTGATAGATGATTGGCTATTTCTTTACTTCCTATTTTTGCCTAACTAGCACTTTAGTGAGCTCTCTTTACTACCTGATTGGTTGGGTGTGAGCTAAATTGCATGCCCCGTGTTTAAAGGTGGATGCGGTCACCTTCCCAGCTAGGCTTAGGGATTATTAGTCGGCCTCGGACATCCAGCTAGTCCTGTCTCTCACTGTGGCTTGCATGCTTGCACCTCCTGAATCATGGTGGTGGGCCCTTCACTGATATTTAAGGATTAACTTTTTTTTTTTTCATTTTTGAGACTAAGTCTCACTCTTGTCGCCCAGGCTGGAGTGCAGTGGTGCAATCTTGGCTCACTGCAACCTCCACCTCATGGGTTCAAATGATTCTCCTGCCTCAGCCTCCCAAGTAGCTGGGACTACAGGCGTGCACCACCACGCCCGGCTAATTGTTGTATTTTTAGTAAAGACGGGGTTTCACCATGTTGGCCAGGCTGGTCTCAAACTCCTGACCTCAAGTGATCCGCCTGCCTCAGCCTCCCAAAATGCGCGGATTACAGGCGTGAGCCACCTCGCCCGGCCAAGTATTAACTATTAACTAACATCTCAGTTCCCTCGTTCACGCTCAGGCTAACCTCTAAGTGTGTCCACGTGCTTGGCACTCTCCTAAGCACTTCTAGTCATGCAGCCCACTCGAGGCAATATTCTCAAGCCAGTGTTGTTGTGCTCCCCACGTTACATGTAGGGAAACTGAGGAACGAGAGGCTAAGGTTACCGAGACAAGAGTTACCCGGCCAGTTAAGCGGAGGGGCTGGGGTTGAGACCAGGCAGCCTCTGCCTCCAGACGTCATGCCCTCCGGGGATGCGATGGGATCTTTGGTGCAGTCTTGAGAACGAGTATCTCCACTCTGCAGGGTGGGGTTGGGGATGGGGAGCTCGGAGAGAACACATCACGTGTCCCTGGTCACAGGGCACATGTGTGTGGCCCGGCCAGGGGATAGTCCCAGGTGCTCAGGACCTGTATTCTAAACCGCTCCAGTGTCCTGTCTCATGATAACACTATTTCACAGAGGACCTGGGCTGTGGCCCAGACACAGTAAACAGCAGGAGGCTGAGCTTGGAGGGTGGTGAATGTGAGGCTGAGCTGGGGGGCAGGGTGAATGCTGGTGGAGGGTTGCTGTTCCGCCGGGGTGCCTGGAGGCAGGTTTGTGGTTTCAGCCCTACCCTCTCCCCTCCCAGGTGGCTGGCCTATGTCCTCCTGCTGCTCCTGGAGCTGCTGGTCTGCCTCTTCACCCTCCTGGGCCTGGCGAAGCAGAGCAAGTGGCTGGTGATCGTGTAAGTGCAGGCAGTAGGGGGACCCAGTGCTTGCCTGGCACTCTCCTGGCAGGCAGGACCTCAGTCTTACAACTCTCCTACACGGAGGACCGTGGTCCTTCACGGCCGGGTACACACGAAGAAAAGAGAGTCAGAGCAGCCCAGGAGGGAGGCGGGGACAGACCTGAAAACAGGCAGCCCTAACAGTATGAAGTATGCTGGAATCATGGCAGAAATAATCATTGTGTTGGCAATAAAGATGAGGATGAGGCCAGGCGCGGTGGCTCACACCTGTAATCCCAGCACTTTAGGAGGCCGAGGTGGGTGGATCATGAGGTCAGGAGTTTGAGACCAGCCTGACCAACATGGAGAAACCCTGTCTCTATTAAAAATACAAAAATTAGCTGGGTGTGGTGGCATGCGCCTGTAGTCCCAGCTACTCAGGAGGCTGAGGCAGGAGAATCGCTTGAACTCAGGAGGTGGAGGTTGTGGTGAGCCAAGATCACACCATTGCACTCCAGCCTGGGCGACAGAGTGACACTCCATCTCAAAAAAAAAAAAAAAAAAAAAAAAAGGCTGGGCGTGGTGGCTCACGCCTGTAATCCCAGCACTTTGGGAGGCCGAGGAGGGCGGATCACGAGGTCAGGAGATCGAGACCATCCTGGCTAACACGGTGAAACCCCATCTCTACTAAAAATACAAAAATTAGCCGGGCGTGGTGGCGGGCGCCTATAGTCCCAGCTACTCGGGAGGCTGAGGCAGGAGAATCGCTTGAACCCGGGAGGCGGAGCTTGCAGTGAGCTGAGATTGCACCACTGCACTCCAGCCTGGGCGACACAGTGAGACTCCATTTCAAAAACAACAACAACAACAACAAAAAAAAAAAACAGATGAGGATGATGATCTATTGAGGGTCATGCACGCTGAGTCCTTCAGTTGCCTCCACCCCATGAAGGAGCTACCATAAGGCTCCATGTGGCCGGTCAGGGACCTGACTAAGAGCGCAGAGGGTGGCCAAGTCCGAGACTGAGCCGTCCTTAAGTGTCGTGGCAAAGCCGCAGGACCACACTGATTTCACAGCTCGCTCTACGCGCCCGACACTCTTCTCTGCACTCCCTGGAGCACCTCATGCCCCCTGTGAGGAAGGTGCTTCCTTCTGCCTGTTTTTTATTTCTGTTTTTTATTTTGAGAAGGTCTTGCTTTGTTGCCCAGACTGGAGTGCAGTGGCATGATCACGGCTCACTACAGCCTCTGTCCCCTGAGGCTCAAGTGATCCCCCCACCTCAGCCTCCAGAGTAGCTGGGACCATGGGCTTATGCCACCACTCCCGGCTAAGTTTTTTTTTTTTTTTTTTTTTTTTTTTTGAGCTGCAATTTGGCTCTTGTTGTCCAGGCTGGAGTTCAGCGGCGCGATCTTGGCTCACTGCAACCTCTGCCTCCTGGGTTCAGGCAATTCTCCTGCTTCAGCCTCCCAAGTAGCTGGGATTACAGGCGTATGCCACCAAACCTGTCTAATTTTGTATTTTTAGTAGAGATGGGGTTTCTCCATGTTGGTCAGGATGGTCTCAAACTCCTGACCTAAGGTGATCCGCCCGCCTCAGCCTCCCAAAGTGCCTGGATTACAGGCATGAGCCACCGTGCCTGGCCTAAGTTTTGTATATTTTTGTAGAGATGGAGTCTTGCTATGTTGCCCAGGCTGGTCTCGAACTCCTGGCCTCAAGTGATCAGCCTGCCTCAGCCTTCCAAAGTACTGGGTTTACAGGCATGAGCTACCATGCCTGGCCCTTCTCCCTGTTTAACAGAGGGAGAGACTGAAGATCAGAGAGGTTGGACCACTTGCTCAGGGCCACACAGCTAGAAGTGCTAGAGCTGGGATTTGAACCAGACAGGCCATTCTCATTGGAGGAGTCCCTGCATTCTCTCTGGCCCTAGTGGGGTGAGGCGGAGTTGAACCTGTACCTCCATTGCCCCTGAGAGAGTGGGAGAGACCCCGCGTAAGGCTTGCAGACCCATAAACCTAGCCAACACAGGGCAGGTCTGGGACTGGAAGCCAGGCCTTCAGTTTGGGGACCCCTGGGTGCCCTTCTTGCTTACTGGTCACCCTACCAATGCTGACACGCCCCCTGCACCCCTCCCCACCCGGAAAGTCCAGAGACTTTCAGATTTCAGCCCTGGCACTGTCTCCCATTCTCAGAGGAGACAGGGCAGAGCCAGAGGCTGATCAGGCTGTGGGTGGACTTGGGGGAGCCTTCGGGGGAAGTGAGCCCAGAGGTGAGCAGTCACCGTCCCAGGGTCCTGGAGCTGGGATCCAAGCTGCGACCACCCAGCCCAGGGCCCTGCTCATACCCCACACCCTGCTCATCTGGGCAGGAGCCAGATGTCCAGCTGGACATCAGCAGCCACTGGCCTACCCCCAACCACTGAACTTGTGTTTCCCTAATTCTGATCCTCCAGGCTCCAGAGGTGGGTGGAGGTGGGGGGCGGCTGTGATGGGATTTGGGGTGTGGAAAGAGGCTAGGCTAGGAGATTAAGAACCCCGGGCTGATCCTCCTTCCCCCACTCTAGGATGACAGTCATGAGTCTCCTGGTTCTCGTCCTGAGCTGGGGCTCCATGGGCCTGGAGGCAGCCACGGCCGTGGTGAGTGCCAGGGCCGGGCCATTGGGCTCTGGGACTCAGGGGGCCTGGAGACTTCAACTTCTGGATCTCGGGATGGCATGGCTTAGTAGAGAAAGGAATTGGGGGGCACGATCACAGCTCTGAGGTTTAGGGCTTGTTTCCTGGGGCCTGAGTGGGTACAGATTGGTGTCCTGGACGTTTGAGCTGTAATGGAGGAGGGGCTGGAAACCTGGATTCCTAGGTCTGAGGGAGGAGGGGCTGGGGGTCTGGACTCCTGGGTGTGAGGGAGGAGAAGCTGGGGGCCTGGACTCCTGAGTCTGAGGGAGAAAGGGCTGGAGAGTCTGAACCCCTGAGTCTGAGGGACGAGGGGCCTGGGGCCTGGACTCCTGAGTCTGAGGGAAGAGGGGCTGGGACCTGGACCCCTGGGTGGGGAGGGGAGCTGGGGAGCCAGGCACTGGGTGCTGTGGGAGTGTGGAATCGGGGCAGTTTTGGGTTTGAGCCCCTTTTCTGCTGCCTCACGCAGGGCCTCAGTGACTTCTGCTCCAATCCAGACCCTTATGTTCTGAACCTGACCCAGGAGGAGACAGGGCTCAGCTCAGGTGATTTCCAAGGGCCCGGTGGGTCCGCCGGGTTGGGCAGTGCAGGCCCTGGCTTCCTCAGGCCTCCTCTGTGCCCGGTCCTGCCCAGGGTGGGGTGGGGGTGCAGCCTGCCAGGCGAGACCCAGCCCTCTGGAAGGGAAGCAGGGCTCCTGGCCACTCCCCAGCTCGGAGCCCTCCTGGAGCCCCGCCACCCGCCAGACCCTCATCCCTTCTGCTCCAGCTGGCAGCGCCTCTCCTGGTGGGCTGGAAAAGAGGGCAGGATAAAGATAATGGTGCCAGGAAGAGAGAGGAGGGTCAGGAGAGGGTGCTCCTGGGCGTCAGGAATGGGGAGTTTGGCCCCCTGGAGAAAACTGGGGAGCACCATTTAGTCAGGGGTTCCCAGGGAGTATAGGGTTGCCCACCAGCGCCTGCTCTGGCTGTGGCAGGAGCAGAAGGGACGCGGGGCTGGCGGGTCTCTGAAGGTAAGGCCATCGGGCTCCAGGGCTGGGCTGAGGCCCCTAACCCTGCTAACCCCCCAGTGCCCGGCCTTCCCCCGGGAGATCCCTGGGGGCCCAGGCTCATGGCCTCCTCCCCTCTCCTCCTCCCACTTCAGACATCCTGAGCTATTATCTCCTCTGCAACCGGGCCGTCTCCAACCCCTTCCAACAGGTTAGGGCTGCGGGCAGGGGAAACGGGTGTTGAGGGAGCCAGAAATCTGGACTCTGAAGGGAGGGGGCGGGGCTGGGGCTGGGGCCTGGACTCCTGGGTTCCGGGGAGGATGCAGGCCAGGGGCCCGAGTGCTGTGTCCGGAGGAGAGGAGAGAGGGCCGGGGGCGTATACTCCTGGGTCCTCCTCCCTCCCTTTCTCTTTCTGCAGAGGCTGACTCTGTCCCAGCGAGCTCTGGCCAACATCCACTCCCAGCTGCTGGGCCTGGAGCGAGAAGCTGTGCCTCAGTTCCCTTCAGCGCAGGTCGGTGGGTGGGCGCTCCCCAGACACGCGGACCCCACGGGGAAGGCGGACGGGGCGGGATGGAGCTGTGGGGCGTAGGCGGGGCTGCAGAGCTAGGCGGGGCCTTGGGTTGTGGGCGGGGACGCAGGGCGGGGCCAGGGCGATGGGCGGGCCTGAAGAGTTCGTGGGAAAACGACCCCTCCTCGCCCCGCAGAAGCCTCTGCTGTCCTTGGAGGAGACTCTGAATGTGACAGAAGGAAATTTCCACCAGTTGGTGGCACTGCTACACTGCCGCAGCCTGCACAAGGTGAAGCCCCTCCCCTCCCAATTTCTTCTCCCACGGGGGGCCTCTGTCTGGACCCACAGAACTACCTCCTCCTTCTCCTTGGACCCCTGCCATTGCGCCTGAGGATATCTCTGTATCCTCTGTTTATATGATTTATCTGTCCTATATCTATTCTCTACCTATTTATAACCTGTCGTCTACCTACCTATCAAGCATTATCCATATTCCTTCCCTCCTCCCTCCCTTTCCCCCCAACTCCCGCACTCCCCGCTGGGTCCCCATCCCACCCTCCCCGTCCATTCCTGCCACCTTTTCCTTCCTTGTCTTCTCTCCTCTCTCCGTCCTCCTGCCTCTCCCTCCCTCCTAGAGGCTGCCGCTTAGTGAGTTCTGGAGCAAGACTGCCTGGGTTCCAGTCCTACCTCCTGACCAAGGGCAAGTCACCTAACTTCTCTGTACCTCAGTTAGTTCCCTCACTTATAAACCTGGGATTGCAAGAGTGGGCACCTGTCCAGCTCCCCTGCGGCTTGTGCTGTTCATACACTGGACAGGCAGGGGTGGGCAGGGTGCCCAGGAGGAAAGATATCTGGTGTCCTGCAGGCTCCAGTTTGGGCTCTGCCGCAGGCTGCACGGCCATAGGCAGGTGAGCGTGGCTGACTCTGCTTCCCACCCGTACCGTGAGGAAGGACGAGTTTTTTTTGTTTGTTTTTTTTTCACTGGATGGCTGTGAGGATTGAAAAAAAAAATCCCCTTATAAAACAGTAGGAGCTGGCCGGGCGCGGAGGCTCACACCTGTAATCCCAGCACTTTGGGAGGCCCAGGCGGGTGGATCACCTGAGGTCAGGAGTTCAAGACCAGTCTGGCCAACATGGTGATACCCCGTCTCTACTAAAAATAGAAAAAGTTAGCCGGGCATGGTGGTGGGCGCCTATAATCCCAACTACTCGGGAGGCTGAGGCAGGAGAATCGCTTGAATCCACGAGGCAGAGGTTGCAGTGAGCCAAGATTGTGCCACTGCACTCCAGCCTGGGCAACAAGAGCGAAACTCTGTCACAAACAAACAAACAAAACCAGTAAGAGCTGTTCTAAAACACACACCCGAGGATGCCTTTCCCCGGCCAGTCTTCCCATCAAAGACCTCACATGTGCATAGCTTCACCAAGTACCTGACCCTGTTGCATTTCACAGGTGGTAACTCATCGATGCCTCATAACAATGCTATGAAGAAGGAACTATGATTATCCCACCTAACAGGTTAGAAGATGAGGAGCAGAGTTGAGGGACCTTCCCAAGGTCACACGGCCAGCCAGCCCGTGCACACTGAGGAGAGAGGGACCTTCCGGAGGGCCCCGCCCTCTGCCCCCCACAGCCAGGCAGTTGCCCAGTTTTGTCCTTTCTGCTTCTGGAATGTCTTCATCCATCTACTCTCAATGCGCAATGCCCCTGCTGCAGCTGAGGCCTCGTTCTCTCCCCTGCAGAAGGAAGCATGGCCCCCTCCCCATCCGTCCCCCCATGGACCCTAGAATAGGGCTGCCAGATTCAGCAAACAGCAAACCACTCTGCTATAAGTACGCCCGGTGCAATGCTGGGGAGATACTTATACTAGAAAATTATGTATTGGGCATCCGATACTCAAATGTAACTGGAAGTCCTGAATTTGATCTGGCAACCCTACCCAAGAGGGATTTGTCTACGCCATCGCGTGGATCTGAGCTTTCCCTGGTCTGGCTCAGACAGACCCCTTCTGTGGCTCCCACTGCCTCCCACCCTTCTGGAACTGGCATTCCAAAAAGGGAGTGGGGAGTAAGCACTGAAGCCATGCTCAGAATTGCTGACTATTGAGCTGAGAAAGGCTGGGCCCCCACCCAGCCCAGGGCTGCCCTGATCTTTTGCATAAGGATAAACTGGGGTTCAGGCGCTTTTCTGTGGCCTAGGCAGAAACTGGGCTGGAATACAGGCCCCCAGACTCCTTTGTGGAGGGAGGGAAGGGAAGGAAGAGGACAGATCACTCTACCCTTCCCTACCACTGCACCATGAGACCCTGGGTCTCCATCTCCCCTGTCAGTGTGCCAGGGTCCTCACAGATTAAAATCAAGAATAAGCGGCGGGGCCGGGCACTGTGGCTCACGCCTGTAATCCCAGCACTTTGGGAAACCAAGGTGGGCGGATCACCAGAGGTCAGGAGTTTGAGACCAGCCTGGCCAGCATGGCGAAATCCCATCTCTACTAAAAATACAAAAAAACTAGCCGGGCGTGGTGGCGCACCCCTGTATTCCTAGCTACTCAGGAGGCTGAGGCACGAGAATTGCTTGAACCTGGGCAGTGGAGGTTGCAGTGAGCTGAGATCGAGCCACTGCACTCCAGCCGGGGTGACAGAGCGAGAATCCGTCTCAAAAAAAAAAAAAAAAAATAGGAGGGGGCTAGGGATGGGTGCCTCGTGCCTATCAACCCAGCACTTTGGGAGGCCCAGTGGGGCAGATCAGAACTCCTTGAGCTCAGGAGTTCAAGACCAGCCTGGCCAACATGGTGAAACCCCATCTCTATTAAAAAAAAAAAAATCAACAATAAGGGACATCAGGGATGAGGATGAAGGAGGGAGGGCACTGGAGCCTAAGAGAATCAGCTCCAATATCGCTTCTGCCCCTTCCAGACAGTGTGACTCTGGGCAAGTAGCTTGCCTTCTCTGGGCTGCAACTTCTTTCCACCATTGCAAGAGGCGGCAGCGTGAGAGGGTCAGTGTCTGCCTGGCAGGGCTGTTGTGAGGATGAAGGACAGTGTGCATGTACCAATACTCTCAAAACAGAGCCTCCATTGCCCCGACAGGTCCGTACCCCAACCCTCACTGGCTTAGTAACAGACACCCCACCTCAACCAGGTGCTCCTGCCAGAAACTCAGGCTCTTAGCTCCCACAACCATTCTCAGAACAAGTTCTGTTGGCCCTTCCTCTGAAACCTATATGGACTCCCACCGCTGTTCCTACCACCATTGCTGTGCCCTGGTCCCCGCATCCTAGCCACCATGACCACAGGGGCCTCTTCCCTGTCCCCCCTCGCCTACCCCCGTCTGTCCTCCATGCAGCAGCCAGCCAGCCAGGTGATCCTTTTAAAACACAATCCGATCAAGTTCTTCCTCTGCTTAAAACGCTCAGTGATTCCCCTCAGACATGGATTAAAATCCCTGTTCCTCGCCCTGACCTACAAGGGCCTGGGTGGTCAGTCCTGGATCTGTCTGCCTCTGGCCTCAGCCCCTCCCAGCTTCCTCTGCACAGCCCTCTGCCTGGCTCCTTCCTGGAGGACCCATCCCTGCTAGTGGGGTTACCCGACCTACCCCTGCCCTGCACTGACCCCCGCCCTCCTACCTCGTTGCACACCAGCCTCTGAGATGACCTTCTCGGTCCTGTTTACCGAAGTTTCCTGGTACTGGGGGCAGCGCCTGGGGCAGAGCAGGCTCTGTCAACCCCCACTGAATACATACGCTGTGCAGGTGCTTAGCACTCGGTGAAGGCCGTTTCTGCTGATTTCTTGGGACGACAGTCATCAGAGCCAGCATTTGTTGGCATGTTGAGTGTGTATTGTGTGCGCGGTGTCATCTTGAGCCACTGGTTGGTTTTTCGACGTGCTGTTCCACGTGCTCTAGGCCAGTGATTCTGCCCCCAGGGACACCTGGCTGGGTGAGGAGTTCTGCCCCCAGGGACACCTGGCCGGGTGCCGAGTTGCTGTTGGTTGTCACACTGCAGGAGGGGGTGCTCCTGGCATCTGGTGGGTGGAGCTGAGTGGGGCTGCTCAGCACCCCACAACACACAGGGCAGCGCCGTCACCACAGAGAATGATCTGGCTCAAAATGTCAGCAGGGCCCAGGTTATGAAGCCCTCGCCCCTGGACCAAGGCGGAGCTGGCGGTGGCTGGCCTGTGGGCGCTTGGTGCAGGGGAGGATGCTCTTGCAGGAGGTGCCGCTGCCGGGAGGGAGAAGGGAAACGGAAGTAGCAGTTCTCACGTTCCTGGGTAGATGAAGATGGAGGAGAGGGCCCAGGGCTGGTGGGAGATGCTGGACTGGTTCTAGATGTGGGGTGCTGACTGGGGAGGACCCATGTGAAAGGGAGATAGGGGCCTGCAATGACAAGGGCGGGTGCAGCTCAGGAGAAGCCAAGTCTGGAGGCTGGGCAATTAATTCCTGAGTGCCAGGCCTATCACACCAAAGACCCCACTGTACCCACTGTATTCTCAGAACTGCCCTTTGACAGGGGAAACTGAGGCACAGAGTGGTCAGTTGACGTGTGCAGTACCACAGCCGGGAGGACGGTCAGACTGATGTGCACAGTGTGTGCCGATGGGGGAGGGGGTGGGGACGCATGGCCTGATGACGCCCTCCCCTCAGGACTATGGTGCAGCCCTGCGGGGCCTGTGCGAAGACGCCCTGGAAGGCCTGCTCTTCCTGCTGCTCTTCTCCCTGCTGTCTGCAGGAGCGCTGGCCACTGCCCTCTGCAGCCTGCCCCGAGCCTGGGCCCTCTTCCCACCCAGGTCAGGAGCGGGGGAGGGTAGGGTCCTGGGGAGGGAAGAGGAGGGGCAGCACCTGGGGACCACGGTGGCAGTGGGGGTGGGGGGTGCAGCCTCCTGATGGGTCCCCATCCCGCCTCTCTGCCATGCCCCGCATCAAACCCCAGTGACGACTACGATGACACAGACGATGACGACC
Organism: Homo sapiens; assembly: GCF_000001405.40. Taxonomy (NCBI): domain Eukaryota; kingdom Metazoa; phylum Chordata; class Mammalia; order Primates; family Hominidae; genus Homo; species Homo sapiens. Next base: position 342,384 of record NW_003571054.1, read on the forward strand.
CTTTCAACCCTCAGGTACTGGATGCCTGGGTCTGAGGGAGGAGGGGCGGGGGGTCCTGAACTCCTGGGTCTGAGGGAGGAGGAGCTGAGGGCCTGGCCGCCTGGGTCTGAGGGAGGAGGGGCTGGGGCCCGGACTCCTGGGTCTGAGGGAGGAGGGGCTGGGGTCCCACAGTACAAAGCCAATTCCCACTCCATTCCCTCCTCTCCCCCGCTACCCCGAATCTCCTAGCAGGAATCCAAGCGCTTTGTGCAGTGGCAGTCGTCTATCTGAGCCCCTCCTCCCGGCTGGACTGGAGCCTGGCTCCCCTCTTCGGTGAGCTTCCAAGGGCCACCCCAGCTCCTGCAGCCGGGCCTCTGCCCCCCTCCCGCCCTCCGAGCTGCTCCAGGCATGGGCTGCGTGCCTCCTGCTGGGTGGATCGCACCGGGCAGGCCCTCCAGCCTGCATCACTGCCCTGTCTCTCCCTCTCTCCGCAGTTCCTTCCCTGGCTGCCGGAGGAGACCCCACTAACCCAGCCTGCCTGGGCTCTGACCACTAACACTCTTGGCCATGGACAGCCTGCACAGGACCGCCTCCCTGCTCTTGGCCACTGTGCTCCCATTTCTGTCCTTGGCCTTGGGAGTAGCTGAGGGGGCAGACTAGGGAGTAGGGCTGGCAGGGGAGGGGGCAGACAGCCTCGCCTCGCACCCTTCATCCCTGGCTGCCGGTCCCATCCTTGGAGGGACTAAGCTGGGGGTGGGGGACATGAGTCCCCCTGCTGCCCCTGCCACATCCCAGTGGGCTCTGACCCCCTGATCTCAACTCGTGGCACTAACTTGGAAAAGGGTTGATTTAAAATAAAAGGGAAGACTATTTTACAAGCAGCTGGGTCCTCCTTATTTCTCCTCTCCCTTGATTCGGCCTCCTGGCCAGGGCTGGGACATCCTCCCTGCTGTCCTCTCTCCCCCGGCCTCCCAGCTGCCAGGAATTTCTGCGCCTGTCCAGGCTCAGCAAGGGGTCCAAAGACATTGTTCTTTAAAAAAAAAAAAAAAAAAATCAAAAAACAAAACGCTTTCTTCTGATTCTAAAAGTAATGCGCGTGTCCTGACACAGGAAGACACAGGCATCTCTGGCACAGAATAGATGGCCTAGAAATAGATCTAACTGTGTGTGTGTGTGTGTGTGTGTGTGTGTATATATATATATACACACATGACAGAAGACAGATTTCAAGTCAGTGTGGAAAGGACGGTTGGTTTAGCAGCAGTAGTGACATATCGGCTCTCCATCTGGCCAAAAACTTCTATAGATAAGATGGGTGGAAGATCTAGATATATGCAAGTAAAGGCACAGAAGAATTTCTAGAGAAATTAGGAGGGTGGGCATGGTGGTGCATGCCTGTGGTTCCAGCTACTCGGGAGGCTGAGACTCCTTGCTTGAGCCCGTTTCGAGGTAGCAGTGAGCTGTGATCGTGCCACTGCACTCCAGCCTGGGCAACAGAGCAAGACCCTGCCTCTTTTTTTTTTTTTTTTTTTTGTTTTTGAGACGGAGTCTCGCTCTGTCACCCAGGTTGGAGTGCAGTGGCGCGATCTCGGCTCACTGCAAGCTCCGCCTCCCAGGTTCATGCCATTCTCCTGCCTCAGCCTCCCAAGTAGCTGGGACTACAGGCGCCCGCCAACACGTCCGGCTAATTTTTTGTATTTTTAGTAGAAACGGGGTTTCACCGTGTTAGCCAAGATGGTCTCGATCTCCTGACCTCGTGATCCGCCCGTCTCGGCCTCCCAAAGTGCTGGGATTACAGGCGTGAGCCACCGCGCCCGGCCAAGACCCTGCCTCTTAAAAAAAAAAAAAAAAAAAGACAAAAAACAGAGAGAGGCTGGCTGCGGTGGCTCATGACTGTAATCCCAGCATTTTGAGAGGCCAAGGTGGGTGGATCCCTTGAGGCCAGGAGTTTGAGAGCAGAGTGGCCAACATGGTGAAACCCCGTCTCTACTTAAAAAGAAAGAAAAAAAAAATTAGCTGGGCATGGTGGCACAGGTCTGTAAGCCCAGCTACTCGGGAGGCTGAGGCAGGAGAATTGCTTGAACCCGGGAGGTGGAGGTTGCACCACTGTACTCCAGCCTGGGAGATCAAGTGAGACTCCATCTCAGAAAAAAACAAAACAAAACAAAACAAACCAGAGAAATTAGGAGAATATTTGTATATTGTCTGCATGTCATGTATCTGGGTAGGGAAAATGGGGAGGGAGGAGTTTAAGCAGGAGATCATAAAACCAGAAAGGAAAAGATAGCTTAGTTGGCAAATTATAGATTGAAAAACATACCGTAAAGTCAAATGGCAAATTGACAGACTGGGGAACAGTGAGTGTGTGCGTGCGTGTGTGTGTGTGTGTGTGTGTGTGTGTGTATGTTAACAGTTATGATGCAGAAATGTTATTCTTAAAAGATATAATCTACAAAAGCTTTCATAAACTAAGAAAAAGACAACCCATTTAAAAGTAATCAATTGAGTTGAATACTCAATAAAAATTCCAACATCAGTAAACAGACAAAAAGATTCAAACTCTAATAATTGGGAAATGCAATTTGAAAGAATGAGAAACTACACTTTTTCACTACCTAGACACAATGAAATTAACAAGAGTGGTGATGTCCTGGGCGGGCGAGGACCTAGAGGAACAGGCACTCAAAACACTTCTCCTGAGGCTGTGAACTGCCACCATCCCTTGAAAAAAAAAAAAATGCGCTTGTATGTGATCAGATCAAAACTGCATACACCCCATGCCCCAACAATCCTGCTTTTGGGAATTGATTTACAGAAAAAGACACACAGGCTTCTGAAGACTTCTATTTAGAGCTGCCTGTTACGATACCACTTTGATCAGCTAAACCCTGAAAACAAACATGCACAAAAAGAGAAGTCCAATAACTGACTGCACAGCAGGGCTCTCTGGAAGAAACCAGCTCTTGGCTGAGTTGAGGATGTGAGGGAAAAGCCTGGCAGAGAGGAGCTATCAGAGCAGGGTGTGGCAGACAGCAGTGGCAGAGTGGACTGAAGGAGAGGGGCCTGCACAGTGAAGGGCCCAGCTTATCATTCAAGGCACCCCAGGCCACCATCCTGGTCCTGCTTTTCATGACCTTCACGGATATGGGAAAGTCACTTGACCCGTTAGACCTCGGTTGCCTCTTTGATCAAACGGGTATCAGAAATCCAAAATTCCAAAATCCACAGATCCAAAGAGCTCCAAAGTCAAGCCATCCCCAAGCTCATTGGGCAGGAAAACCTGACCTGTGTTGGTGGGAGATGACTTACAGACATGACTGACACGCTTGGTGTGAACGTTCACATACTTCCCTGCAGAAAAGTTAACCAGGCTGCTGCACACTGCTGTGCTGAGCACTGAGGGTGCCGTGTGCCCTGTGGAGTAGAGATCATATTGCCTTTGCAACTGAAAAATCCTGAATCTCAACACACACCTGGCTCCGAGGGGATCGAGTTGGTGCTTGGTGACCCACAGTGCCAGATGCTGGTGTACAGCGTGGGGCCTGCTGCTGCTCTGTGCCTGTCAATCATTTCTATTTTGTGTACTGCAAGGAGCGTTCAGAGGAAGCTTTAGATATGTGGGCCTGACGGTGGGAATAAAAATCAACTGCAATTTCAGGGAGGGGTTCTGGGGGCCACATGCGTTCACTCACTTTTTCCTAACCATGTGGGCTGTCTGCCCCAGGCCCGGCCCTGCTGCTATGCTGACTTCTTTCCTCTCAAACACTGCCCTCTAGTGCCCCTGAGCCCATTTCCCAAGCACAGGCATCCGCTGGCTGTTGGGCGGCTGCAAAGTACCTTGAGACTCAGCTGCTTGATCTCCCATGCCAATGAGCCTGGGGGTGATCTCTCAACAAGAAGTTGGCCGGGCGCCCTGGCTCACGCCTGTAATCCCAGCACTGTGGGAGGCTGGGGCAGGCGATCACCTGAGGTCAGGAGTTTGAGACCAGCCTGGCCAACACGGTGAAACCCCATCTCTACTAAACACAAAAATTAGCCGGGCATGGTGGCGGGCGCCTGCAATCCCAGCTACTCAGGAGGCTGAGGCAGGAGAATCACCTGAACCCGGGATGTGGAGCTTGCAGTGAGCCGAGATCGCGCCACTGCACTCCAGCCTGGGCGACAGAGCAAGACTCCGTCTCAAAAAAAAAAAAAAAAAAGGCATTTTACCCAAACTTTACAAAAGGAAAATCCAGTGTTATTTTTAGAATGTTACCTATGGGGGCTTCCACTGCGACCAGGATGGAGTCACAGAGACTGGACTTGACCCCCCAAAAATAGAGTAAATACAAGAAAACAACAGTGGTCAAGACTCTACCAAGAAAGTGATCCCTGAGGAACAGGAAACATCAAGGCAAGCCCTAAAATTGCCGCTGGGTCCTGTTGCAAGTTTCTAGACCACGGGACAGGGAGGGAAGACTGAGGCGGAGCTGGGAGGACTCCGTGAGCAGAGGAGACAAAGCAGGGAGTCTGAGCTTTGTTCTTGAGCTTTGTTTTGAGAATGAAGTTATGGGCCGGGTGCGATGGCTCACGCCTGTAATCCCAGCACTTTGGGAGACCGAGGTGGGTAGATCACCTGAACTCAGGTGTTCGAGACCAGCTTTGCCAACATGGTGAAACCCTGTCTCTACTAAATATATACAAATTCGCCGGGTGTAGTGGTGGGTGCCTGTAGTCCCAGCTACTCGGGAGCCTGAGGCAGGGGAATCTCTTGAACCTGGGAGGCGAAGGTTGCAGTGAGCCAAGATCGCGCCATTGCACTCCAGCCTGGGCAGCAGAGCGAGACTCCATCTCAAAAAATAAATAAATAAAAATAAAAATAAATTATCTTGGACTTCCAGCCTCCAGAACTGTGAGAAATAAGTGTTTGTTGTTTTTGAGCCACCAGTCCATGGTCCTCTGTTACTGCAGACTAGAATGCCAGGGAAAGAACCACCTGGAGGGACTGAAGCAAATAGCGCCTGAGTTCTGGGGACTCACACAGGCCTTGACAAGGCGCTGTTCCTGCCAGAAGAACCTCATAACTGAAGGAACACTGGGTAGAACACGGAGAGGGTCTTACATCAGCCGTGGGGAATAAGCAGCCCTAACCTGTTAAACACTGTTCTGGTCCTGCCTGAGGAATCTTAAAAGCAAAACCTGAAAGGATCAAGCTGCTTCCAAGTAAGGTGACTGCATTCTCAAACAAAGCTCAAGAATATTTATAGGCATACAAAAGTAACGAGTGCTCGACAAGGTAATACTGATATTGTCTAGTATCCAACAACAAAGTCACCAAATATGCAAAAAGCAGGAAAATAGGGCACATCATGAGGATAAAAATCATTCAACTGAAACGGACCCAGGAGTTAGAATTAGTAGGTAAGAACATTAGAACAACTATTATACTGTACTCCATACGTTCCAAAAGTTCTTTACAGATACGGAAGATATAAAAAAACTCAAATTGGATATCAACAGATAGAAATTACAAGGTCTGAAATAAATAATGTACTGGCTGGAACAGCAGATTTTTGTTTTTTGGGGGAGAGTCTTGCTCTGTTGCCCAGGCTGTAGTGCAGTGGCATGATCTAGGCTCACTGCAACTTCCACCTCCCAGGTTCAAGCAATTCTCATGCCTCAGCCTCCCAAGTAGCTGAGACTACAGGCACCTGCCACCACATCCAGCTAATTTTTGTATTTTTAGTAGAGATGGGCTTTCACCATGTTGGCCAGGCTGGTCTCAAACTCCTGACCTCAAATGATCTGCCAGCCTCGGCCTCCCAAAGTGCTGGGATTACAGGTGCGAGCCACTGCACCCAGCCCTAGAACAGCAGATTAGACATTGCAGGAAAAAAAAAAAATCTGGAAGACAACATTAGAAACTGTCCAAATGAAACATTTAAAAAAATGATTTTTTTTTTTTTACTTTTTAGACAGGGTCTCACTCTGTCACCTAGGCTGGAGTGCACTGGCGTGATCATGACTCACTGCAGCCTCAACCTCTCCAGCTCAAGCGATCCTCCCACTTTAGCCTCTCGAGTAGCTGGGACTACAGGCGCACACCACCATGTTTGGCTAATCTTTAAAAATTTTCTGTAGAGATGAGGTCTCACCATGTTGCCCAGGGTGGTCTCAAACTCCTGGGCTCAAGTAATCCTACTGCCTTGGCCTCCCAAAGTGCTGGGATTACAGGCATGAGCCACCATGCCCTGCCCCAGAAGGAATGAATATATTTTTTTTTAATGAAAAGAACACTGGTGAGCTGTGGGACATTTTAATATATGTGTAACTGGAGGCCCATAAGGAGAGAGAAAGAAAGGAACAGAGAGAGTGTTTAAAGAAATAATAACCCCAAATTTCCCAAATTTGATACAAACTATAAAACCAAAGATACAAGAAACTCAACACACCCCAAGCAGAAGAAACACAAAGATAAACCAAGATACATCATAATCAAATTTCTTAAGACCAGTAACAAAGAGAAAATCTTGACAACAGCCAGATGAAAAACAAAAAGATTTTATAAACAGAGGAACAAAAATTAGGATGACACCAGATTTCTCACTGGAAACAATGTGAGAAAGCAGTGTAAGAAAATTCTTAAAGTAGCAAAAGAAAAAAGTAGTCAACCTAGAATTCGATACTCACTGAAACTGTTTTTCAAAAGTGGGCCGGGCACGGTGGCTCACACCTGTAATCCCAGCACTTTGGGAGGCAGAGGCGGGCGGATCACAAGGTCAGGAGATCGAGACCATCCTGGCTAACACAGTGAAACCCCATCTCTACTAAAAATACAAAAAATTAGCCGGGCGTGGTGGTGGATGCCTGTATTCCCAGCTACTCGGGAGGCTGAGGCAGGAGAATGGCATGAACCCGGGAGGCGGAGCTTGCAGTGAGCCGAGATCGCGCCACTGCACTCCAGACTGGGCGACAGAGCAAGACTCCCTCTCAAAAAAAAAACCAAAAAAACAAAAGTGAAGACAAGGCCAGGCGCAGTGGCTCACACCTGTAATCCCAGCATTTTGGGAGGCTGAGGCAGGCGTATCACCTGAGGTCAGGAGTTCGAGACCAGCCTGGCCAACATGGTGAAACCCCGTCTCTACCAAAAAATACAAAAATTAGCTGGGTGTGGTGGTGGGCACAGAGCAGAGATAGAACAGTATCATAAGGCTGGGCGTGGTGGCTCACACGTGTAATCCCAGCACTTTGGGAGGCCAAGGCAGGCAGATCCCGAGGTCAGGAGTTTGAGACCAGCCTAGCCAATATAGTGAAACCCTGTCTCTACTAAAAATGCAAAAAGGAGCTGGGTGTGGTGGTGCACGCCTGTAATCCCAGCTACTTGGGAGGCTGAGGCAGTAGAACTGCTTGAACCTGGGAGGTGTAGGCTGCAGTGAGTCGAGACTGTGCCACTGCACTCCAGCCTGCATGACAGTGAGACTCCGTCTAAAAAAAAAAAAAAGGTATCATAAAAAATGCTCAAACTTCCAAACTTCTCTCCACAAATGGTGCTAGAACAACTGGACATCAACATGCCAAAAATAAATAAATCAAATCAAATCTATACACAGACCTTAGTCTCTTCACAAAAATTAACTCAAAATGGATCATAGAGCTGAATGTTAAATGCAAATCTATAAAACTCCTAGAAGATAACATAGGAGAAAATCTACATGACTGGGTTTTGTGAATTTTTTTTTTTGAGACAAGAGTCTCACTCTGTCGCCCAGGCTGGAGTGCACTGGCAGAATCTTGGCTCACTGCAACCTCTGCCTCCTGGGTTCAAGTGATTCTCATGCCTCAGCCTCCTGAGTAGCTGGAATTACAGGTGTGCGCCACCACGCCCGGCTAATTTTTGTATTTTTAGTAGAGATGGGGTTTTGCCACGTTGGCCAGGCTGGTCTCAAACTCCTGGCCTCAAGTGATCCACTCACCTCGGCTTCCCAAAATACTGGGATGACAGCTGTGAGCCACCGCGCCCAGCCGTGATAATTTTTTTGATACAACATCAAAGGCATGATCCATGAAAGAAACTTACAAGCTTGACTTTATTAAAATAATAATAAAAAAACCCCTCTGCTAGGCCAGGCGTGGTGGCTCACGCCTGTAATCCCAGCTCTTTGGGAGGCCGAAGCGGGCGGATCACGAGGTCAGGAGATCGAGACCATCCTGGCTAACACGGTGAAGCCCCATCTCTACTAAAAATACAAAAAATTAGCCAGGTGTGGTGGCAGGTGCCTGTAGTCCCAGCTACTCAGGAGGCTGAGGCAGGAGAATGGCGTGAACCCGGGAGGCGGAGCTTGCAGTGAGCCAAGATCACGCCACTGCACTCCAGACTGGGCGACAGAGCGAGACTCCATCTCAAAAAACAAAACAAAACAAAACCCTCTGCTCTTTGAAAAACATTTTTAATATAATGAGAAAAGCTGCAGCCTGGGAGAAACTATTTGCAAGAGACCTATCTCATGAAGGACTGCTATCCAAGATTTACAAAGGGCTCTTAAAACTCAGTTAACAGGAAAACAATCTGATTAAAAAATAGGAAAAGGGGCCAGGCATGGTGGCTTACACCTGTAATCCCAGCACTTTGGGAGGCCAAGACGGGCAGGAATTTGAGACCAGCCTGGCCAATATGGTGAAACCCTGTCTGTACTAAAAATACAAAAATTAGCCAGCATGATGGCACGTGCCTGTAGTCCCAGCTACTCGGGAGGCTGAGGCAGAAGAATTGCTTGAACCCGGGAGGCGGAGGTTGGAGTGAGCCGAGATGGTGCCACTGCACTCCAACCTGGGTGACAGAGTGAGACTCGGTCTCAAAAAAAAAAAAAAAAAAAAAAAAAAAGGATTGTTTCTGGGTGTGTCTGTGAGGGTGTTGCCAGGGAGGCTGACACTTGAGTGAGTGGACGGGGAGAGGGAGACCCACTCTCAGTGTGGGTGGGCACCATCCAGTCAGCGCAGAAGGTGGGAGGGGCTGGCTTGCTGAGTCTTCTGGCTTTCATCTTTCTCCTGTGCTGGATACTTCCTGTCTTTGGAGATTAGACTCCAGGTTCTTTGGCCTTTGGACTCTTGAACTTCCACCAGTGGTTTGTCGGGGACTCTTAGGCCTTCCGCCACAGACTGAAGGCTGCGCCGTTGGCTTCCCTACTTTTGAGGCTTTTGGACTTTGAGACGTGACTGGCTTCTTCCTTCCTCAGCTTGCAGATGGCCTATAGTGGGACTTTGCCTGATGATCCTGTCAGCCAGTTCTCCCTAATATACTCCCTTTCAATATATACATATATCCTGTTAGTTCTGGCCCTCTGGAGAACCCTAATACAGATGGCAAATAAACACAGGAAAAGATGTTCACCGTATGTCATTAGGGAAACGTCCGTTAAAACAAGACACCACTGGCCGGGCGCGGGGGCTCACACCTGTAATCCCAGCACTTTGGAAGGCCAAGGCAGGTGGATCACGAGGTCAAGAGATCGAGATCATCCTGGCCAACATGGTGAAACCCCGTTTCTACTAAAAATACAAAAATTAGCTGGGCGTGGTGGCGCACGCCTGTAGTCCCAGCTACTCGGGAGGCTGAGGCAGGAGAATCGCTTGAACCCAGGAGGCGGAGGTTGCAGTGAGCCGAGACCATGCCACTGCACTCTAGCCTGGAAGACAGAGTGAGACTCTGTCTCAAAAAAACAAAAAAAAAACAAGACACCACTACATACCTATTAGAATGCCAAATCCAAAATGCTGGCACCACCAAATGCTGGCAGAAATGTGGAGCAACAGAAACCCTTCTTCATTGGTGCTGGCAATGCAGAATGGTACAGCTACTTTGGAGGACAGTGTGGTGGTCTCTCATAATCCTAAACATACTCTTAGAATATGAACCAGCAACACTGCTCCCCAGTATTTACACAGATGGGTTGAAAACTTCTGCCCACAAAGAAATCTGCACGTGCACGTTTATGGCAGCTTTCTTTATCACTGCCAAAAACTTGGAAGGAACCAAGATATCCTTCAATAAATGTCTTACTACATTCTGGTTGTTGTAACAAAATACCATACACTGCGTAGCTGAGGCAGGAGGATCACTTGAGCCTGGGAGGTTGAAGCTGCTGTGGGCTGAGACAGAGATCACATCATTGCACTCCAGCCTGGGTGACAGAATGAGAAACCCTGTCTCAAAAAAAAAAAAAAAAGTACAGTTTTGGTTTTTGCTGTGACTGGGCTCCTGGAGTGAGAGCTCTGGATCCCAGGTGCAAGATGAGGAATCTGGAGCCGAGAGAAGGGAAACGAGTTTTCCAAGTCATACGGCTGGTTAAGTAAAAGAGCCGGGATTATGACTTAGGTTTCCTGCCCCCCAAGATTATTATTTTTTGAAACAGAGTTTCGCTCTGTCTCCCAGGCTGGAGTGCAATGGCATGATCTGGGCTCACTGCAACCTCCACCCCCAGGGTTCTAGCGATTCTCCTGCCTCAGCCTCATGAGTAACTGGGATTACAGGCATGCGCCACCATGCCCGGCTAATTTTTCTGTATTTTTAGTAGAGACGGGGTTTCGCCATGTTGGCCAGGCTGGTCTTGAACTCCTGACCTCAGGTGATCCACACGCCTCGGCCTCCCAAAGTGCTAGGATCACACGCATGAGCCACCGCGCCTGGCCTACCCAAGATTATTAAAATAAGTTTTCAGAAGCAACCCCCTACTGGCCAGGCGCAGTGGCTCATGCCTGTAATCCCGGCACTTTGGGAGGCAGAGGCGGGCGGGTCACCTGAGGTCCGGAATTCCAGATACTGTGAAACCCTGTCTTCACTAAAAATACAAAAATTAGCTGGGTGTGGTGGTGCACGCCTGTAAAGAGAATTGCTTGAACCTGGGAGGCAAAGGTTGCAGTGAGCTGAGATCGTGCTACTGCACTCCAGCCTGGGTGACAGAGCCGTCTCAAAAAATAATAATAATAATAGATTTTTTAAGAAAAGCAATCCCCTAGTGACTTCTTAGAGCACATCATCAGACAGTTGGGGTAAAATTCTGAAGTGGATTAAGGGAGGGGTGCTGGTTTGCCTGGATGGCTACATGAACATAGCCCTGGAACCAACCAAATATGTAACTGGACAACAGAAAAATAAGTACAGGGTGCATTAATCAGAGGCAACAATGTTTTGTACTTAAGTACACAGAAGACACGATGTGAAGACACCAAGAGAACAGTACTTTTCATGGTTAGACACATTTCTTAGGTATTTTTTCTACTTTGGGATTCTTTTGTGATATAATTTGTCCTGTTTACATAATTTTTTTCCCTGACATGTAAGATAAATGTATCTAATTGTGGGCTTACTTGTAAAGAGTTTTCACATTTAAGTTCCAGTCATTTCATTTTATCGCTGTGTCTGTGTACAGAATGCTAAAGAATAAGACATAAAAAATAAAAGTACAGTTATAAACACCTCTTTTAAAAGGCAGAGACTGTTCGCTTGGGCAAAAAAAAGCAAGATCCAACTACATGCTATCTACAAGAAACCCACCCTAAATACAACAGGTAAAAGGAAGCTAAATGGAACGTGGGTCCTGGCTTGTACCCTGGCATGTAAAGAAAACATTGGAGGAAAAGGTGGTGAAATCCCAGTAAAGTCTGGGTTTTAGTTACAGTAATGCATCATGTCAGTATCTACAACAAACCACTTTTGTTGGTGCTTGTGATGACAGCATCAGAAGAAAGTGGGCATAAAACATGGTGGACTGCTTATGATCTTTGCAACTTTTCTTTTTTTTTTTTTTGAGACAAGAATTTCACTCTTGTTGCCCAGGCTGGAGTGCAATGGTGTAACCTCGGCTCACTGCAACCTTGGCCTCCTGGGTTCAAGCGATTCTCCTGCCTCAGCCTCCCGAGTAGCCGGGATTACAGGTGCACGCGCCACCACGCCCAGCTAATTTCTGTATTTTTAGTAGAGACGGGACTTCACCATGTTGGCCAGGCTGATCTTGAACTCCTGACCCCAGGTGATCCACCCATCTCGGCCTCCCAAAGTGTTGGGATTACAGGCGTGAGCCAGCGCGCCCGGTCTTTGCAACGTTTTGAATAAATCCAAAATTATTCCAGAACAAAAAGCTTAGTACCAAAAAGAAAACAAAAACAAAAACAAAACAAACCCCCCCCCCCCCCACAGAGTAAAATAACGGAAAAAGATCTACTATGCTAGCACTAACAAAATAATACGTAGTTATGAAAATGGTATGTATTTTTCAAGCTAGACGTTCATAATGGTAGAACATGAGGAGGAAAACTGCCTCTTAAATCCCACCACTTACTGTGACACAGTGACCGGTCCCTGCAGCGGACTGGATAGTTGTATCAGAGTCCTGGACGGAAACAGATGGCACTCAAAAGGTGGCGCGCAGTTCAGAGAAATGCCTATGTACGGATTTGGTCCAATGCCTCAGCCTGACCTCAGGGACCTTCGGGGGTCTGCTCCGCGCCCACCCTTACACATCTGTGACCCCACACACTTCCACCCCAGCGCCACTGCCAACAGCTACACCCATCCCCCTCCAACCGCGTCAGCTTCCAGCCTCGGTCCATCTGAACTCGCCGTGCCCCCTCCCCTGCGCCCTTCCAGATTCATTTGCTAGGGAAGCCCGCTCTTCCGGGTGGAGCTGTTCCTCATCCCCTTTCTTTATCATTCTCTCCCCAGGGCTTCCACATCACCGTGCTGTGGACAATCCCGGAACTCCTGTCACGCCAGTTTACATTTAGGAACAGTAATGGCTCCCACTGACTCAGTCAAAACAAGGCTGCGGCCGGGCACGGTGGCTCACGCCCGTAATCCCAGCACTTTGGGAAGCCGAGACGGAGGGATCACGAGGTCAGGAGTTCGAGAACAGCCTGGCCGACATGGTGAAACCCCGTCTTTACTAAAAACACAAAAATTAGCCGGGCATAGTGGCGCGCGCCTGTAATCCCAGCTACTCCGGAGGCTGAGGCAGAATTGTTTGAACCCAGGAGGCGGAGGTTGCAGTGAGCAGAGATCACGCCACTGTACTCTATCGTGGGCGACGACAGAGCAAGAGCAAGACTCCGTCTCCGAGAACAACAACAACAGCAACAAGAAAACAACAATAAAAAAAATAAGGCTGCGTGGGAGGCAGAAAGAGCTAATGCGGCCACGCTTGTCTCCTCGGGGCCACCGTCCCCACCCAGACTTCCGGTCTGCCTTAAAATGTTCATGCGTAAGTGCGTGGGCAGGAAGGCGGGCTCAAGCGCAGCTCGTGGCGTTCATTGGCTGTGCAGGGCCGAGGGAGGCGGTGCAAGGCCGCCGCGTGACGTCAGGACGCCGCGGTCAGGACGTCGAAGCCAAAGAAGACCAGAGCCAGCCGGGTGGCACAGCGGTGTCGTGGCCGTGTTGCTGATCGCCTGGGTGGTTGTTGGCGTGTCCCTGCAGCGAAGGATCCTGGTTGGTAAGGGGAGCGGCAGGCGAGCAGGCGGGCGGGGATAGCATCTCCTTTTGGTCTTGCGCCCCGCGAGCCCCGAGGCCTTCTCGGCCGTCGCAGCAGCAGACGCCGCGCGCGAGCGTCGACAGGGTGTGGCGGCGCAGGGGCAGCCACTGCGCCTGCGCACCGGGCCTGGGGCCGCGCGTTCGGGCACTAGCGCGCGTGCGCCGTCGTCTTCTAATTTCCGTTCCTCTCCCTTGGAGTTCTCGGGGCCCCGGGGCGCCCCTCACTCGCCGTTGACCGGGTGTTGCCCCGGGCGACGGGCGGCTCCTGCGCGTCTTTCTGGGGCGTGGTGCGCAGGCGCGGCCTGGGCAGTGGCTCCGTGGCTAGTCGTGGGGATCCGAGCGGCCTCCTCCACCCGGCGTCCTCCTTTGCCTTCGCCCAGCCTGCGGGACGGCCAGGTGCTCCCGGGACCTCAGGCCTCGCGTCTGATGCCTGTCTCTGTTCTTGAGACCCGTCCGGGAGTCCTCTGTCCAGCCCCCAACTCCTGACCTTACCTCTAATCTCCCTTCTGCCCTGGGGCTCCTCTTCCTGTGTCCCCGCCACGATCCCTCGTCTCCACCCACGCCCTGTGTCCTGTTTAAGTTAAGCCTTTGCGTTTCTAGGGCTTTTCCCCAGCTCCAGACTCCCGTTCCTATCCCGTCAACTCGTGGGAATTCCGGTTCTCCTGCGGGATTAATTATCCTACTTATCAGTTACTCCCTCTCGGGAGTTTAGGCTCCTGAATCCTTGCTCCGGAGACACTCCACTTTTCTTCCAATTCTCTCTGTACCCCACTCTTAATTCGTTGAACATGTTTTGGGTCTTCTTTGGCATTCCCAAAGCTTTATGTCCAGACACCCAACCACGGTGATCCCTTTTCTCTCCCAGCCCTACCCCTGCTTCCGGGAACCTCCCGTGGAAGCAGGCAGGGGTAGTCCCACTGAGGACTCCCACGTAGGTCTCTTTACTGCCCTTCGGAGACCTTTTTGAAATCAGTCTGTCAGTGCTAAGAACCCATTTCTTCACGTTGGGGTTCACGTTGGCATTCTCAGGAACGCTCAACGACCACTTGCTTCCAGGGTTAACTTCCGGAAAATCCCCTTTTCCTCTCAAAATTTTCTTCTCTTCTCCAATATTCTTCCAGCCCCCTCGATGCTCCCTGAAAGGCCTCCCTTTTCACAGAGTTCTCGGAAACCTTTCCACCCTCTCAGCCTTAAGGGTTCCCTCAGACTCTTCTCATTATAGCATCCATCCTCTTCGTTCAGGTTCCTTTCACAACCCGTACTCCCTAGCTTTTTTTTTTTTTTTTTTTTTGAGACAGAGTTTCGCTCTTGTTGCCCAGGCTGGAGAGCAATGGCGCAGTCTCAGCTTACCGCCCTCCGCCTCCCGTGTTCAAGCGATTCTCCTGCCTCGGCCTCCCTAGTAGCTGGGATTACAGGCATATGCCACCATGCCCAGCTAATTTGGTATTTTTAGTAGAGACGTGGTTACTCCATGTTGGTTAGGCTGGTCTCGAACTCCCGACCTCAGGTGACCTGCCCGCCTTGGCCTCTCAAAGTGCTGGGATTACAGGCGTGAGCCACCGCGCCTGGCCCCTAGAATTTTTTGTAGACCTTTTCCCCTTGATGGAGGCACCCCTACCCTCTGGACCTTTCATCACAGCCTCTCTTTGCTCACATGGGTTTCAGACCCTTCTCCTTCCCTTTGGGAAGTCTGCTCTGGCTTCCCTGTTTCCAAATCCTTCGTTTTCCACCTGGAGCTCTACAAAGGGGCCAGGGGCTTCCCCTCACTCCAGCCTTTCTAGTCCACACCCAGAACTCTTCAGATCCTTGACCCCAGTGGCTTTTCAGTCAGCCTCCCCTTTTCTGCCCGGCTTCTCTTGAGTCCATCTACTTTTCTTCCCCACTTTGTGACGTGTTTTTAGCTCCCCCTTAAGTCTCCCTAACTCATTCTTTTTCTCATAGACAGTGAAAAAGCAGTCTGGCTCCCGAGGTCCACCCCTTATACCCCAAGGTCCAGATGGCGGCCAACGTGGGTGATCAACGTAGCACAGATTGGTTAGTGAGGCGAGAGGGATGGAGGCCAGTCGGGAGGGAAAGAGGAAGCAAGACCCAGTGCTGTCCTCTGGGGTGGGACCTCCCGTGGCCTTAGGGGAGGTGATGCCACAATCCCTGTGGGTGGGGGTGGTGGTGAGGCAAACACAGAGGGAAGCATTTGGTTGTGGTGTGGAGAGGGGCAAGCTTTCACCTCTCTGAGCTTTCGTTTTTCACAGTACAGCGCTTGCTTTGCAGAATTGTGATGATTCATTCAAGCAAGTGTAATTAGGAGGCAGCTTCCCAACACTCAATACACAGTCATTTATTTGTTTTTCTGCTGATTCCTTATTTTTTCTCAAAATAGTGTGATAACCTGCCGACTGGGGTGATGTCAGACAGAATTCATTGATTCATGAAAGACATAGCCCTAGGAGGTGCCAGGGCCTGTGTTCAGTTCTGTGGGTTCTGTTAATTGTTTTGTTTGTTTGGTTTTAACAACTGCTGTGTGCCAGGCTCTGGGATAAGTACCTTAAGTAGGTGATCTCATTTATCCCTCCCAGCAGACTCTGAAGCAGAAACCCTTTATCAGCATAGTACAGATTAGAAAACTTAGGCTTAGACTGGTAGTAACAGTTAGATATGGGATCCAGGGGCTGGAATTTGCCTCCCAACTTGCCCACCTGTGTACAGTGGGGAGAACAGGTGTGACTTGATGTCCTCTCTCTCTGCAGGTCTTCTCAGTACAGCATGGTGGCTGGGGCAGGCCGAGAGAATGGCATGGAGACGCCGATGCACGAGAACCCGGAGTGGGAGAAGGCCCGTCAGGCCCTGGCCAGCATCAGCAAGTCAGGAGCTGCCGGCGGCTCTGCCAAGTCCAGCAGCAATGGGCCTGTGGCCAGTGCACAGGTGAGAAGGCCTCATGGGGCTGGGGTACCCTGAGCCAGAGGTTGTGGGAGGGACACAGTCTGGCGTCCTGTTGTATCATTCAGACGGGGTGCTCTGAGGGGAAACATGAAAAGACGTTCCAGGGTATCTAAATCTGAACGGGAAAAAGTTCTGTTTCCTTGAGGAAATTAGGGCGTGATGTGGTTCTGAAGAGGGAGGCCATGCCCATGCCCCTGGTCTCTAACGTGCGTGAGTCTCATGGTAGAGACAGTGGCTCACTTTGCAGATACATGGACCCAGTTTCATCCCTTGGCAATTGGCCACCAGTAAACAGGCTTGCCCTTTGGGGGCCGTGTGCCTGTGGATTTGGGCTGCTGACGGCACATGTGCCTCTCTGCTTCCACAGTACGTGTCCCAGGCAGAAGCCTCAGCTTTGCAGCAGCAGCAGTACTACCAGTGGTACCAGCAGTACAACTATGCCTACCCCTACAGCTACTACTATCCCATGGTGAGTGCCCAGCCAGTGGGGCGGGGCAGGGCGAGGTGGAGTCTGCTGGGTCGGGGCGAGGTGAAGTGGAGTCTGCCGGGATGGGGCTGGGTGGTGGATGGACTGGAGATCGCAGTGATAACTGCTCAGAAACCCTCTAACTTGCCCAGGAGGTAAATTCCTAGGTCCCCGCCATGAGCCACAAGGTCCTACATACCCGGTTCTGGTCCCTTCTCTCCTCATGCTCATTCTGCCATGGCCATCGAAGCAGAGACCTCCTTGATGCCCGCACCCGCCAGGCCCGCTCTCGCTTTGCCCTGGCTGCAGTGCTCCCTGTGTTGCCGCCTCTTGGAGGTCTCTGCTCAGATGCCGCCTTCAGAGAGCCTCTACCTGACACACTGATTGAAAGTAGCATTCCTGCCTCGCAGCCTGTCCCTCTCCCTTTCTTTGCCATCTTATTGTTTCATGATCCTTATTGCTGGATGTATTACATGTTGATGTCTCCAGCCGGACATGTAATTCCAGCACAAGCTTCATTACAGCATGGGTTTTCCTTTTGTTCTGTCGTAGTGCTTAGAAGAGTTGGCACTCAGTATCGTTGATTATATTCTTCCGAGAACTAGCTAAGTGAGATGTGGGATTGATAGAGGTTTTTCTTTTCCTAATATATGAGAGGATGTGGTGCATTAATATAGTGAAGAGAGAAAGGGGTGAGGGATTGGTAGAGGGTCATGGCTGGTGTAGTTCCTGAGCAGGCTGGGGAAGCGGAAAGGGTAGGCCTCCCACTAAACCCTCCCTCCCTGCGCCTTTGCAGAGCATGTACCAGAGCTATGGCTCCCCTTCCCAGTATGGGATGGCCGGCTCCTATGGCTCAGCCACACCCCAGCAGCCATCCGCACCCCAACACCAAGGGACTCTGAACCAGGTAACATCCTAGCCCAGCTCCCATACCCTGCTCAAGCAGAGGAAGTGTAGATTTTTGAATGAGCTGTCAATGAGGAATGGCTTGTACTCCTTAAGCTGCTTTTTTCCTTCCAAGCAACTCCTGATCTGAAAATGAGGAGGACAGAGCATAGTGTTTGAACCTGGGGTGGGTTTAAGGCTGAGCCAAGGCCAGGGCTGAGATGTTGAAAGACATCTCATCTTTTTCCCTAGCATGGTCACCCACAGGCGTGCACACACCGGCTGGGTTTTGCATTGAATGTGCAGCTTGGAGGAATGGCCGGGCTAGTGCACAGGAGGCAGGTAGACCTGGGTTTGAATCCCAGCTGTCCCACCCCTGGTGTAATTACGCATCTCGGTCAGCTCTCGAAAGCGGGAAGGATGGTAGCCTCATCCTTGGGCTCCATGAGTGTGTGTGCTCATGGGTGTCTTGTGCTCAGATGGTAGCGCTGGAGTGGGTGTGTTGTCGGTGGCTGTTACTCCAGCATTGAAACGCTGCCAGCTGCCGCTTCATAGCTTAGGGCCCTGGGAAGTCGCTTAGTCTCTGAGCTGGAGCCTTGTCAGCTGTGAAAAGGGCTGTTAACAAATGTTAACCTCACAGAGTTACTGAGGACTCGAATGAACTCACATTTGGGAAGGTCACGGGAGGGTTGAGTGCTGAGTGCTGTGACCACTGCGTCCTCACAGCGAGGGCTGAGTGCCACTCGCCAGCCCCAGAATCTGCCTCCCGTGCTCAGCGCCTGCTTCCTTCTGCAGCCCCCAGTCCCCGGCATGGATGAGAGCATGTCCTACCAGGCTCCCCCTCAGCAGCTGCCGTCGGCTCAGCCCCCTCAGCCCTCAAATCCCCCACATGGGGCTCACACGCTGAACAGTGGCCCTCAGCCTGGGACAGCTCCAGCCACACAGCACAGCCAGGCGGGGCCCGCCACGGGCCAGGCCTATGGGCCACACACCTACACCGAACCTGCCAAGCCCAAGAAGGGCCAACAGCTGTGGAACCGCATGAAACGTAAGTTGGCAGAGCTACGTGGAGGTCCGAGCGGTTGGGCCCTCACAAGAGCTCCTGGGTGTGAGGCCCGTGGTGTGTGCTGCTCCTTGTTTCTGGGTGTTGTGATCGCCAGGCTGGGGGTGGGGCTGCTCTGGACCAGGCACATGTGTGCTGGAGCCCTCCTCTAGAACCTGAGCGCTCCTCCCTGCATTTCCACTTCCTCCCGTCCCCTGGGGACCCCTGGATGTGCCGGGGAAGGGCCTAACCATAGCTTTCGCTGCCCTCACAGCCGCCCCTGGGACTGGAGGTCTCAAGTTCAACATCCAGAAGCGACCCTTTGCTGTTACCACCCAGAGCTTTGGCTCCAACGCAGAGGGCCAGCACAGTGGTTTTGGCCCCCAGCCCAACCCTGAGAAAGTTCAGAACCACAGGTGACGTCTGCCCCCTTGCCCCGTCGCAGCCCCACACTCTGCACTCAGCGTCTATGGTCCAGTCCCACTGGCCAGCTGCCCACCCTGAGCCTCAGTGTGCGCCTCTGAAAAGGGCAGAAGGACCCTCTCTTGGGGGTTGCTGTGAGCACTGAAGGAGACAGAAGGAAAACTTGGGGACTGCGTCCCGCTGTGTCAGCTCAGAGTGGCGGTGGGGATGGTCTTTTGAGTTTGGAATCGTCTCCAGCTGAGCCCCTCATCTGTCCTCCCGCAGCGGGTCCTCTGCCCGGGGGAACCTGTCTGGGAAGCCGGATGACTGGCCCCAGGACATGAAAGAGTATGTGGAGCGCTGCTTCACCGCCTGTGAGTCGGAGGAGGACAAGGACCGCACGGAAAAGCTGCTCAAGGAGGTGCTGCAGGCGCGGCTGCAGGACGGCTCGGCCTATACCATTGACTGGAGCCGGGAGCCCTTGCCGGGGTTAGTCTGGGTGGGGGACATAGGTGGGAGGGTGGTGCTGTGAGAGGCATGGGCTGGGTATGGAGGTAGGAGAGTTGCGGGTCCCAGGTACCAGGAGCTCCAAAGAGAAATGAACTGGAAAGTTGGATCCTGGGGGGATGAAGTCCTGGTTGGAGGGAGGCCGGTGGGGTGGGGTGGGGACCATGGGTGCTGGAGAGGCGTGCATTGCTCAGTGGTTAAGCGCACCCTCTGGAGACGGAAAACCTGGGTTCGCGTCTCATTTCTGCACTGTAGTAGCTGAGCCGCCTGGGGTAAGTGCCTTTCCTTTCGGAGGCGGGTCGGTACCTTGAGGGAGGTGGTGGCGGCTGTCCTGCCAGTGTCTGGCGGGGTTGGTGACGCCCTGCCCTGCTGTATTCTCAGGCTGACCCGGGAGCCTGTGGCTGAGAGCCCTAAGAAGAAGCGGTGGGAGGCCGCTAGCAGCCTTCACCCTCCTAGAGGGGCAGGCTCGGCGACAAGGGGCGGGGGTGCCCCGTCCCAGCGAGGGACGCCCGGGGCTGGGGGTGCCGGTCGAGCCCGGGGCAACAGCTTCACCAAGTTTGGCAACCGCAACGTCTTCATGAAGGACAACAGCTCTTCTTCCAGCACAGACTCCCGCTCCCGCTCCTCCTCCAGGTCCCCGACGCGCCACTTCCGCAGAAGGTACTGAGGCTCCCGGCTGGGGCTGTGTGTGAGGGAGGGGGAGGCGTTTCAGGCCTGACCCTCCTGCTTCTTCCTGCAGTGACTCCCACTCAGACTCCGACAGCTCCTACTCAGGGAATGAGTGTCACCCTGTGGGCCGCAGGAACCCGCCCCCTAAGGGCCGGGGCGGTCGAGGGGCCCATATGGATCGGGGCCGAGGCAGGGCGCAGCGTGGGAAGAGGTGAGACTGTGTGAGGGCTCGACACACGGGCCAGGGTGGAGGAGGGTACTGGGGACCCATGGGAGAAGGAGGAGGAGGGCCGGACAGGTGGACAGCCAGCTGCCAAAGGGGCGAGGCTGAAGGGGGGCTGGAGACGCCTGTCGCGCTCACTGCCCCTCATCCCTTCCTAGGCACGATCTGGCGCCCACCAAGCGCAGTCGAAAGAAGATGGCGGCGCTGGAGTGTGAGGACCCGGAGCGAGAGCTGAAGAAGCAGAAGCGGGCAGCCCGCTTCCAGCACGGACACTCCCGCCGCCTGCGCCTCGAGCCCCTGGTGCTGCAGATGAGCAGCCTGGAGAGCAGTGGGGCTGACCCTGACTGGCAGGAGCTGCAGATCGTGGGCACCTGCCCTGACATCACCAAGCACTACCTGCGCCTCACCTGTGCCCCCGACCCGTCCACCGTGCGCCCTGTGGCAGTAAGTGCCCAGCAGGGCAGTTCTGCTCTGTGAGGCCGTGCTGGCTCAGGACTTGGGGAGCCAACCCAGGGAGGGTGGCAGAGGCCACACGGGGGCTCTGGTATGGCAGGGGAAGCTCGGCCAGAGACGCCTCGGCTGGTCGGCGTTCTGAGAGGAGCGCAAAGGCGCTCTGCTGCCCTGGAGCCCCGCGTGGCGGGTGTGCAGCTTGGCCGGCGAATCGCTTGACCTCTGGGCCGTGGTTCCTGGCTTAGGTGACACGGAGCATAAAGCCTTCTCCCAGGCCCGTGGGCTGTGGGGCGTGGGGGGCTGTGTTTCCAGTGTTTGGCGTAGTCACTGTTCTGCTGCAGAACCTGTGAACAGCCATGTGCTTATAGGGAAATGGGTGTGGAGGTGGCCACTCTTAACCCATGTCTTGTGGGTTTGTTTTCTCTTTTTTTGGGAGAGAGTCTGGCTCTGTCGCCCAAGCTGGAGTGCAATGGCGTGATCTTGGCTCACCGCAGCCTCCGCTCCCCGGCTTCAAGCGATTCTCCTGCCTCAGCCTCCCTAGTGGCTGGGATTACAGGCGTCTGCCACTACGCCTGGCTGATTTTTGTATTTTTAGTAGAGACGGGGTTTCACCATGTTGGCCAGGTTGGTCTCAAACTCCTGACCTCAGATGATCCACACACCTCGGCCTCCCAAAGTGCTGGGATTACAGGCGTGAGCCACTGCGCCTGGCCTTTTTTTTCTTTTTTTAATGTTGCAACTCTCCCACCAAATAAGTGGAAGCCGTTGGCCACGCTACCTGAGTTGTACTCCGAGTGTGAATTCAGTTCCCTTTTTCAGGTTTTGAAAAAGTCGCTGTGCATGGTCAAGTGCCACTGGAAAGAGAAGCAGGACTACGCGTTTGCCTGCGAGCAGATGAAGTCGATCCGGCAGGATCTGACGGTGAGACTCGCGCTGGGAGGGGCCTGGCCTCAGCCAGTCCTGCCTCCTGCTCCTTGTGACTCTTGTTCTCGCCCCGCTGCCCCAGGTGCAGGGCATCCGCACCGAGTTCACGGTGGAGGTGTACGAGACCCATGCCCGGATCGCCTTGGAGAAGGTGAGCTGGCCTCTGCGGGCCTCCCCAGCCCCTTTCCTGCTGCCGTTCTGCCCTCAGCACCCTCACTCTGCTCTCCTCCCTCGGTGCCTCTGCCTTCCAGGGTGACCATGAAGAGTTTAACCAGTGCCAGACGCAGCTCAAGTCGCTGTACGCCGAGAACTTGCCTGGCAATGTGGGCGAGTTTACTGCCTACCGAATCCTCTACTACATCTTCACCAAGAACTCGGGAGGTGAGGCCCAGTCCCCAGGACAGAGGCCATGGTACCCAGGGTTGAGCCCTGCTGACTTCACCCTCTTTGTCTTGGTGCTAGACATCACCACGGAGCTGGCATACCTCACACGAGAACTGAAGGCAGATCCTTGCGTGGCCCACGCCTTGGCATTAAGGACAGCCTGGGCCCTGGGCAACTACCACCGCTTTTTCCGGCTCTACTGCCATGCACCCTGCATGTCTGGCTACCTCGTGGACAAGTTTGCAGATCGGGAGCGCAAGGTCGCCCTCAAGGCCATGATCAAAACGTATGTGGTGCCAAGCTCCCTTCTGCCTTTGCTCTTCCCATCCTTCCGCCTCGCACCGCCCCTCAGACCAGCTCCTGGCCGCAGGCCTCCCCCAGCCCCCAACCCTTGTCCTGGTCCTTGCTTCCCCATCATCTTTCTCCATTCAGCCCTCCCCTCTCCAGTTCCTCTTGCTCTCCTTGTTGGTCACCTCTGTGTTCCGGGTCACTCCTCTCCCTCTCCCCACTGTTCCCAGCTCACTGCCTCTGGGGCCTCTTCTCCACCCCATCTGTGTGTCTCTTCCTCCTGTTCTCTCCTGCCTGGACCCCCTAGTTCACTCCTTGCCCTGGGCTTCCTCAGAACCCTGAGGTCTCTGCTTTCTCAGCTTGTCGCTGTGCTCCCACCATAGAGACCATCTAGACAGCCTCTGGTCTACCAGGACAAGGCCCAGTCCCACTCAGCTCCTTTGAGAGCACCAGAAACGCTTAGGGAGACACCTGTGTTGAGGCCACACTGGGCGCGGTGCCAGAGGCCCCTGGTCAGGCCATGCCCCTGCAGTGTCCTTCGTTCACTAGACATTGCGCCTGGCTTGCTGTGGGTGGGGATGAGTTGCTTGACTCATGTTTAGACGCATGGTTCTGTCTGGTGATTGAGGTGCCCAGGCGACGCTGGGCAATGTCAAGAGAGGTTTTCGCTTGTCACAGCAAGGGGATGCTCTTGGCATCTAGTGAGTGGAGGCCAGGGATGCTGCCCTGCCACTGCCATTGGGCCTCAGAGCTCAGTCTTGCCAAGGTGGAGAAATTCTGGTCGAAGAGGTTGACCGGTAGACTGAAGAGGCCTTGAGAGCCTGGCCAGGTGGCTGTCCACGTGAGGTCATAGTCACAGCATGGAGGCCTTGAGAGCCTGGCCAGGTGGCCCTCCACGTGAGGTCATGGTCACAGCATGGGGGCCTTGAGTGCCTGGCCAGGTGGCCCTCCACGTGAGGTCATGGTCACAGCATGGAGGCCTTGAGAGCCTGGCCAGGTGGCCCTCCACGTGAGGTTGTGGTCACAGCATGGGGGCCTTGAGAGCCTGGCCAGGTGGCCCTCCACGTGAGGTCATGGTCACAGCATGGAGGCCTTGAGAGCCTGGCCAGGTGGCCCTCCGTGTGAGGTCATGGTCACAGCATAGTTTGGAGCTAGGGAGGGACTGTCAGCCTGGAGGTTTGGAGACTCATTCTGGAATCTAGTGTGGGTCAAGCCAACTTCAGGGAGAGGCTGAGCCAGGGTAGGAGTCACAGGAGCAGACGAGGATGTGGGGTGCCGTGCACAGAGCTCCATGACCAGCTTGGGAAGTTAGAAGGAAGGGGAGGCAGGAGGCTGCTTAGTCTGCTGCCATGATGGGCCCCATGAATGGTGGCTCTCAAGCTTCTGTGCTACACAGGGGTGTGTGGTTGGGCGAGTGTCCTTGTTAATTGATACCTAATTGGCCTTGGTTGGGAACATAGCCATGAGTGCCCCTCGTGGGTGGGGCGCCAGTCTGTCATTGACCTCATTGTGTCAGCACCTTCCCCCCAAGGAGGCTGACCCTGCCCTGCCAGCTGAGACTGGGAGACGGAGTGGGCTCTGATCCCAGGGCTTCCAGGAAAGCTCTGGCTTTGGAGCAGAAGCGGGTTCTAGGACTTAGTGCCCCTCACTCGGTGCCTGGGTTCCTGTGTGTGTGGAAAGGGTAGGGCTGCACCCTGTGGAAGAGGGTTCAGGGAGCTCTGAGGACCTGGCTCGTGCTAGATGCTCAGTCAGTAGTGTGTTTTAGCAGCAGCCGGAAGTGACTGCTTTCAGTGTGTAGTGGTGAGTGCTAGCTGGCACCCCTGCGCCTGGCTTCCCAGACACTGTAACGCAGGGCAGGGGAGGCAGCGAGGGCTGGGTCCCCACGGTGGCCCTGGCAGCCCCGCCATCCCCATCCCCTGCCACGTGCTGCTCCCTCCATCTGGTCCCTGCCCCTCAGCCAGCGGAGGAGCCCGCTGGGCCCTTCCCTGCCCGTCCCCGCTCCTCCCTGGCCCCCGCACAGGTAAGTGAGGGTGAGGGGGGCACAGGGGACTGGGGTCACTAACCCCCCCCGGGCCCCCCCCGAGCCCCTGAGGTGGGGAGGCTGGGAGGCGGGTGGGGAGCCAGCAGGCACTGTGCTGAGGAAATCCTGTGGGCACCCGAATGGGGGGGCCTCCCCGCTCGTGGGGCCCTCCCCTGCCCTCCCGCCCGCCCGCCTCATCACCTTCTCCTCTTGTCTCCATAGCTTCCGCCCTGCGCTGCCAGTCTCCTACCTGCAGGCCGAGCTGGCCTTCGAGGGCGAGGCCGCCTGCCGGGCCTTCCTAGAGCCCCTGGGCCTGGCCTACACGGGCCCGGACAACTCCAGCATCGACTGCCGCCTCAGCCTGGCGCAGCTGTCAGCCTTCTGAGCACCCAGCGAGGAGGGGCGGGGGCAGGGGCTGCAGCCCCCAGCGCTGCCTTTGCGGATTCTGTTTTTGAGCCGTGGACTTGGGTTGTAAATTTATTTGTGGGGAGTGCGCTCCAGGAAGAGCCACCATCCCTGCCCCCGTTTTCCCACCGGGGAGTCTGTACAGAGATTTTTCTACGTTTTTATTTTTTGCCTCAGAGGGATGGGATTGGGGAGGAGGGGATGGGCAGCGGAGGGTTGGGGGCATGGTCTGCAGGCTCATCTGTGTCCGCCTTTCACTCCACTAATGCTGTCTCAGTGTTTTCTCTCTCTCTCTTTCGAGCTTGCACTCCGGTACCCGACCCGGCGCCCTGGCCCATCCCATGCCGGGGGGCCAGTGGAAAGAAGACAGGCCGTCCAGCCCGTGCCCGCCTGCGGCGGGGGCACCCAGCAAGCCCGCCCACCGCCCGCTGCCTCACCTGCTTCGCCACAGACTCTTGTTCCCAGCCCCTTGGGGCCTCCGTGTTTGGGGTGGGGGAGCTGCTTAGAGACTGTGCCCGTCCTCGGCCCCCCACCCTGAAGTGCCAGCACCACCAGCACCAGATCCTCCGCCGCCACACCGCACTGAGGACACGCCGGCCGGGCCGCCTCGTCTCAAGTTGTATAAAGTTGTCTCCGTGTCCCCTCCTCCCTCTGCCCCCAGTGTTTCTTCTGATTTTTTTTTCCCCTTTCCCTCCCTCCCTCTCCGCATTCTTCCCTTGGTTCAGCACAGGTAAAACGGTTCCCCTCCCTCCCTGCCTTCATGGATCACCAGCTCACGTCATGTTGCCTTCTCTTTTCTTTGTGTGTGTGTTTATTTAAGTTATTTTTCTTCCTCCTCTCCCTTTTCTTTTTGGCCCTCCCTCCCTCCCTCTTCTGCCATGTAACTGGAGGATGTGCTATGAGTTTGCAAACAGCTGGACTGTCAGGCTGCTTTTTTTCCAGATGTTCCTCCTCTGCCTCCCCTTCCCCTCCTCTCCCCTCCTTTTCCTTCCTTCCTTCCTTTCCTTGGAGCACTGAGCACCATTTGGAAGCTTGAGAGAAACCAAAATTAAAGAGAGAAAGAGAGAGCGTGCACGCTCCTGCTTTGTCTTTCCTGTGTGGGCTGTTTGCATCCATTGTCTCCTCCAGAGGTCTGGGGGTGTCACTCCAGGGGGATCTCAGCCAGGGGCTGGAAAGGCCCCCCTGTCCTCCCTATACGGCACAGCCAGAGTGTCTGCAGGGGCTGGCACCCCACTTCCTGGCTGAGGGTGAACTCCAGCTTGGGGAGGTGGACCTGGGAACCATGGGGCACCTTGGCCACGGTGAGGTGGGGGTGCAGCTGCCCTGGAGACTGTAGTGTACTCAGCCCCTCGGCTTCCAGCCTCTGGCTCAGCACTTGTGCCATGCTTTCCAGTGTGGGAGAGGGTGGGGCACACAGCACATGCGGGCCCAGGAGGACCAGCTTTCTAAAGCTCAGCCGAGGGGGTGCATTTAGCCCCGGGGCCAAGAGGGCCCGTCTCAGAGCTCCAATGGCAGCGGCCTCCTCCCCAGCGCCTGCCAGTCGCAGCAGGGCCAGGGTCAGGTGTAGGTTCTGAGAGGGCACTAGGAAGTTGGCGCAGTGTGGGGCCACGTGGACCAGGTATTCCTGGGCCTTGGTCACTTCTGCTTGTAGCCCAGGCTCGGTCACCATGAGGGCCACAAAATGTGTGGGGCGCGGTTGGCAAGGGGCTGCAACACTAAGGCGGGCCCTTTTGTCCTCGGGCCAGGCCGCAGGACCCCACTCGGCTTCTGTCGTCTCAGCGGAGCCCCCCGGGACTCCCAGGGCCTGTGCTTCCTTGCCCCCCAGCAATGTGGTCCTGGTGGCTGCTGTTGGCTTCAGTGCCTCAGTCACTCCGGCGAGGCGTCCTCTTG
Source organism: Homo sapiens (assembly GCF_000001405.40). NCBI lineage: Eukaryota > Metazoa > Chordata > Mammalia > Primates > Hominidae > Homo > Homo sapiens. The sequence continues at coordinate 369,353 of NW_003571054.1, forward strand.
GGGCCAGTGTTCCCAAATCAGCAGCTGTGCCCAGCGCCCTCTCCTGGGCCGCCTCCAGCTCTCCGGGTTCCTCCACGCCTGGTTCCTGGTGCCCTGTGCAGAGCGGCCTTGTGCTCCCTCGCTTGGGGGCAGCCTGGGCCTCCTGACCTGTCCCCGCCAGTGTCCACTCGGCACCCTCTGCCCCGTGGGCGCCCTCGGTGTTCGGTGCGTCCAGGATGGTGGGCCCGCGTCCCGCCGCCGAGCCAGAGCCAAAGACGAGGTCGGTGCGCGAGGCGCGGTCCCACACAAGGCGGCCACGGAAGCGGAAGAAGCGCACGCGGTGCTGGGGCACTGCCAGCACGCCCGGCCCGAGCGCCGCCAGCGGCTGGTCCCAGCAAAAGGCGCTGAAGGGCTCCTCGCGCACACCCAGAAAGCGGTCGACGTAGCCCACCGAGAAGTCGGCGGGGTCGAGGCGCGGGTCCCAGCGGATGCGCTGGATGACGTCCGCGGCTGTGCGCAGCGGCGGCTTCTTGGCCCCGGCCTCCGGCTGCGCCTCGCGGCCAGGCGGCGCCGGCGCCCCAGGGTGGGGCTGGCGGCAGCGGGCGCCGAAGCGGCAGCGGCCTTCCAGGAAGAAGCGGCAGGCCGGCGGGGGCGCGGGTTCCGTGGCGGGGGCTTCCTGCGGCAACTCCGGCTCTCTGGCCGCTGCCATGGGTGCGGGGAACTGGCACGCCCGCCGCGCAGACGAGGTCGCCCCGCACGGAGGGCGGCTCCCCTTGGATGCACCGAGCCTCACCCGACAGTGGCGTCAGCGGCCCGCGCTCCGGCCTAGCTCTGGGGACCACGCCGCGTGCCCTCGCGAGGACTCTGGCCCAGTCCCTCCTTGGTGGAGAGCCTGACACCGCTGCTCTGGGACTTCCCGGCTGCGCCCTCCCCCAGCGCCAGGAAAGCAAGCTGCGTAAAGGCTGCGGCAGTCTCGGTCTCCCGGAGCTCTTGGGAGCCTGGCCCCGCCCCTTTCCCGGTGATTGATGTGTGCTGCCTCTTTCTGGGTGATTTACATGTAATGCCCCGCCCCTTTCGGGATGATTACGTGTGCCTCGACCTTTAGGTGATTTACATGTAGTGCCCCGCCCCGTTCCCGGTGATTTACATGTGGTGCCCCGCCCCTTTCCTGGTGATTTACGAGTGCCCCACCCCTTTTAGGTGATTTTTTTTTTTTTTATGTGTGCCTCTCCCCTTCCCAAGTGATTTACATATGTTCCCCGCTCCTTTCAGGGTAATTTACATGTAATGCCCCGCCCCTTTCCGGGTGATTTACGAGTGCCTCTCCCCTTCTCAAGTGATTTACATGTGTCCCGCCCCGTTCCGGGTGATTTACATGCGTGCCCTGGCCCTTTCCCAGTGATACTTTTGTGCTGCCTCTTTCCGGGTGATTTACGTGTGTGCCTCTCCCCAAGTGATTTACATGTGTGCCCTGTCCGTTTTAAGGTGATTTACATGTGGTGCCCCGCCCCTTTCCGGGTGATTTACCTGTGTCCCATCCCTTTCCCGGTGATTTACATGTGGTGCCCCGCCCCTTTCCCGGTGATACCTGTGTGCCCCGCCCATGAGGGGACGTCTTTAAAGAACCTGGACCCGCCCTCAGTCCAAGTGATTTACATTTGCGGCCCCGCCCCTCTGGGAAACTTACGAGAACCTGGCCCCTCAGTCCAAATCATTTGCATGTTCGGCCCCATCCCTCGGGGGCCTTAAAGAACCAAGATGCCTGCGGACCCTTCCCCCACGGAGACCAGGCCCCTACTGCTCTAAAAGTGTTCTCAGACACTTCCCTCTGCAGCCGCTCCCAGAGTAAACGGCGGCTCCGCCGGGTCGGAGTCCACCTGAGGCGTTCAGGGCCAGAAGGACTCCTGGGGCTGCAGCACTCTGCAGCCCCGCCTCGGCTGGCCCCGCGGTGGCTGAGTCTGGCCCGGCCCCAGGACCACGTCCGGCCGGCGGTGGCGCACAGTATTTGACGAATGGGACTGCGGGAGCCGCCGCCTCTGCAAGGGGCACCGCCTGGCCACGCCCTCGGGCTCTCTTAAAGGAGCCGCACCCCCACCCCAGGGCAATCATCGGACCCGGACCAGGCCTCCGGGTGACACATCCGGCTCTCAGAGGCGCCAGGACCCTATCATTCATCCCTTTCCACGTGCAAAGTGAAAAGTCAGAGCCCGGGCACACACCTTGGCCGTTTATGTATACAGAAGTGGGGTGCCGGGCGGGAAGGGCGCGGGGAATGAGGGAACCTAGAGGCCGATGACGTCGTTCAGCTCGAGGTCCGCGTTGGGGCGGCAGCGGGCCTGGGGGGGCTGCGTCCCGGGGCGGGGTTCCGCGTCGGGCTTGGCGGCAGCCGCCTCCGGGCGCGCCGCGTCCATGACGCCCAGCACCGCGTCCAGCATGGAGGGCCCCAGATCCAGGTGGAAGGACAGCAGCGGGTCGGCAGGCGAGGGCGCTGCGGACTGCGGGACGGCGGGCGGCGGCGGGGAGCGCGGGGCCCCCGCGGGGGGCGCCCGGGGCTCGGGGGGCGGCCCGCCGCCGTGGCGGCTCAGGAACGAGGTGTCCCCGAAGGCGTCGCCGCCGCGCCCCACGTGCAGCGTGTGCCGGAAGTCGCCGAGCGGCGCGGAGATGGACAGGGCGCCGCGATCAGGCCGCTTCTTGGGCTGCGCGGGGCCCAGCTGCTTCAGCACGGGCATCTGCGAGGGGCACGGGAGGGTCAGCGCGGCCCCAGCCCGGGGCTCGCAGCCACGCGACTGCTCAAAGGACGATGGGGGACGGTTCCCGTTTTTTGTTTTTTGATTTTTGTTTTTGAGACGGAGTCTCGCCCATGCTGGAGTTCAATGGCGCCATCCCGGCTCACCGCAACCTCCGCCTCCCGGGTTCAGGCGATTCTTCCTCCTCAGTCTCCCGAGTAGCTGGGATTACAGGCACCCGCCACCATACCCAGCCAATTTTTGTATTTTTGTAGAGACGGGGTTTCACAATGTTGGCCAGGCTGGTCTTGAACTCCTGACCTCAGGTGATCAACCCGCCTCAGTCTCCCAAAATGCTGGGATAACAGGCGTGAGCCACCGCGCCCGGCCTCCCGTTTCACAGATGGGGTAAGATGAGACTCCAGGAGGTCCCATGGGCACAGCTGCTGAGCTCACATTTGGATCTAACCTGACTCCAGAATGCCTATGAACACCATGCTATGCCGATCCTCCTGAGAGCGAATACTTGAGCCTTCCTAGAGGTCAAGTAACAAATATTTCACAAACCCTTCAGAGTGCTTCCCAGACTTGACTGATAGAAAACTCCAGCTTGTTGGCCCGGGTGCGGTGGCTCACTCCTGTAATCCCAGCACCTTGGGAGGCCGAGGCGGGCGGATCGCTTGAGGCCAGGAGTTCGAGACCAGCCTGAGCAACATGGTGAAACCCCATCTCTATAAAAAATGCAAAAATTAGCGGGGCATGGTGGCGCATGCCTGTAATCCCAGCTAAAGTAGGAGAATCGCTTGAACCCCGGAGGCGGAGGTTGCAGGGAGCCGAGATCGTGTCACTGTATTGGCCACTGCACTCCAGCCTGGGCAACAGGAGTGAAACCCTGTCTCAATAAAAAGAAAAAGAAAACTCCAGCTTGTCAAAAATGGAAATTCCCAGGCTCCTGTTCTGAAGACAGGGCTGACTCTGTCCATTAAGCAAAGCAGATCCTGCCTAGAGCCCACCACGCACACGAGGAAGAGGCCCAGGTGGGCTTTGCCTAGGGTGCATTTTATGATTTGAATTACAGTCCTTGGTATCTGTGGGTTCCGCATCAGCAGATTCAATCAACTGCTGATAAAAAATACTGGGGAAAAAATACAGTAATAAAAAATGAGTACAAGTTTCAAACAATATAACAATTATTTGCAAAGCATTTACATTGTATTATGCATTATAAGTAATCTAGAGATGATTTAAAGTGTAGGAGAGGATGTACATAGGTTATATGCAAATACTAGGGCATTTATATAAGAGACTTAAACATCTGCATATTTGGGTATCCATAGGGGTCCCAGAACCAGTCCCATCACTGCTACCAAGGGGCAACTGTACCTGATCTTTTTTTTTTTTTTTGAGACGCTAATTTTTGTATTTTTAGTAGAGACAGGGTTTCACCATGTTGGTCAGGCTGGTCTTGAACTCCTGACCTCGTGATCTGCCCGCCTCGGCCTCCCGAAGTGCTGGGATTACAGGCATGAGCCACCACGCCTGGCCAACTGTACCTGATCTTGAGACTACAACCTAACAATATGATGTCTTATGTTTTCTAAAATAATAATATAAATTCCCTAGCCAGGCATGGTGGCTCACACCTGTAATCCCAGCACTTTTGGAGGCTGAAGCGGGTGGATCACCTGAGGTCAGGACTTTGAGACCAGCCTGACCAACATGGTGAAACTCCATCTCTACTAAAAAAAAAATACAAAATTAGCTGGTTGTGGTGGTGCATGCCTGTAATCCCAGCTACTTGAGAGGCTGAGGCAGGAGAATCGCTTGAACTTGGGAGGCAGAGGTTGTGGTGAGCTGAGATCGCGCCATTGCATTCCAGCCTGGGTGACAGAGTATGACTCTGTCTCAAAAAAAAAATAAAAAGCCCTATGTTAAAAAAAATGGGAAGAATTGCATAAATTTGAAGCTGGCAGCATCTGCATTGTAAACTAGGTGCTTTATTGCCCATAGCTGCACCAAATTCTTTTTTTTTTTTTTTTTGAGACGGAGTCTTGTTCTGTTGCCCAGGCTGGGGTTCAAGCGATTCTCCTGCCTCAGCCTCCTGAGTGGCTGGAATTACAGGTGTGCGCTGCCATGCCCTGCAAATTTTTGTATTTTTAGTAGAGATGAGGTTTCACTATGTTGGCCAGGCTGGACTCAAACTCATGACTTCAGGTGATCCGCCTGCCTTGGCCTCCCAAAGTGTTGGGAATACAGGCATGAGCCACCACGCCCGGCCTAAATTCAATATGAAATAGAAACGCAGCCACAGAGTCTGCCCATATCCTGGTCATTGCATGTTTTGTGTGGAACTTCTGGGAGGGACTTTGATGACCTTGTACTTTTGTTTTAACAGTCACTGTTATCGCAATAATAAAAACCTATTTCAGTTGAAGCCCTACCCTTTGCCAGCTGTATGAACTGCAATAAATTACTTTATTTCCCTGTTTACTTTTCTATCTGTAAGATAAATAAAATAACACTACCTTCCTTTCAGGATACATAGAAAAGTCTGATCAAAGAAAACTATACTTGTAATAGTGCTAACCAATGGGTAATGCTAGCGTTGGGGGGAAAATATTTCCCTAACAATAATTGTGGAACAAAAATTAGGTTGGATAGAACACTATGAGAAAGACAAAGCCGCTGACATTGTTTTCACCGTAACAGGCACCCTGGGAAGTATTGGTGATAATATGGAGGAAAATGAAAGCCAAAGGGATTTAAAATAATTGTAGATGGCTAGATTCTGAAGACTGGCCTACACACACACACACACACACACACACTCTTTACATTGATTTCCATGGGGAAACCAGTTTTGATTTACTACCTCTGCAGCATTTATCAAATTTCTCTGACCTCAACCTAGATGAATAAATATATTTTTATCGTTACCTAGCACACAATCTCCACTCTCTCCTTCCCCATAATGGAAACAAAAATTTTAAGAAACAAGATTTGTCTTGTTTTGAGACAGGGTCTCACTCTGTCACCCAGCTGGAGTGCGGTGGTGAGATCTTGGCTCACTGCAACCTCCGCCTCCCGGACTCAAGCGATCCTCCCACCTCAGACTCCTGAGTAGCTGGGACTACAGGCTCATGCTACCATGTAGTGTTATTTTTGTATTTTTTTTTTTTTTGTAGAGATGGGGTTTCACCATGTTGCCCAGGCTGGTCTCAAACTCCTGAGCTCAAGCAATCTGCCCGCCTTGGCCTCCCAAAGTGCTGAGATTACAGGTGTGTGCCAGTAAGCCCGGCCAATACTTACTTGTCTTACAACGTGGTAGATACTCTGATTCCTTCCTTCCTTCCTTCCTTCCTTCCTTCCTTCCTTCCTTCCTTCCTTCCTTCTTTCTTTCTTTTCTTCCCTCCCTCCCTCCTTCCTTCCTTCCTTTCTTTTCTTTCTTTCTCCTTCCTTCCTTCTTTCTTTCTTTTCTTTTTTGATGGAGTCTTGCTCTGTCACCCAGGCAAGAGTGCAATGGCGCGATCTCGGCTCACTGCAACCTCCGCCTCCCAGGTTCAAGTGATTCTCCTGCCTCAGCCTCCCGAGTAGCTGGGATTATAGGTGCACACCACCATGCTTGGCTAATTTTTGTATTTTATAGTAGAGATGGGGTTTCACCATGTTGGCCAGGCTGGTCTCGAACTCCTGATCTCGTGATCTGCCCACCTCGGCCTCCCAAAGTGCTGGGATTACAGGCATGAGCCACCACACCCGGCCCCTACTCTGATATTTTCTATTGTAATCTATTTTATTTTTAAATGTTGAGCTCAGCTCATTAATGTATCTTCTGGATCCACAGTTTAAAAAAAAAATCCTCTCTAGCTGCTAACAGAGCCTATGATCTCAGCACTTGCTCTGCTGTGGGTCAGAGGTGAAAAAGTGGAATTCAGAAAGTCCATTGCACAGGTTTGAATCTGGCTGTGCTGATCGCTCTGTGGCTTTGAGCAACTTACTTGACCTTTCTGACCTCATTTCCTTATCTTGAAAATGGCATGATATTAATCTAATACTTCCCAGTCCTTTTGCAAGAATTGGTGGAGGGATATGTCCCTGCAAGTCTTGGCACAGTGCCCAGCGCACAGGGAATGTTCAATTAACATATGCTCAATGGAGTCACACCTCGGATCATTCTCCCAGTGTTCCAGAGAAGGAAATGGGTGATCCGAGACAGGACGTGACTGACCAAGATCACAAAGCCAGCTCTAGGGAACTCCAGTGTCTAGAGCTGGCTGCCTCCACTCTCTGCTGCCTCTTGACTCGTGGACAGCTCTCAGCCCCTGCCTCTGGTCAGACCCAGCTCCCAGCATGCACCTCGCATCCCCCTTCCATTGCCCTATCCGTTGCCACCACTTTTCAGCACCTGGCAACACACATAAAGTCTTGGTTTCTGACATCACACACATCTGGGCTCAAATTTTGCCATTTCCTTCTTGTGCGATCCCAAACTGGCTTCCTCAACCTAAAGCTCAGTTTACTCCTCAAAAAACAGGGGTTGGAACTCTTGTTTGTGGCTGGGCGCCGTGGCTCACACCTACAATGCCAGCTCTTTGGGAGGCTGAGACAGCAGGATCACTTGAGCCCAGGAGTTTGAGACCAGAATGCGCAACATAGTGAGATGATCTCTCTACAAAAATAAAAATAAAAAATTAGCCAGGTGCTGTGTCATGCACCTGCAGTTCCAGCTACCTGGGAGGCTGAAAAGGGAAGATCCCTTGAGCCCAGGAGTTTGAGGCTGCAGTGAGGTATGATCGTCCCACCGCACTTCAGCCTGGGCAACAGAAAGAGACCCTGTCTCAAGAAGAAAAGAAAAGGAGAGAGAGAGAGAAAAAGAGAGAGAAGGAAAGGAGGGAGGAGAGGGAGGGAAAAAAGGAAGGAAGGAAGGAAAGAGAAAGAAAGAGAAAGAAAAAGAAAGGAAAGGAAGGAGAAAGAAAGAAAGGAAAGAAGGAAGGAAGGAAGGAAGGAAAAAGAAAGAAAAAAAGAAGGAAAGAAAGAAAGGGAAGAAAGAAAGACTACACTGAGGGTGCCGAAATTTTATTTTCCAAGTGCTTATCCTGGGCCAGGCACCAGCCTGAGTGCCTCCCCATGAATGAACTAATTTATTTAATCTTCAGGACAACTCCATTTTACAGATGCGCGATGGCTGAGACACAGAGAAGTTAAGTCACTTGCCCTGGGTCACACAGTAGCAAATGCTGCGCGCCAGATCTGGAATCCAGACGAACTCTTAGCTCCCCATAGGAGACTACGGGCATGCCACCCCATGAGAAAAAAAATAATAATGTTCTGATTTGATATGAAGGCGAGAGATTTCCTCTGACACCCTTGATTGTCTTTTTTCCTCTCCAGTCCAGACCAGAACAACGAGTTGGAAGTCGTTTTCGAATGCCACCTCTGCGCCCTAGCTCTGAGACCCTGGGTAAGTCGCTTCACTTCTGCCAGCCTGCGTGTCCTCTTAAATAGAAGCCTCTGACCTCCCTCTGGTTGAATTGTGTTTAAAGCAATGAGGTCATGCTCGGAAAAAGTCCCTCACGCTGCCAGGGCTCGGGACAGAGGGGCTGTTGTTTGTGACCAACGTGGAACAGGCAGAAAGCGGGGCGCGACCGTGGAGCCCGGGGAGGCCCGGGCCGCGGGTTCTCCCCCCGCCTCCGCCCACCCCTCTCTTTCCTGCTGGGGCAGGGCCACGGCTCCAGCTGCAGGGTGGCGGGCACAGCTGGTTCACCTCTGTCCTCTCTCAGTCCCGGCCCCGCCAGGACGGAAATAACAACCCACTCTAGATCCGGCCCAACTGGTTCTCAGACCCGTGGGAGCTGCGGTGCAGCCGGGTCGGGGGACCCCAGATGGGGAGACCCCCGGCCCGGCGAGGGCTTCACTGCGCGCTTCCTGCAGCCACGTGGCTGCGGCCGGGAATTCAGCGGCCCTTTTCCCTCCCGACCGGGACCCAGGACCCCTGTCCCCACCGCGCCTTACCTCGCGGTCCTCCCAGAGCGGGGCGGGCGCGCGCTCACGACTCCAGCTCTAGCCCGGACCCCTGGTTCCCTGGCTCCGAGTCCGCCTCCGTCTCCTAATCCCCGGCCCGCGCCTTCCTTCTTCCTCCGGGCGGGTTCTCACCTGGTAAGGAAAGTGTCATGTGGAACCCGGAGGGAGATTCAGGAGCCAGGCATCCGGGTCCGTAGAGCCACCTCCTCCTTCGCCCTCAGGTCCTAGGCGTCCTAGATCTTCGCTTTCTTAATCCCACCCCAGACCCGAAAGTCAGGGGCCCCCAGCCCCTTCTTCCTCAGACCCAGGAGTCAAGACCCCCCAGCCCCTCCTCCCTCAGACCCAGGAGTCCAGACCCCCAGCCCCTCCTCCCTCAGACCCAGGAGTCCAGGCCCCCAGGCCCTCCTCCCTCAGACCCAGGAGTCCAGACCCCAGCCCCTCCTCCCTCAGACCCAGGAGTCCAGGCCCCCAGCCCCTCCTCCCTCAGACCCAGGAGTCCAGGCCCCCAGGCCCTCCTCCCTCAGACTCATGAGTCCAGACCCCCAGCCCCTCCTCCCTCAGACCCAGGAGTCCAGACCCCCAGCCCCTCCTCCCTCAGACCCAGGAGTCCAGGCCCCCAGCCCCTCCTCCCTCAGACCCAGGAGTCCAGACCCCCCAGCCCCTCCTCCCTCAGACTCATGAGTCCAGACCCCCAGCCCCTCCTCCCTCAGACCCAGGAGTCCAGACCCCCAGCCCCTCCTCCCTCAGACCCAGGAATCCAGGCCCCATCCCCTCCTCCCTCAGACCCAGGAGTCAAGACCCCCCAGCCCCTCCTCCCTCAGACCCAGGAGTCCAGACCTCCAGCCCTTCCTCCTCCCTCAGACCCAGGAGTCAAGACCCCCCCAGCCCCTCCTCCCTCAGACCCAGGAGTCCAGGCCCCCAGCCCCTCCTCCCTCAGACCCAGGAGTCCAGACCCCCAGCCCCTCCTCCCTCAGACCCAGGAGTCCAGGCCCCCATCCCCTCCTCCCTCAGACCCAGGAGTCCAGGCCCCCAGCCCCTCCTCCCTCAGACCCAGGAATCCAGGCCCCATCCCCTCCTCCCTCAGACCCAGGAGTCCAGACCCCCAGCCCCTCCTCCCTCAGACTCAGGGGTCCAGACCCCCAGCCCCTTCTTCCTCAGACCCAGGAGTCAAGACCCCCCAGCCCCTCCTCCCTCAGACCCAGGAGTCAAGACCCCCCAGCCCCTCCTCCCTCAGACCCAGGAGTCAAGACCCCCCAGCCCCTCCTCCCTCAGACTCATGAGTCCAGACCCCCAGCCCCTCCTCCCTCAGACCCAGGAGTCCAGACCCCCAGCCCCTCCTCCCTCAGACCCAGGAGTCCAGGCCCCACCCCTGGCAAGCCCTGGCATAAGGCCCCTTTACCTGCACCGGGAGCTAAAGTGTCAGCCCCTCTCGGGGGCCATGGCAGGAGCCCAGGCAGAAGCGGAATCACCGCCCAGTCCCCAGGCAGAGAGGGTTTTGGCACAGGCCCCTCCCAGGCTTTCTTATCCCCCAAAAGTTTGCCTCTAGGAGTTAAAGGACTAGAAAGCAGTGGTGGAAAAGCTGAGGCCCCTCTGGGCGGAGTGTGGGGGCGGGAGGAGGCCAGGACTAAGTGTGCAGGGGGAACTGGCAGAGGGGGTGGGGCTGGACAGGGCGCGCCCCCAGCCTGGCCCCTCCCCTGCACAGCTTGGAATTTCCTGAAACTGGGGAAGTCTGGCTGTTTAGAAGAGTAATTTCTTCCAGATTGCAGCTGTATGGAGAGAGAGAGAGGGAGAGAGAGAGAGAGAAAGAGAGAAGAGAGGCAGGTCAGACAGTGAAAGCAGCAGGAGGATGAAGAGCATGGAGGGTGTCTGAGAGGGGCAGCTCTGGCTTTGCTGCGGCGTCCCCTAGATGAACCTCCCTGCCTGGAGCCACTCCGTCATAGAAAGCTCATATCTCATTCTAAGCACCAGTGTCTATTGATGACAAGAGAGTGAGGTTTGAGTGTTAGGGCAATTCCTTCAGGGCGGTGCGGGCAGGGAGAGAGAGCGGAGGGGGAGAGCAGAGTCCCAAGGCAGGATGCAGCTCAGTGGGAAGAAGGTGGGAAGCCCAGGTGGGAGTCTAGGTCTGTGGGAGGGAGGTGGAGGCCCAGGTGGGAGGCTGGGTCAGCGGGAGGGAGGTGGAGATGCAGGTTGGAGCCTGGGTCAGGGTCAGAGGGAGAGGGAGAGGGAAGCCCAGGTAGGAGGCAGCTCAGTGAGAGAAAGGGGAGGCCCAGGTGGGAGGCTAGGTCAGTGGTTTTACCCCTAGCTGGGGCTGGGGTTGTAGTGCTGGAGAGAAGACAGTCAATTTGCGATAACAGGAAGCAGCCTTGAGCTGGGTCTTAAGGATGAGTGAGAGTTGATGGAGCCCAGGAGAGGAGGATGGATATCGGAGCAGAATGGGGAAGCTGGGTGGGGCAGAGGGTTCTCAGACACCAGGTGGAGTTTGATTTGCCTGGAGAAGCCAGCTTGAAAGCCACTGGGAGCTTCAGTTTGCCCTGCAGGCGTGGGGGGACCGCGGAGGAATGGCAGGGAAAGATCCAGGTGTTAGAAAGTTCCCACTGGGGTCCCCGCAGGGGATGGAGTGAAGCAGGTCAGGACTCAGCACCCACAGCAAAATTTAAGGGGGGAGGGGGCAGTGGTCACCAGAAACTCAGTAATCAGAAAAACTATATATATATATATATATATGTTACAGACTTTTATTAAGTATTTTTTATTGATGTAAAATTCACATAACATAAAATTAACCATCTTTTTTTTTTCTTTTTTTTTAATTGAGACGGAGTTTTGTTCTTGTTGCCCAGGCTGGAGTGCAATGGCGCGATCTCCACTCACTGCAACCTCCACCTTCCAGGTTCAAGCGATTCTCCTGCCTCAGCCTGTTGAGTAGCCGGGATTACCGGTGCCTGCCACCACGCCCAGCTAATTTTGTATTTTTAGTAGAGACGGGGTTTCTCCACGTTGGTCAGGCTGGTCTCGAACTCCCGACCTCAGGTTATCCGCCTGCCTCGGCTTCCAAAGTGCTGGGATTATAGGTGTGAGCCACTGCATCGGGCCAGAATTAACCATCTTAAGGTGTACAGTTCAGTGACATTTAGTACATTCCCAATGGAACATACCTAATTGGTACACTGGTAATTGTGTAGCCATCCTTTCTATCAAGTTCCCAAACATTTTCATCACCCCTAAAGAAAACCCTATTAAGCGGTCACTCCCATGCCCCGCTCTCTGCAGCCCCTGGAAACCACTCCCCTGTTTTCTGATTCATGGATTACCTCTTCTGGACATTCGCATAAATGGAATCACACATCATACAGCCTTACCTATCTGACTTCCTTCACATAAGCAGGTTCATCCGTGTGCAGCATGTGCCAGTGGTTCATTACATGTATTATGTACATACGTTAAGATATATATAAAGGCCAAGTGCAGTGGCTCACGCCTGTAATCCCAGCACTTTGGGAAGCCAAGGCGGGTGGATCACTTGAGGTCAGAAGCTCAAGACCAGCCTGGCCAACTTGGTGAAACGCTGACTCTACTAAAAAAATACAAAAATCAGCTGGGCGCAGTGGTGTGTAGTCTCAGGTACTCGGGAGGCTGAGGCAGGATACTCGCTTGAACGCAGGAGGCGGAGGTTGCAGTGAGCCCAGATCGAGCCACTGCACTCCAGCCTGGACAACAGAGCAAGACTCGCTCTAAAAAAAAAAAAAAAAAAAAAAAAAGGACGAAAAAAAGAAAAAGAGATATGTATATAAGAGATCTATTTGTCACGTGTGTAATCCCAGCACCAGCACTTAGGGAGGCTGAGGCGGGCAGATCACGAGGTCAGGAGATCGAGACCATCCTGGCTAACACGGTGAAACCTCGTCTCTACTAAAAATACAAAAAATTAGCCGGGCATGGTGGCGGGCGCCTGTAGTCCCAGCTACTCGGGAGGCTGAGGCAGGAGAATGGCGTGAACCCGGGAGGCGGAGCTTGCAGTGAGCTGAGATCTCGCCATTGCACTCCAGCCTCGGCGATAGAGCGAGACCCAAAAAACAAACAAACCAAAACAACAACAACAACAACTAACCATCACGCCAGGATAATCTCCCTGACGTAAGATCCACAATTTTAAGTGCATCTGCAGACCTATTCACGGGTCGCAGGGATTTGTGCGTGGACATCTTGCATGTGCGGGGGTGGGTGGGGCTATTCTGCTACCACAGTGCCCCTCAGAGGTCAGGTCCTGGGAGGGGGCGGGGCCAAAGCAGGGCCAGCTTCATGGGTTGCCCAGTGACCCATGCTCGGAGGGCCCTGCACCTTTCTTTTTTTGTTTGTTTTTGAGACAAAGCCTTACTCTGTTGCTCAGGCTGGAGTGTCAAAGGCAAGATCTTGGCTCACTGCAACCTCTGCCTCCCGGGTTCCAGCAATTCTCCCGCCTCAGCCTCTCCAGTAGCTGGGATTACAGGCGCACGCCACCACGCCCAGCTACTTTTTGTATTTTTAGTAGAGACGGGGTTTCACCATGTTGGCCAGGCTGGTCTTGAACTCCTGACCTCAGGTGATCCGCCCGCCTCGGTCTCCCAAAGTGCTGGAATTACCGGCGTGAGCCACTGCACCTGGCCTTTTTGTTTGTTTTTTAGACAGAGTCTCTATCTGTTGCTCAGGCTGGAGTGCCAATGGTGAGATCTCAGCTCACTGAAACCTCCACCTCCCGGGTTCAAGCGATTCTCCTGCCTCAGCCTCCTGAGTTGCTGCAATTACAGGCATGCGCCACCACACCTGGCTAATTTTTGTGTTTTTAGTAGAGACGGGGTTTCACCATATTGGCCAGGCTGGTCTCGAACTCCTAACCTCAGGTGATCGGCCGGCCTTGGCCTCCCAAAGTGCTGGGATCACAGGAATGAGACACCGCGCCCGGCCACCACACTTCTTTTAATGCTCAGTTGTCACCAATTTGAAATTCCTTACGTTTTGAAGAAGGGATCCTGAGTTCTCATTTGCAATAGACCCCACCAATTATGTGGCTGGTTCTGGATGGAACAGCGGGAAGGGCAGAGGCCTGGGAGAAAGTGGCCGAGAAGAGCAACGATGGAGAGATAAAAGGGAAAGGAACTCTGGATGATACCCTGGCAGCAGCCTGGGAAAGCAAAGAGGGAGGAAGAGAGAGGTGTGTCCCAGAAGCCTGGAGTGGGAGATGCACCGTCCCTTCCTTGTGGACTCAAAAGCAGGCTAAGTATGATTAAAAAAAAAAAAAAAAAGAGGGAGTGAGGTCCACTGGACTCAGTAAGAATCCAGAGTTCACTGGGGGCCTGGGTGAGAGCAGACCCAAATGGGGTGGGCAGGGAGAGGTCAGATTGCAGTGGAGAAGGCCAGAGAGAGAGAGATTGGAGGCCAGGAAAGGCGGAGGGGTCAGCAGATAACCCAGGGTGTCCTCTGTGAAGGGAAAGAGAGATAAGGTATCTGGAAGAACAGGGAAGGTCAAAGAAAGGTTTTAGGTTTTTTGGTTCATCTGGATACATTCCCAACTTTTTTTTTTTTTTTTTTTTTCTGAGACAGAGTCTCAGTGTATCACCCAGGCTGGAGTGCAGTGGCACAATCTCAGCTCACTGCAACCTCTGCCTCCCGGGTTCAAGCAATTCTCCTGCCTCATCCTTCTGAGTAGCTGGGACTACAGGTGTGTGCCAGCATGCCCAGCTAACTGTGTAGAGATAGGGTTTCGCCATGTTGCCCAGGCTGGTCTTGAACTCCTAGACTCAAGCAATCTACGCGTCTCAGCTTCTCAAAGTCCTGGGATTACAGACCTGAGCCACTGTGCCCAGCTGGTTCCTGAGACTGCACCATGATTCCTTAGCTGATTTCAGTGAGTACATACTGCCAGTGCCCCTACATAATTATACACCAGTTCCTAGAATCTTTTTGTAATTATTCAGACTTTTATAGCAATCTAATCATCACTACCCGGCAATTTGTTTTCTTAAGTCTAGTGCTATTGAGGGGGTTCCAACGTTTCCCTTTTAAATGTTTCAGCCCCTCTTCTGAGTAGCAGGGACATGGATGGAACTTTGATCCTATCTTATCCTTAAAGAGCTTACAGGATATTGAGAGGAGAGGAGGGAAGTTGACATGGCACCACCCAGTGGAATGACATAGTCAGCACAGAGCTCAGTGGGAGCACAGAGGAAGAGCGCCAGGCCCATCATGTCCAGCTGCGTAGGTTGTGCACTGCACAACTCTGGGGTCATCATATCACAAACTGAGTGTGAAGAGCCTTGTGAGGCTTCCAGGACAGGTTTCTAGGGGTCACCAGATGCTGGTCTAGATCAGGATGGAGGAATCTTGACTCCTAGAAAGAGGTGGGCAGGGAATTGCTGAGGACGTTTGAAGTCTAATGGGCTGAGCCTTCCCTGTGGTGAGTGGCAGCTCAGCTTTCTAGAGGAAGTTTGGGAAGAAGAATCCTCAGTGAAGGGGTGTTCTACTTGGAGTGATTCGTGTTTCCTTCCAGCTCACTCAGGGTAGTCATGGCCTCTTCCCTTTCCCTGGCTCTCAGTCTGCATCCACCACACTGTTCCCCCTGCTGAACTTTGCACACTCCAGACCACTGGACCACTGCTGCACTTTCTCATTTATCCAGATCATTTTCACCTTCTAGTAAGCTGTGAATGTGCTTATTATGCCCAAGGGTTACTGTCTGTCTCCTTCTGCAAGAATATAGGCTCCTCGGCTGGGCGTTCTGGGTCAGGCCTGTCATCCCCAGCACTTTGGGAGGCCGAGGTGGGCAGATCACGAGGTCAGGAGATGGAGACAATCCTGGCTAATGCGATGAAACCCCATCTCTACTAAAAATACAAAAAATTAGCGGGGCGTGGTGATGCATGCCTGTAATCCCAGCTACTCGGGAGGCTGAGGCAGGAGAATCGCTTGAACCCAGGAGGCGGAGGTTGCAGTGAGCCGAGATCGCGCCACTGCACTCCAGCCTGGGAGACGAGCGAGACTCCATCTCAAAAAAAAAAAAAAAAAAAGAATATAAGCTCCTCGATGGCAAGGATGTTTTGCATATTGATGGACCGCTAGAGCCTCAAACAGTGTCTGGCACACAGGACAGGACCAACAAATACTGAATGAGAAAAGTGAATGACAGATGGAAAAGAACAGAACTAAACAGGGAGTTTCTCCACTGGGACCACAAGAGGGCACTCAAGATCCGTGTCAAACCCTTGAAGCCCCAAGGTGGGTGGTCTCTCTGCTCCTCAGCCTGGAGGACCAGGGACAGGTGACCTGGACCACGTCCTTTCTCCTCTGTGAGCCTCTATTTCCCCATGTGTAGCGTGGAGATGGAAATGCCTGAAATACGTTCTTGTGAGAAGCAAAAACCCAACAACGCATGCACGTGAATGTCTTCCAAGGGGTTGCACGTGTCCAAATTCATCTAATTGTGTACATTAAGTGAGAGGGTTTTTTAGTAGAACAATTATAGCTAAACAAAGCTGCTAAAATGTAAATAAAATAAAAAATAAAACTTGCATTGAACAACAACAGAGCCGTTAGGCTAGAGCAAGAAATCTGAAGGATGGCAATCCAGACCCCAATAAATCCACAAAGGGGTGTGTGTGTGTGTGTGTGTGTGTGTGTGTGTGTGTGTGTGTGTGTATGTATTTTTTTTTTTTTTTGAGACGGAGTTTCACTCTTGTTGCCCAGGCTGGAGTGCGATGGCGCGATCTCGGATAACCTCAACCTCTGCCTACTGGATTCAAGCAATTCTCCTACCTCAGGCTTCCGAGTAGCTGGGATTACAGGCATGTGCCATCACGCCTGGCTAATAGAAATATTAATTACATGAAGCAACCAGTGAGCACAATGCTATCCTGTGAAATTATTAAAACCTAAAACTAAATGGAAGCTCTGGTTGAAAAGTGCAATACATTCCTAGCAGGATGGGAGACATTCAGCAAAATCAATCATGTGTCTGTATACTAATGAACAATAATTTAAAAACGAAGTGAGGAGAGGAATTTTATTTACAAAGCCTCCAAAGTAATAAAATGAGTGGGAAGAAATTTAATAAAAGAAATAAAGGACGTGTATACTAAAAATTACAAAAGATGCTGAGAAGTTAAAGATCTAAATAAACGGAGAGGCTGAGCGTGGTGGCTCACGCCTGTAATCTCAGCATTTTGGGAGGCCAAGGCAGGCAGGTTACTTGAGATCAGGAGTTGGAGACCAGCCTGGCCTACATGGGGAAACTGGTCTCCACTAAAAAACAAACAAACAAAAATTAGCCAGGCATGGTGGTGCACACCTGTAATCCCAGCTACTCAGGAGGCTGAGGCAGGAGAATCGCTTGAACCTGGGAGGCACAGGTTGCAGTGAGCCGAGATCGTGCCACTGCACTCCAGCCTGGATGGCAGAGCCAGACTCCATCTCAAAATAAATAAATACATACGAAAATGGAGAAACAGTTCATACATTCACAATAGCATCCAAAATAATAAATATAAGAAATAAAAATTAACAAAAAGTGTCATCTTGCAAAGCAGTAACATAATATGAAAAAACCCCACTGACCACATCCTTCCTCATTCTTAGAAAGGGAATTATGGTCATAGTGGTTGACCTGTGGCCATGTAATTCTGTCCAAATATCCCTGAATGGTAAATGTGAAAACAGTAGAATGAATTCCATTGAAAATAAGAAAACAAGAAGAAATAAAGTCAGAACGCAAAAGTTTTTTTTAAGGGTTATTGGGATGGAATTTTGTTTGTTTGTTTTTTTGAGATGCAGACTTACTCTGTCATCCAGGCTGGAGTGCAATGGTGCGATCTCAGCTCACTGCATTCTCCACCTTCCGGGTTGAAGCCATTCTCCTGCCTCAGCCTCCTGATTAGCTGAGATTATAGGCATGTGCCACCACGCCCGGCTAATTTTTGTATTTTTAGTAGACGGGGTTTCACCATATTGGCCAGGCTGGTCTCAAACTCCTAACCTCAGGTGATCGGCCGGCCTTGGCCTCCCAAAGTGCTGGGATCACAGGAATGAGCCACTGTGCCTGGCCACCACGCTTCTGTTAACGCTCAGCTGTCACCAATTTGAAATTCCTTACGTTTTGAAGAAGGGACGTCGAGTTCTCATTTGCAATAGACCCCACCAATTATGTGGCTGGTTCTGGATGGAACAGCGGGAAGGGCAGAGGCCTGAGAGAAAGCGGCCAAGAACAGCAACGATGGAGAGATAAAAGGGAAAGGAACTCTGGATGATACCCTGGCAGCAGCCTGGGAAAGCCAAGAGGGAGGAAGAGAGAGGTGTGTCCCAGAAGCCTGGAGTGGGAGATGCATCGTCCCTTTCTTGTGGTCTCAAAAGCAGGCCAAGTATGATTTTTTTTTTTTTTTAACTGCCGGGCGCGGTGTCTCAAGCCTGTAATCCCAGCACTTTGGGAGGCCGAGGCGGGCGGATCACGAGGTCAGGAGTTCAAGACCACCTTGGCCAACATGGTGAAACCTCATCTCTACTAAAAATACAATAATTAGCTGGGCGTAGTGGCGCGCGCCAAGATGGAGCTTACTCGGGCGGCTGAGGCAGGAGAATGGCGTGAACTGGGGAGGTGGGACTTGCAGTGAGCCAAGATCGGGCCACTGCACTCCAGCCTGGGCGACAGAGCGAGACTCCGTCTCAAAAAAAAAAAAAGCTCCTCGATGGCAAGGATGTTTGTTTTGTATATTGATGGACCGCGAGAGCACAGGAGAGGACCAACAAATACTGAATGAGAAGAATGAATGGCAGATGGAAAAGAACAGAACTAAACAGGGAGTTTCTCCACTGAGACCACAAGAGGGCACCCGAGATACGCGTCAAACCCTCGCAGCCCCAAGGTGGGTGGTCTCTGCTCCTCAGCCTGGAGGACCAGGGACAGGTGTGACCGGGACCACGTCCTTTCTCCTCTGTGAGCCTCTATTTCCCCATGTGTAGCGTGGAGATGGAAGTGCCTGAAATACGTTCTTGTGAGAAGCAAAACGCTAACAACACATGCACGTGAATGTCTTCTAAGGGGTTATTGCATACGTCCAAATTCATCTAATTGTGTATATTAAGTGAGAGGGTTTTTTAGTGGAACAATTGTAGCTAAATAAAGCTGCTAAAAAGTAAATAAAATAAAAAATGAAACTTGCAATGAACAACAGCAACAGAGTCATTACGCTAGAGCAAGAAATCTGAAGGATGGCAATCTAGACCCCAATAAATCCACGAAGTTAGAATTTTTTTTTTTTTTTTTTTTTTTGGTGACGGAATTTCGCTCTTGTTGCCCAGGCTGGCTTACAATGGTGCAATCTCGGCTCACCGCAACTGCCGCGTCCCGGGTTCAAGCATTTCTCCCATCTCAGCTTTCTGAGTAGCTGGGATTACAGGCATGTGCCATCGCTCCCGGCTAACAGAAATATTAATTACATGAAACGACCAGTGAGCACAGTGCTATCCTGTGAAATTATTAAAACATAAAACTAAGGCCGGGCGCGGTGGCTCACGCCTGTAATCCCAGCACTTTGGGAGGCCGAGGCGGGTGGATCACGAGGTCAGGAGATCGAGACCATCCTGGCTAACAAGGTGAAACCCCGTCTCTACTAAAAATACAAAAAAATTAGCCGGGCGTGGTGGCGGGCGCCTGTAGTCCCAGCTACTCGGGAGGCTGAGGCAGGAGAATGGCGTGAACCCGGGAGGCGGAGCTTGCAGTGAGCCGAGATTGCACCACTGCACTCCAGCCTGGGAGACAGAGCGAGACTCCGTCTCAAAAAAAACAAAAACAAAACCCATAAAACTAAATGAAGCTCTGGAGTTGAAAAGTACCACACATTCCTAGCAGGATAGGAGATATATTCACCAAAATCAATCATGTGTCTGTATACGAACGAACAATAATTTAAAAATGAAATGAGGAGAGCAATTTCATTTACAAAGCCTCCAAAATAATAAAATGAATGGGAAGAAATGTAATAAAAGAAGTGAAAGACGTGGATACTAAAAATTACAAAAGATGCTGAGGAGAAATTAAAGATGTAAATAAATGGAGAGGCCGAGTGCGGTGGCTCATGCCTGTAATCTCAGCACTTTGGGAGGCTAAGGCAGGTGGATTACCTGAGGTCAGGAGTTCTAGACTAGCCTGGCAAACATGGGGAAACCTGATCTATACTAAACAAAACAAAACAAAACAAAACAAAACAAAACAAAAAACTTAGCTCCAGCTTAGAGCCAGACTCCATCCCAAAATTAATAGATAAATACATACATGCATGCATACATAAATGGAGAAAGTTTATACATTCACAATAGCATCTGACATAATAAATGTAAGAAATAAAATGAATAAAAAGTGTCATCTTGCAAAGCAGTAAAATAAGATGAAAAAACCTCACTGACCACATCCTTCCTCATTCTCAGAAAGGGAATCACGGTCATAGTGGTTGACCTGTGGCCGTGTAATTCTGTCCAAATATCCATGAATGGTAAATGTGAAAACAGTAGAATGAATTCCATTGAAAATAAGAAAACAAGAAGAAATAAAGTCAGAACTCAAAAGTGTTTTTGAAGTGTTATTGGGATGGGGTTTTTTTTTTTTTTTTTTTTTTTTTTTTTAGACGGAGACTCGCTGTGTCGCCGAGGCTGGAGTGCATGGTGCGATCTCGGCTCACTGAAACCTCTGCCTCCTGGGTTCAAGCGATTCTCCTGCTTCAGCCTCCTGAGTAGCTGATATTATAGGCGCGCACCATCATGCCTGGCTAATTTTTGTATTTTTAGTAGAGACGGGGTTTCATCATGTTGGCCAGGCTGGTCTCGAACTCCTGACCTCAGGTGATAAAGCCCACCTCAGCTTCCCAAAATACTGGCCTTACAGGCACGAGCCACTGCGCCCAGCCTATTTGTTATTATTTGATAATATTTATATTATCACCTATCAATTTATGATGACAAGTGCACTTAACATAAGATCTATCTTAGCAAATTTGTAAGGGTACAAGGCAGTCTTATTCCCTGCACACACTAAGCCGCACAGGAGACTCTAGGCCTTCCTCATCTTGCATGACTGAAACTCAAGAGGGAAAAATGAGGAGTTATCAGTCATAGGAAAGAGATCTTGATACCTTGCCTGTTCTTTCTAAGCCAATACTCTCAGCTCCTTAAAGGGGGCACTTTTATTTCATTTTATTTTTTTTCCCTCAGGTATAAATAATTTAATTTTTTTCAGTTATAAGGCTAACACATACTCAATTTAAAAATCCAAATAAAAACTCCTCAAAAAATGAAGAGCCATTTAAACTCCCTTGACCTAATATTAACTGCTACAAACATCGTGATTAATATTTTCCTACAAATCTCTCCTTCCATAAACATGTGTATAAACATGCATATGTAATTTAACTTACATGTGGCCTCTATATACGTGTTTTTTTTCCTGTTTTGCTCACTCAACAAAATCCTCGGTATCTTCCATGTCAATGAAAGTTAAACAGCACCATCATTTTTAATGACCACACAGTATTCCATTGCACTGGGCAGGTGGGGGGCAGGGCATTGTTTATTTAATATTTAAGTGTCCATTAAGTGATGGGCAATATGTTTCTAATTCACTGCTCTTCATTCTACAAGTGTTTGCTGAGCATCTATTATGTGCCAGGCCCTAAGTACCAGTGATAAAGTGATGATCAAGACAGAAGAGCCAAGACTTCCCTGGCCAAGTGAAGTCTCCATTCTAACGGCGGGAGAGGGACAGCGTACAAGTCAATGAGTGGATAATTAGAAAGGAGGATGAACGTCAAGAGGAAATGAAGACGAATCTTCTTAGCGAAGGAATGGGTGTCGGGCTAGTGGACTTCTTTCAACACAGTGGTCTAGGAAGGCTCTTCTTGCTGAGATGATGCTGAGCAGAGACCTGGAGGCTGTGGTGCAAAGCAGGAGGTCGGTGCACCCAGGCAGAGACGCGGAGCCCCGAGGCAGGGAGGGACCTGGTGTCTTCAAGGAACAGCAGGAATGTCATGTGGCCTGAGGGCAGGGAGTGAGGGGCACAGGGACCAACGTGAAATTGGAAAGATGAGTAAGTGTCCCGTAGGTCACAGAGTTTGGGTTTTGGGCCATGTGTACTATGAAGTCACTGGAGATTTCAATGGTAACAAAACATAATCTGATTTATGCTTTTAAAGGATCACTCTGGGGCCGGGTGCAGGGGCTCATGCCTGTAATCCCAGCACTTTGGGAGACTGAGGCGGGCGGATCATGAGGTCAAGAGATCGAGACCATCCTGGGCAACATGGTGAAACCCCGTCTCTACTAAAAATACAAATAAATTAGCCAGGCGTGGTGGTGGGTGCCTCTAATCCCAGCTACTCGGGAGGCTGAGGCAGGAGAATCGCTTGAACCCGGGAGGTGGAGGGTGCAGTGAGCCAAGATCACGCCACTGCACTGCAGCCTGGGCGACAGAGTGAGACTCCGTCTCAAAAAAAAAAAAAAAAAAAAAAGAAAGATTATTCTGGCTACAATATGGGGAGGGGCAGCTGAGTAGCACGAAATGAGCGTGGAGAGACCAGCTAGGGGATGTTCCCTGGACGAGGGGAGAGAGGGTGAACCTGGCGCCGTGGTGCTGGCAAGCAGTGTCTGCATGAGGACAGATTCTGAAGGTAGAACAAGGGGAGAGGGTGAGAAAGAGGAGCAGTTGAGGCGATTTCTAGGACTGCAGCTTGTCCAGGTGGTGGACGGGGAAGAAAACGTGGGAGAGCCACAATTTTAACTTTCTCATATTAATCCTTCCAGTGTTTGTTTCTGGGTGAATATGAGACAATATGAATGTATATTCTGATTCCCCCAATTCTTGGCACAATACAGATTTAATCCCTAAGAATACACTCTGGGATCTCTCCATAAAGTACATAGGCGATTTTCTTTTTATTTTCTTTTTTTGAGACAAGTCTCACTCTGTTGCCCATGCTGGAGTGCAGTGGTGCGATCTCAGCTCACTGCAATCTCCACCTCCCAGGTTGAAGCAATTCTCCTACTCAGCCTCCCGAGCTGAAATGATGGGCGCCAGCCACCAGGTCCAGCTAATTTTTTTGTATTTTTAGTAGAAACAGGGTTTTACCATGTTGGCCAGGCTGGTCTCGAACTCCTGGCCTCAGGTGATCTGCCCGCATCTGCCTTCCAAAGTGCTGGGATTACAGTCAGGAGCCTGGCCCATGGGGCATTTTCAAATATATTTCTCCCTGGTCTTCTAAATTCCAGACTGACTGATGAGAAGTCTGATGTAATTATGATAATAGAAACTTAGTACACCATTGTGTTTTTTCTCCCACCTTTGAGGTCTTCTTTATTTTCTTTTTCCTTTGAGATAATGCAGCTTGGTGAGTGCGGTGAGCCCTTAGGGAGGCATTTTTTCTCTCTCCCTAGCGTCACTGCTGGCTGGCTTCCTCCTCTCTGCCCTTTACTTCTTTTTTTTCATTCCAGCTCCTCAAGTTGCATGTTCAGTGATTAATTCTCCAAACTTCATAATTTCTTTTTTTTTTTTTTGAGATGGAGTCTCTGTCACCCAGGCTGGAGTACGGTGGCGCGATCTCGGTTCACTGCAACCTCCACCTCCCGGGTTCAAGCGATTCTCCTGCCTCAGTCTCCCAAGTAGCTGGGACTACAGGCGCCCGCCACCACGCCCGGCTAATTTTTTTAGTAGAGACGGGGTTTGGGGTTTCACCGTGTTAGCTAGGATGGGCTCGATCTCCTGACCTCGTGATCCACCCACCTCATCCTCTCAAAGTGCTGGGATTACAGGCGTGAGCCACCATGCCCAGCCCCAAACTTCATAATTTCTAAAAAAAAAAAAAAAAAAAAAAAAAAAAGTGTGCTTAAAACAATCCACATTTCACTTTAAGTGTGATTTTTATTGCATCTAAGTTTCGATATGAATAACATTGTTCATTTCTAAATATGTCACAACTTCTGTGTTTTTTTTTTTAACAGTCACTCAAAAGTTATGCAGATTTTTGTTGTTGTTTTAAAAATGTGTGTTTTTTAAACGTTTAATTTTTGGTCTTTTATGTAATTTTTGCAGTCACGAAATATGGTTTCATTATATTAAATCTTTGGAATATTTTGAGACCTTCTTGGTGGATTAAGAAGTGGTCAATTTTTGTAGATTTTTCATATGTTCCTGAAAAGAATGTGGGTTCTCCATTGTTGCTGTTTTGTACATATAAATATAACAACACACCAATAATGAAAATAACAATTATGATAACAATCATTAATAATCAATATTAGGCCAGGCGCGGTGGCTCACACCTGTAATCCCAGTACTTTGGGAGGCCGAGGCGGGCGGATCACCTGAGGTCAGGAGTTCGAGACCAGCCTGGCCAGCATGGTGAATCCACGTCTCTACTAAAAATACAAAAATAGCTGGGCATGGTGGCAGAGGCCTAGAAGCCCAGCTACTCAGGAGGCTGAGGCAGGAGAATCACTTGAACCTGGGAGGCAGAGGTTGCAGTGAGCCAAGATTGTGCCACTGCACTCCAGCCTGGGTGACAAGAGTGAAACTCCATGTCAAAAAATAAATAAGTAAATAATAATAATCAATATTAGAACCCTTAGTAATGTCAGGCTCAGTCTGACTACTTTTTTTTTATTTATTATTATACTTTAAGTTTTAGGGTACATGTGCACATTGTGCAGGTTAGTTACATATGTATACATGTGCCATGCTGGTGCACTGCACCCACTAACTCGTCATCTAGCATTAGGACTACTTTTTATTTTTAAGAAAGCATGCTTACTTTTGCCTTTCATTTTTCTATATTTTTAAAAAACTTTGTAAACATTTATGGGGTACAAGTGTAATTTTGTTGCATGTAAAGATTGCCCAGTGATGAAATCAGGACTTCCAGGTTATCCATTCCCCAAATAATGTGCATTGTACCCATTAAGTCATTTTCTTTTCTTTTCTTTCTTTCTTTTTTTTTTTTTTTTGAGACAGAGTCTTGCTCTGTCGTCCAGGGTGGAGTACAATGGTGCAATCTTGGCTCACTGCAACCTCCATCTCCCGTGTTCAAGCAATTCTCCTGCCTCAGCCTCCTGAGTAGCTGGGATTGCAGGTGTACACCACCACACCTGGCTAATTTTTTGTATTTTTAGTAGAGACAGGGTTTCTCCACGTTGGCCAGGCTGGTCTCGAACTCCTGACCTCAGGTGATCTGCCCGCCTCGGCCTCCCAAAATGCTGGGATTACAAGCGTAAGCCACCACACCCGGCCCCCGTTCCTCATTCTTAGAAAGGGAATCATGGTCATTGTGGTTGACCTGTGGCCGTGTAATTCTGTCCAAATATCCCTGAATGGTAAATGTGAAAACAGTAGAATGAATTCCATTGAAAATAAGAAGAAATAAAGTCAGAACTCAAAAGTGTTTTTGAAGTGTTATTGGGATGGAACTTTTTTTTTTTTTTTTTTTTTGAGACGGAGACTGCTCTGTCATTTAGGCTGGAGTGCAATGGTGCAATCTTGGCTCACTGCAACTTCTGCCTCCTGGGTTCAAGCGATTCTCCTGCTTCAGCCTCCTGAGTAGCTGGTATTACAGGTGCGCACCGTCATGCCTGGCTAATTTTTGTATTTTTAGTAGAGACGGGGTTTCACCATGTTGGCCAGGCTGGTCTCGAACTCCTGACCTCAGGTGATACGCCCACCTCGGCCTCCAAAAATGCTGGCATTACAGGCACGAGCCACTGCGCCCAGCCTATTTGTTATTATTTGATAATATTGATATTATCACCTATCAATTTATGATGACAAGTGCACATAACATAAGATCTATCTTAGCAAATTTGTAAGGGTACAAGGCAGTCTTGTTCCCTGCACACACTAAGCCGCACAGGAGACTGTAGGCCTTCCTCATCTTGCATGACTGAAACTCAAGAGGGAAAAATGAGGAGGTAACAGTCATAGGAAAGAGATCTTGATACCTTGCCTGTTCTTTCTAAGCCAATACCCTCAGCTCCTTAAAGGGGGCACTTTTATTTCATTTTATTTTTTCCCTCAGGTATAAATAATTTAATTTTTTTCAGTTATAAGGCTAACACATACTCAATTTAAAAATCCAAATAAAAACACCTCAAAAAATGAAGAACCATTTAAACTCCCTTGACCTAATATTAATTGCTACAAACATCTTGATTAATATTTTCCTACAAATCTCTTATTACTAAATTACTCGATAGCCAGTTATTAAGTAATTTCAGTCTGAGTACCATTAACATAATTACTCACTGAATAATCACAACAGTTCCATGAGTTAGGCACCATTGCTTTTTTATTTTACAGAGGAAGAGGCAAAGAAATAGAGAGGTAAATAAACTTAGTTTAAAGTGAGAGAGCTTATAACTGGCACGACCAAAATTAAAATCTAGAGATCTGGCCTCTGGAATTGTACTAGATAAATCAAGTTATGCACTCATAACTTTCCCCATACTCCCTATATACTATGTCTATTCATTCATCATTCATTCAAAAATATTTATTATGTACTATGTGCTAGGGAGTGTTCCAGGAGCAGGGACACTACAGGAAACACTGCAGGAAAAAAATCTATGGTTTCATGGGGATACATTGTGGTGGGAAGGCAGATAGTCTACAATATTAATAAGTAAAATACGTGCACATATGCTGAAGATTAATGATATATGCTGAAGAAAGAAAAAAGGCAGCGAGAGGTGATACGAAATCTGGAGGGAGTGTTGCAACTTCAGACAGGATGGTCCAAGAAGGTCTGAAGGATAAGGAGATACTGGGGTTGACAGTGAAGGAGAGGGAGGGATGAGCCTTGTGCCTGTCTGGGTGAAGAGCATTCCAGTCGAGAATGGCATGTGGATGAGCCCTGAGGCAGATGCTTGCTTGATGTTTTTTTAGGAATAGCAAGGAGGTCACTGGGACTGCATCACAGTCAGTGAAAGGCAGAGTCGGAGGAGATGCTATCAAAGTACTAACCCAAGTTGGGGGACAGAAGACGCAGTCGTGTCAATATGACTGAGGCGGGAAGTCCTGGAAAGTTTCTGATCAGAAGAGTGGCACAGAGTGGCGAATGTTTTTATTGTATTGTGTTGTTATTTTACTACCCAATTGCATTTTATTATCAGCGTACCTTATTTTATGAAATTAGACCTGCATTTTGGAGGGAGAGTCTGATTTTCATGAAGGCATGTGGTATGCTTCTGACGATAACGCCAGCATTCCAGGTAAGCTGCCGTCGGCCCTACCTCCGGGACAGCTTGATGCAAGATGCTAATCAAATTAACTCCCTGAGCGTCACTGTTCTCATCTGTAAAACTGGCCTAATGATGAAAACATCTTCCCAAAGTTGTGAGAATTAAAGGAACTACCCATAAGGGATACTCGGAGCAGTGTCTGGCATAGAGCGAGAGCTCAGAAAGGTTATCTCTTCCTTTGATTGCCTTGTGCAATTCTGACTTCAGGAAGGTCTTACCGATATGTTTTAGACAAAAATATGATGATGCCACGCTTAGGCTCAAAACCTGTCCCACTCTCGTGAGGGTAAAATACCAAAACTCTACTTGGCCTTTTAGAGACTCCTGCTCAATCAATGCACATATTCTTCTTCATTATTTTTCCATCTGGAGTCCACTCGACTTACAACAGGCAAATTATCTCCTGATGGGGACTTTCACAGAAGCTGTCTCCTCTGTCCACGTCTCCCCCCAGCTGCTCTTCCTGTCGCCAGCTCGTCAGTCCTCAGCCCCGATTCCACTCCACACTGCAGGTGGCTTCCCTGGGGTCAGCTCTGAGGTTCTCTTGCTTTTCTTTTCTTTTTGTTTCCCTCCTTCCTTCCTTCTTTCCTTCCTTCCTTCCTTTCTTTCTCTCTCTCTCCCTCCCTTCCTTTGCTTCTTTCTCTCTCTCTTTCTCTTTCTTCCTTCCTTCCTTTCTCTCTTCCTTCCTTCCTTCCCCCGCTCCCTTCTCTTTCTTTCTTTCTCTCTCTCTCTTCTCTTTCTCCCTTCCTTTCCTTTCATTCCTTCTCTCTTTCTCTCTCTCTCCCTTTCCTTCCTTCCTCCCTTCCTCCCTTTCTCTCTCTCTTCCTTCTCTTTCTTTCTTTCTTTCTTTCTTTCTCTCTCCTCTTTCTCTCTCTTTCTCTTTCTTTCTTTCTTTCTTTCTCTCTCTTTCTCTCTTTCTCTCTCTTTCTCTCTTTCTCTCTCTTTCTCTCTTTCTTTCTTTTTCTTTCTTTCTTTCTTGACAGAGTCTCGCTCTGTCACCCAGGATGGAGTGCAGTGGTGCCATCTCGGCTCACTGCAACCTCCGTCTTCTGGGTTCAAATGATTCTCCTGCCTCAGCCTCCTGAGTAGCTGGGGTTACAGGCGCTTGCCACCACGCCTGGCTAATTTTTGTATTTTTAGTAGAGACGGGGTTTCCCATGTTGCCCAGGATGGTCTGAAACTTCTGACCTCAGGTGATCCACCCGCCTCGGCCTCCCAAAGTGCTGGGATTACAGGAGTGAGCCACCATGACCGGCCCAAGTCCCCTTTTCACACAAGGTCATAGGATTTTTTTTTTTCCTCTGGAGCACTTACTACATCAGCAGATATGGCTCTCAGTGCAACAAAACTCACAGCTCTCTTACGTGGTGTAGAGTTGTCCCTGGAGGCAGCTGCCCCATGAGGGACCCTATCTTCATCCTTCTTGTACCCAGCTGTGGACTCCTGACTAATTCCCACCCTTGGAATGTGAGCAGCAGTGATAAGCGACATTCAGATTTTTTATTTAAAAGGCACGGATGAGCCCTTTCCATTCTCTCTTCCTCTTTCCCCTCACTGGTGACAGAGCACTCCAGGGTTCTAGGGGAGGTTGGATCCCAAAGGTGGAAGAATCTGGGCACCTGAGTCACCTGATGGAGGAGCTCCAACTGCCAACCGGGGGCCCCTATATGGACGTGTAACACGAGTGAGTAGTGACCATTCCATTGTGACAAACTGCAGATATTTCGAGGCTAATTTGTTAAAATCTACCGTTAATGTGCTTTATATGACTTTTTTTTTTTTTTTAAGATGGAGTTTTGCTTTTGTCGCCCAGGCTGGAGTGCAATGGTGCAATCTCGGCTCACCACAACCTCTGCCTCCCGGTTCAAGCGATTCTCCTGCCTCAGCCTTTTGAGTAGCTGGGATTGTAGGCATGCACCACCAGGCCTGGCTACTTTTTTTGTATTTTTAGTAGAGATGGGGTTTCACCATGTTGGTGAGGCTGGTCTTGAACTCCTGACCTCAAGTGATCCTCCTGCCTCAGCCTCCCAAAGTGCTGGGATTACAGGTGTGAGCCACTGTGCCCGGCCTATATGACATTTGAATAGTCAGAGGTGTGCCCTCCACATTAGACTGTGAGGTCCGTTGACTTGCGTGGCTCGTCTCTGACACAGACTCAAGCCCTTAATAGCCGCCTGGAAATGTACGTTTTGGTTCACACAAAAAGGAAGTTGACCAAGCCCCCTTGATGAAGCCTCACTGGGGAGGTGGCCCATCGAAGGTCGTATATTGTGAATGGGGCGAAGGCAGCGTCGCCGTCTCCTTCAAGTCTGACCTCCAGGTTGGTGTTCAGATTCCCCCTCCACACCCCACAGCCGTGGTTGCCCGTCTGGATTTGGTGTTTCGGTCAGAGATGACGTTCGGGCCAGTCGTATGGATGATGATGTCCAAGGAGACAGTTCTCTCTTTTTCCCCAGTCACGGGAAGGAAGAACTAAGCCTCATGGTGCCTTCCTGGGAGATACGTGGTAAGAAGCCACAAGACGGTTGGGACTGAGTCTCTGCGCACCGCATCCCGAGCCTCTGCCATCTGCACAGCGAGGCGGGCGCAGGCAGCACGGTGCCCCTTACCATGCTTTCTTCCTGGACTTTCCCTTGACCAGTCTTGGCATGGCAGGCGAGGGAATGAGGGATTGGGGCTGGGAGGCGGGGAAGACAGCTCTCTCCCTGGGCCCATGTCTGGTTAGATCAATGCTGTGGGAGCTTAGCGACTGAAGAGGGAGCAGAGATGATGGCAGGAAGGCATTATCTGCCCAAGCCTCAGGCTTCGCAGTCCAGGTTGGGACCAAGAGCTTGCAGACGTCATCGAGTGCAGATTTTGAGCGAAGTACTGAGCATTGTAAATCCAGATTTCTCTTCCAGAGCTGAGTCTGGGCCACAGGACCTGGACACAGGAGGGTCAGTCTCTCCGGTAATGGTGAGGGTCTGTCTTCTTGGAGCAGCACAGTGGACTCCCACCAGGACAGTGGATGCTGGATACCGAAGGGCTGGGCTCAGGACAGTGGATGCTGGGTACGGAAGGGCTGGGATGAGGACAGTGGATGCTGGGTACCAAAGGGCTGGGCTCAGGACAGTGGATGCTGGGTACTGAAGGGCTGGGCTCAGGACAGTGGATGCTGGGTATGGAAGGGCTGGGCTCAGGACAGTGGATGCTGGGTACCGAAGGGCTGGGCTGAGGGGGTCACTTTGGCAGTGGTTCTGGAGTCTGAATTTCTAAGGGCCTGGAACTCATGAGACTCTAGATGCTGATTCTTTTCTGGAGAACTTCTCCAGAGTCACCATCCTGGCTTGTGCAGACTCAACATTCCACCTGAAGAGCTCTGGGAACCTCTGGGGCTGAGAGCCTTCTGGGCCTGATGAGTTCTGTTGGGATGGAGAAGATGATCTTGAAGTTAAAGATTTCAGTGGGAGTCCAGGAAAACGTCGCAGCTGTCCATCATACCCACAACAGCAAACGACTCAGGACTTTGCCACGGCCACCGCGGCAGCCAAAACCACAGCTGTGATCTGGGGCCGGACTCATACCCAGAGGTTGTCTGGGTTCAGGGTCTGCAACCCCGGTTCAGAGAAAGAGGAAACGGAGTGGGCCGTGTGGACCCCGTCCTTCATCGAACTCCAGAACTAAGAGAACTGGGAGGGGAGAAGGCCGTCACCCTTGCATGGAGCTGCCTCCCTCAGTTCTAGTGGTTTCTACAACTCCATGCAGGTTAGCTAAGGTGTGCATGGGTTCCAGAAGGAACATGGAGATGTTTCTCTTTGATGTTACTTGAAACTTTCGTTTGGCAAGTTCCTTCTAAGATCAGGAGATTCAATCACCCCACATTTTCCATCAGTCAGGGTATCACAACGTCGTGCTCCTTGGCTATACAGTCTCAGGTACATTTCTTCTTGAGATTATTTTTCACGTGAGGCAGAGATGTGTGGCTGCTCACCAGAAAAAAAGAATTCTCTACTTCCTCTTACAGTGCAAGCATTTGAATCTCTGGGAGGTGGCTACCCTCACCAAGGGACTTTTTTCCTAGTCTCCTTTGCATCCATGTGTGACTGACCATAATGACTACTTATAGCCAAAAATCTGGACAGAAATGATGTGCGTCAATCAATTTTGCAAGTTTACAAATATTTTCTGTGTCTCCTCTTTCTGTTTGAAGTATGGGATGCCATTGCCCAAGGGGATGATGTGAGCACAATGGAAGAAGCGGATGTCCCTGAGTCATCCTGGGGAGAAAATTCAAATTCTGCCCAGAGAAACCCTCATTGGTCATTTACATGAGTGAGATGCCAAACCTCACTGTGTTAAGCCATCGGTATTTTTTCTTTTTTGAGATGGAGTCTCGCACTGTCGCCCAGGCTGGAGTGCAGTGGCGAGATCTCAGCTCACTGCAAGCTCTGCCTCCCAGGTTCAAGCGATTCTCCTGCCTCAGCCTCCTGAGTAGCTGGGACTACAGGCACCCACTATCACGCCTGGCTAATTTTTTGCATTTTTAGTAGAGATGGGGTTTCACTGTGTTAGCCAGGATGGTCTCGATCTCCTGACCTCGTGATCCACCCGCCTCGGCCTCCCAAAGTGCTGGGATTACAGGCGTGAACCACCGCGCCCGGCCAGTATTTTAAGACTTACTTATAACGGTGGTTAGTGTCACCCTAACTCTTATCTCACAATAGTAGCTAAACAATTTGTGATTTGCTCTTTGATCCTGTCCCTATCATCATTAGACTCAAGCTCTGTTGAGGGCAGGGGCTGCATCTGTTTTGTTCACTCCTGAATCTCAAACACCAAGCAGATAATAAGCAATTGATAAATATTGGTTGATCGGCTTCTGAAGAAAGAAAATTCACACATTTATACTTAGAAAAATTTATAAGGGAAGTAGCCGAGTGGGGTGGCTCACGCCTGTCATCCCAGCATTTTGGGAGGTTGAGGTGGGTGGATCACCTGAGGTCAGGAATTCAAGACTAGCGTGGCCGACGTGGGGAAACCCCGTCTCTACTAAAAATAGAAAAATTAGCTGGTCGTGGTGGCGTGTGCCTGTAATCCCAGCTACTCGGGAGGCTGAGGCAGAAGAATCGCTTGAACCTGGGAGGCAGAGGTTGCAGTGAGCTGAGATGGTGCCATTGCACTCTAGCCTGGGTGACAAGAGCGAGACTCTGTCTCAAAAAAAAAGAAGAGAGAAGTTTATAGGTGAAGTGGCTTGTCCGAGGTCTCTGAGGCTGTGGGACAGGAAGTCACAGGAGAAGCTCATTCTGGCTGACTTCCCAGCTGGTGTTCTGCACCTCTATCAGTATCTTAGGAACCAAGTTACCACGACACACCTATTAGAGTGGCCAAATTCTAAAACATGGACAATACCACATACTGGCATACTGGTGAGGATGTGGAGCAACAGGAACTCTCATTCATTGCTGGTGGGATTGCCAAATGGTACAGTCACTTTGGGAGACAGTGCGGCAATTTCTTCTAAAACTAAATGTAGCTTTGCCATGTAATCCAGCAATTGCATTCCTTGGTATTTACCCAAGGAAGTTTGAAATGTATGTTCACATAAAGTCTGCATATGAATCTTTACAGTAGCTTTATTCATAATTGCCCAAACTTGGAAGCAACCAAGATGCCCTTCAGTAAGTGAGTGGATTAACTATGTGTCGAGACAATGGAATATTATCCCATGCTAAGAAGATACAAGCTCTCAAGTCATGAAAAGACGTGGAGGAGAGTTCAACGTATATCACTACACGAAATAAGCCTGCCCAAATGGCGTATCCACTGTCTGATTCCAAATATGTGACATTCTGGAAGATGCAAAACTATAGAAAGAGTGTAAAGTTCATTGGTTGCCAGAATAAAAGGCTTGGGCAAGAGGAAATCATCCCAGTGGAAATGGAGAAACGCAGGAACAAATGAAGAGCAACAGAAGAAGCTAAATATTTGGGTAAAGATAGGAATTTTGAATGATGATTTCATCATTAATGAATTAAGGAAACATTGATGCATGCTCATTCTGTATTTGATGACATTGCAAACAGTGTTTTGAAAACTATACTTTGCACTAAAATTAAAATTGAGCGCCTGTAATCCCAGCACTTTGGGAGGCCAAGGCAGGTGAATCACCTGAGGTCAGGAGTTCGAGACCAGCCTGGTCAACATGGCGAAACCCCGTCTCTGCTAGAAATACAAAAATTGGCTGGGTGTGGTAGTGGGTGCCTGTTATCCCAGCTATTCAGGAGGCTGAAGCAGGAGAATCACTTGAACTGTGGAGGCAGAGGTTGCAGTGAGTCGAGATGGTGCCACTGCCCTCTAGCCTGGGTGACAGAGTGAGAGTCTGTCTCAACAACAGCAACAACAACAACAAAATGACAGCATGGCTCAAGTGTGTTGGCTCACGCCTGTAATCCTAGCACTTTGGGAGGACAAAGTGGGTGAGCTTGAGCTCAGGAGTTTGAGACCAGCCTGGGCAACAAGACAAAACCCCATCTCTATCAAACAAAACAAAACAAAACAAAACAAAACAAAACAAAACAACAACTTGCGGAGCGTGGTGGTGTGTGCTTGTGGTCCCAGCTACTCAGGAGGCTGAGGTGGGAGGATCTCTGGACCCCAGGAAGTGGAGGCTGCAGTGAGCTGAGATTGTGCTAATGCACTCCAGCCTGGGTGACGGAGCGAGACCCTGTCTCAAATAAATGAATGAATGAATAAATAAATAAATCTTAAAGATGACAGCCTACATATATATACACACACATGCCAAACTGATACATCGATGAGATAACACTGTATATACAAAAGTGCAAGGGAAATTTGTTTTTTTTGAGACAGAGTCTCACTCTGTCGCCCAGACTGGAGTGCAATGGCGCAATCTCGGCTCACTGCAACCTCCACCTCCTGGGTTCATGCCATTCTCCTGCCTCAGCCTCCCGAGTAGTTGTTACTACAGGCGCCCGCCACCACACCCAGCTAATTTTCTGTATTTTTAGTAGAGATGGGGTTTCACTGTGTTAGCCAGGGTGGTCTTGATCTCCTGACCTTGTGATCCGCCCACTTCGGCCTCCCAAAGTGCCGGGATTACAGGCTTGAGCCACCGTGCCTGGCCATGCAAGGGAAATTTGAATATAAGACTTCAGATGCTGGTTACGGTACCTGAGGTAGGAGGGGGAAACAGGCTGGAGTATACACTACAGAGATAGTCATGCTTCATCAAGCCTCTGATTTCCCTGGAGCATGTTGACTTCACGTTGATTTTTTTTTTTACATGTTCTGTTAAAAAAATTTCTTTAAATTGGCCTTTGGAAATTTACCAGCAGTGTGCTGGTAAAGTCTTGACAATCAGCTCTCTGAAAAAAAAAGCAAAAAGAAAAACAAAAAACAACCCCGACGTGTAGCATTTGCCGATTTCTCTGGTGTAAATACTCACAGCATGGCTTTGACATGAGTTTTACATTTGGTAAAAGCAAATTGTGCCTACTTTGAATAGAAGGATTGGGACAGAGATATGGTTCTTGTCAGGCACTAATTAGGGAGTAAGGCTTGTCTAATATTGCCTTGGCTCTCAAGCAAAATAAAAAAGTAACATTTGGGAATCTGTGTTGCTTCCTCAGCCCATCCTGGGTAAAATCGGAGACGTATACAGGGCAGGGAGAAGCTGTTTATTTCCATGCCTGCGGTTGGAGCTTCTTAAGGATTTGAGCTGTGATGCTGGCACCTGGCAGACCACATCCTGTGCGGTTTTCAGTTTTGCTCTGTTCCTGACCCTGGTATAGCAGAAGCTTTTTCACATCTATGACACCCGCTATGTCTTGGTAAACCCTGGAAGGGAAAGGAGGACAAGGTTAAAATACTGTTCCGAGGACCTGGTCTCTCCACAGCGCAGGCTGGAGGTGGCAGCCCGTGGAAAGCCAAGTTCATCCACCATCGGAGCCCAGGCCAGGCTGCCAAGGCTAATATTCAGGACAAAGCCAGGCACAGGTCGGGAATCCTATGAAGATGATCATCGTCCTGAGGTCTTCCTTCCAGGGTTGCATCCGGGCCAGAAGATGGAAAGAGAAATGGGTGAGTCCCTGCTACCACCCCACCCTCAGGTTGCTTTTTTGGCTGAACAAGAAGGGTCCTCCCAGGCAGGAAGGGTGGGGCACAGAAACGTGAGCCAATGTGGATGACTTGGGGAGGGCTTTGCAGTTGAATCTCCTGAAAACAGCAAGAAGTACAGACCTCCAGGCATTCTAGACTCAGATTCTGTAGACGCTTCCCTTTGGCCGAGCCAAGCCAGGGTTGCTCAGGAACTGGGGTCCTTGAGATTGGATTAGATTGGACGGAACGACACAGGATTGCAACGTGCAGAACTGTGAGGACCGGGGTTTTGCTTGAGTTCCCCAGTCTGTCCACGAGGTCCAAGCTTGAGATCATTACGGCGACCACATCTCAGGAGGAAGATAGGTCAGCAATGCAGTGACGTGCTGGAATAGTTTTGAAATATTTGAACTATTCTAATGCAAACTCTTCTTTTAATGACATTTCACGTTGCATCTTATGTCATTTTATTTATGTAGATGTTGTCTTTCCACTTGACATTTAATTGGTGTTTAATTTAAGTTGCAAATATTGTGTATGTATCTGAGTCTAGTGTGAGAATCATTACTCTATGCCTGTGCATCCCACACCAAGTAACTTTTTTTTCTTTTTTTTTTTTTAAGATGGAGTCTCGCTCTGTTGTCCAGGCTGGAGTGCAGTGGCATGATCTCGGCTCACTGCAAGCTCCGTCTCCTGGGTTCAAGCCATTCTCCTGCCTCAGCCTCCTGAGTAGCTGAGATTATAGGTGCCCGCCACCAAGCCCGGGTAATTTTTGTATTTTTAGTAGATAGGGGGTTTCACCATGTTGGCCAGGCTGGTCTTGAACTCCTGACCTCGTGATCCGCCCACCTTGGCCTCCCGAAGTGCTGGGATTACAGGTGTGAGCCACTGAGCCCCGTCCAAGTAATGTTTTTGAATGAGTAAGCTGTGCTGTGCTGAATCTGTAGCATGCCTTGGACATAGACCTTCTCCAGCTGGGATTGAAGTCTTAGAGGAATGCAAAGGTGGAGGGGCCCTTTGAGAATATGGAACGACGACAGCTCTGTATCACCCCTTTTATGGAAAAACCCAGAATAACTGCCCATGTGTTCTGTGACCTTTGATGTTGATTCTGTCAGCAGGAGGAATCATCTGAGTAGTGAGGAAAATCTTGGATATGTTGGTGGTTTCACAGCTGTCAGAATTCACTGAATGGCACAGATTCAAAGAAGGCAGTTTGTCTGCCAAGGATTCCTTGATAAAGCTGATTAAAAATCGCTAATGAAGACCTAAAGTGAAAAGAGGCAGGGAGGAGAATCTAATACATAGAAACCATTCTACACATGAAAGAAGAGTCAGAAGCAGGAAGGTCATTCTCAGGAGCCGCTGTGTTTTGGCCTCGTGTTCAATGCTAAGTTTCAAAACAAATGTAGTATTCCTTGCAACCACGAGAAGTTGGTGAGTGATTTGAAATCATTCTTATGATGAGGCGGAAGCTTTTGGAATCTGTTCTGTACCCCTGCACTTTATCCTTGTCCTCATGATTTACAAAACCATGAAAATAAAGCTCAGTTAATTCATCATCATCAAGGTGAGCACCAGGTTCAGTATTCAGCTTGAGGCTGGGGACTCCATCTTTCTTTAACTTTTGACTGAATAGCCTTCACTTAGTTTTTATATCTCTTAGGCATTAAAAAAATTAAAAAAATATATATATATATTTTGAGATGGAGTCTAGCTCTGTCGCCCAGGCTGGAGTGCAGTGGCATGATCTCGGCTCACTGCAACCTCCGCCTCCCGGGTTCCCACCATTCTCTCGCCTCAGCCTCCCGAGTAGCTGGGACTACAGGCGCCCGCCACCACGCCCGGCTAAATTTTTTTGTATTTTTAGTAGGGACGGGGTTTCACCGTGTTAGCCAGGATGGTCTCGATCTCCTTGCCTCGTGATCCGCCCACCTCAGCCTCCCAAAGTGCTGGGATTACAGGCGTGAACCACCTCGCCTGGCCTAAAAAAGTCTTTAATATATTATATTAAGCAGTTTTAATTGGTTTATTGTTATTTTTTGGATGGATTGCTGTCTTATGGACTTAGTCTAACATATTCACAGAAAGTTGGATTAGATTGGAAGAACATACCTGGGACTGCATTGCGCAGAACTCTTTGAGGGCCAGGGTTTAGCTTGAGTTCCCCTGTCCGTCCATGAGATCCCAGCTTGAGATCATTACAGCCACCATGTCTCGGGAGGAGGACTAGTCTGCAATGCAGTGATTATGATGGAATGTTTCAATGTTTTTGAAATGTTTGGACTATTCTGATGCAAAAAACTTTCTTTTTATTTTTGAGACAGAGTCTCACTGTGTCGCCTAGGGTGGTTTTTTTTTTCTTTTTTGAAACCCTCTGTTAGTAAGAGATAAATATGATTCCCAGGAACATTGCTCTGTTCTGCTTTATTATTATTGGTCATATCTGGTCATACGCCCTGAAAACCCTGAAAATGGGATTGCTAAAATCGCCTTAATCTAAACTCCATTTCCCTCCCACTTGCTCCCTGGGCTTGGAGCACAACCACTCAAACAGAACTGGCTTTTGGTCAGTAAGGAAGAAGTGAGCAACGGCTGCGGTGTAGACCCTCGTCAATGCCTGCGACGGTTACACCTGGAGACAAGCTCCCCAGTGTCCTCAGGAGCAGCGGAGATGAGAATCCATGATAGGGTGGGCTCTGTCCCCCTCAGCTCCGTGATGCCGAAATGCACTGCTGGTCCTGGTCCTGCTCCTCATTCCACACCCGGCTGAGTGCCCATCTGACCCCAGACCTCAACGCGAGGTTCTAAGCACTGTCTCCTGACCCTTCAACCCCTTCGGGATTTTGCATGTGCTGTTGGACCACCTCACTCCCACCTGGAGCCAAATGACACCGTAGGAGGAGGGGAAGAGAACTTATGCTAGTAGAGTGTGTGTGTGTGTGTGTGTGTGTGTGTGTGTGTGTGTGTGTGAATGTGTGTGTGTATTATACATAATATATATAATTACAACATTGTTAATGGGGCCGGGCGCGGTGGCTCACACCTGTAATCACAGCACTTTGGGAGGCTGAGACGGGCAGATCACATGAGGTCAGGAGTTCAAGACCAGCCTGGCCAACATGGTGAAACCCCGTCTCTACTAAAATACAAAAATTAGCCGGGCATGGTGGCGTGCGCCTGTAGTCCCGGCTACTCAGCAGGCTGAGGCAAGAGAATTGCTTGAGCCTGGGAGGCGGAGGTTGCAGTGAGCCAAGATTGCACCACTGCACTCCAGCCTGGGCAACAGAGTACGACTCCATCTCCACACACACATACACACACACACACACACACACACAAATTGTTAATTGTATATGTATAATTATAATAGTTTATATATATTAACAATTATATATAAACTTGCATATATATAGTATTTGCTGTATTATTATATATAAACAATTATATATGTAATGACTGTATAAAATAGATAAACAATTTTAACTAATAATATTATATTAATTATATTATTATTAGATGTAATAATTATAATTATTTATATATAATATTTATTATTATGTATCATTGTTAGAACACTTAACATGAGCTCTGTCCTCTTAACAAATTTCAAGTGAACAAGACGTTATTGCTGACGATGGGTTGTATGTGGTGCAGCAGATCTCTAGGCCTGTTTGTTAATAACTCCCCATTTCCCCCTCCTCCCAGCCCCCGTAACCACCATTCCCTGCTGTGATGTTGTGACTCTGGTGACTTTGCAGATCTCCTGTAAGTGACATCATGCAGTACTTGGTCTCTGCATCTGCGTCGCTTGGCGTGATGTCCTCAGGTTTCGTCTGTGTTGTCGCCCATGGCAGAATTTTCTTCCTTGTTTAAGGCTGAATAGTATTCCCCTGTGTGTGCACCACATTTTCTATATCAATTCTTCTATCAATGGACATTTAGATGATTTTCACGTCTTAGCTATTGCGAATAGTGCTGCAGTGATCAGGGGAGTTCAGACGGCTCTTTGCATACTGAATTTGTTTCTTTTAAATATAGACCCAGAAGTGGCATTGTTGGACCATACGGTAGCTCTATGTTTAGTTTTTTGAGGAACCTCCCCACTGTTCTCTATAGTGAGTGCACAATTTTTCAGCCTCCCAAAGTGCTGGGATCACAGGCGTGAGCCACCGCGCCCGGCGCACTGTAGGATCTTTTTCAATGCATTATATACCTTGCTGAGATTTTAGCAGAGATCACAATATTAAAAACTTGGGGAAGGATTTCTATGACTCTTATTTTAAATACGAGGACATGTCGACTTCTAGTTTTGTAACATCTTGCCCAAGAGCGGTGGTCGTTAACGTGTGGAGTTGGGATGACATCCAAGTCAGTTGGTTGCACGACCTTTATTCTGTCTTGTCCCATAGATTTAGAAAGAGGCTGACACATCGGGTAACTAGTTTAAGGTCATCTGATCATGCGGGTAAGCGACATTTTTCAGAAACCAAGGCCCTCCCTCTCATCTCACTAGTGGGAAGGGTGGAAAGAACAGAACAGAAAGCTCTCCCTCTTGTGTGAGGCAGTTGCTGTGGAAACCCCACGGGCAGGAGGCCCCCGGCCAGCACATCCTGTCTGCTTGTGTCTGCTGCAGAGTTCTGGGACCGGGGCCATGTCTCCACACCTCACTGCTCTCCTGGGCCTAGGTGAGTCCTGGAGGGAGCGGGAAGGACTGGAAAGGGGGTCGGGAGGTCTGGAAAGTTCCCTGCTCAAGCCTGACTCTAGTCCAGAAGATTCTGGGGAGGAAAGTGTCCTCCTCCCCCCAAGACTGCCCTACTGCTCTCCCTGGGGCCTAAGTCTGATCAGAGACAACCTTGTCCTAAAAACAGGGGCCCGGGTGTGGGGATGAGGTCAGCTTTAAGAAGGGCTGGGGGGCCAGGCGCGGTGCTCACACCTGTAATCCTAGCACTTTGGGAGGCTGAGGCAGGTGGATCACCTGAGGTCAGGAGTTTGAGACCAGCCTGGCCAACGTGGTGAAACTCCATCTCTACTAATACAAAAATTAGCCGGGCATGGTGGCGGGCACCTGTAATCCCAGCTACTCGGGAGGCTGAGGCAGGAGAATTGCTTGAACCCGGGAGGTGGAGGTTGCAGTGAGCTAAGATCGCGCCACTGCACTCTAGCGTGGGCGACAAGAACAAAACTCCGTCTCCAACAACAACACCAAAAAGAAGGGCTGGGGGAGCAGGAGCCTTTTTGGAAGAGGAGACTTTGGGATTTATCTTGAAACCATTTTGCAGCAAGAAGGATTACATGGAGACAGTGATGTCGAGGAGGGTTGGCTTGGTCGTTATGAAATGCTGAATGCCCCCCAGCTCCGTCAAGCCCCCTTTTGACAGCAGCCCTGTAAGGAGACTGGGCAGTGGGCATTTTTCTCACTGGGGCTTCTCTTCCAGTGCTCTGCCTGGCCCAGACCATCCACACGCAGGAGGGTAAGTCATGCCTTCGTCCCGTCTTCCCAGTCCCCTCTGTCACCCCAAAGGCAGTGCTGGGTGGGAGTGATGTTGATTCTTAGAGGGCCTGGAGAGATCCCTTTAAATATACCCTAGATTGCAAACTATTCCAAATGTAAAATGCATAACCCTCACCCCTTTCTCTCCTTCATTCTCCACCTGTCATGTTTTGCTTTTCTTATTTTCAAAAATCCTATATTTTATTTTATTTTTATTTTTGAGATGGAGTCTCACTCCATCACCCAGGCTAGAATGCAGTGGCATAATCTCGGCTCACTGCAACCTCTGCTCCCAGTTTCAAGC
Organism: Homo sapiens; assembly: GCF_000001405.40. Lineage (NCBI taxonomy): Eukaryota > Metazoa > Chordata > Mammalia > Primates > Hominidae > Homo > Homo sapiens. The sequence goes on from NW_003571054.1 coordinate 410,268, forward strand.
GATTCTCCTGCCTCGGCCTCCTGAGTAGCTGGGATTACAGGCACCCACCACCACCCCTGGCTAATTTTTTTTTTTTTGTATTTTTAGAAGAGATGGGGTTTCACCATATTGGCCAGGCTGGTCTCGAACTCCTTACCTTATGATCCGCCCGCCTCAGCCTCCCACAGTGCTGGGATTACAGGCATGAGCCACTGTGCCCAGCCAAAAATCTTATTTTTAATCGACAAATAATTGTATATGTTTGTGGGGCACGATGTGATGTTACAACGTATGTAAACATTGTGGAAAGATTAAATAAGGCTAAATAACATATCAATCACATCACATACTTATTGTGATGAGAACATTTAAAACCTACTTTTAGCAATTTTGAAATATATAATAAGTTATTATTAACTATAGTCAGCCTGCTATGCAATAGATCTCAAAAACTTACTCCTCCTGTTTAACCGAAACTTTGTACCATTTGATCAGTGTCTCTCCCAAGCCCCCCATTTCCCGACTTTAATAGCATCATTCTAATCTCTAACTCTGTGAGATGACCTTTTTTGTTTGTTTGTTTGTTTTGGGATGGAGTCTCACTCTGTCACCCAGGCTGGAGTGCAATGGCACAATCTCGGTTCACCGCAAACTCAACTTCTCAAGTTCAAGCGATTCTCCTGCCTCAGCCTCTCGAGTAGCTGGGATTACAGGTGCATGCCACCACGCCCAGCTAATTTTTGTGTTTTTAGTAGAGATGGGGTTTCACCATGTTGGCCAGGCTGGTCTTGAACTCCTGACCTCAGGTGATCCACCCACCTCGGCCACACAAAGTGCTGGGATTACAGGTATGAGCCACTGCACCCGGCCGAGATGAACTTTTTTAGATTCCACATGCGGTATTTGTCTTTCTGTACCCAGCTTATTTCACTTAGCATAATGTCCTCTGGTTCATCCATGCTGTTGTGAATGACAGAATGTCCTTCCTTTTTTAGGGCTGAATAATATTCCATTGCATATACACACCACATTCTCCTCATCCATTCATTTGGTGGTGGTTATATAACTCAGGTTATTTCCAGGTCTTGGCAGCTGTGAGTAGCGCTGCGGTCACCCTGGGAGTGCAGGCATCACCTCCACACACCGATTTCCACAATGAGAATTCAAACCCAACACAACCAAGGCTGAACCCGGCACTTTTCCCCAGACGAGCCCACACTTCACTCGGCAGCTTCTTGGCGGGGAACGTGACAGTCACAAAGGGCAGACTCTGAACACTCATCCTCTTCTCCATCCTCCTGGATGCACCATGTCACCCAGTCCTGGTGATTTCACTCTAAATTTTTCTCATCTTTCCCTCTCTCTTCATCGACTTTTCCTGCATCACCCCCAGGTGACAGCCCTTCTCCCCTCCGTGGCTCCCCGAGGCCGGCCTCAGCCTGTCCATGCCACTGCTGCCTGCTCCCTTCCTGACCCCAGGGACTGGCGATTTGCAAAAGCACAACCATGACCATTGTACTTTCCACAGTTTTTAAATTGCATTCAAAAATTTTCATTTAATATCTCATCGTAAGATGAAGTTTTTTTCTTAGAGCCCTTCCCCTGTTTATCTTCAGATAGAATCAACCCAGGCACCTCTCTTTGTTCTGGACATGCCCATTTTCCCAGCCACATCCTGTCCCTGTGACCTGGGGCTCACTCATCTCTACATTCCTCCAGGTTCTTTCGCTTTCTCAAACACTCCATATGCCGCTCAACATGGTGGTTCTTCTCACATGCTGATTTTTTTTTTTTTTTTTGAGATGGTGTTTCATTCTTGTTGCCCAGGCTGGAGTGCAATGGCTCGGTCTTGGCTTACTGCAACCTCTGCCTCCCTGGTTGAAGCAATTCTCCCTGCCTCAACCTCCCAGGTAGCTAGGATTACAGGTGCCTGCCACCATGCCTGGCTGATGTTTTTGTATTTTTAGTAGAGACGGGGATTCACCATGTTGATCAGGCTGGTCTCGAACTCCTGACCTCAGGTGAGCCGCCCACCTCGGCCTCCCAAAGTACTGGGATTACAGGTGTGAGACACCGCACCTGGTCTGATTTTTAAAAGTTAATTAATTCAGTTTAAAATTGACCGATGAAAATTGCATGTATTTGTCATGTCCAATATGATGTTGTGGACTCTGCACACAGCGAGGAATGGCTACATCGAGCTAGGCAACGTAGGCATTCCTCCTGTGCGAATCATTTTTTTGTGGTGAGAATGCTTAGAATCACCTGGATTAGCAATGTCCAATAATGTAATACATTGTTATTAACTGTAGTCACCGTGTTGTACATGATGATTCTTCAATTGATTTCTCCTCTCTAACTAAAACCTTGTTTCCTTTGAGGAATTTTCCCACTTTGAGTGCCCTGGTGTCCCCTGTCTGCTCAGCTCAGGGAGTTTCTACTCCTCCCTCAGCTCTCAGCTCAGAGAGAGCTTCCCCTGACTTTGCAGAGGAGGTCAGCTCCACCGCCCACCTGTCCCCTAGATCCCTGCACACTTACCCACAGGAAACTTATTGCAGTTCGCAGCTGCAGATTTGGACAATTCTTCGATCAATATCTGTCCTCCCTTCTAGACGTCCACCTCCAAAGGGCAGGCATCCTGTATGTGTTTCTCACATTTGCGGAATTAGCAGCTCATGAAAAGCGTCTTTAAACAGATTGATAAGTAACTGAGATATGGTTAAAAGAAAGAAAAATGAACAAATGGGTGGGTTTGGGGAGATGCTGGTCAAAGGATAGAAAATTTCGTCTAGACAGGGAGAGTAAGTTCAGGATTGTGTAACATAATGACTAGAGTTAATCACAATATATCATACGCTTGAAAATCGCTAAGAGGGCAGATTTTAAATGTTCTCACCACAACAATTAACTACGCAAAGTGAGGTTATATTAATTAGCTTGATTCAGCGATTCCACAGTGTATACCTGTATCAAAACATCATGTTGTACACCTTAAATACATGCAGTTTTAATTTGTCAATAATAAGGAATGAATGAAGACGGGACGAGTGAATTGAAGCCCTGCCAGCTCTCTGCCCCGCTCAGGGATTTTGCTAATTTTGACACAACCTTCCTGTTTCAGGGCGTCAAACCCGCCCTTCCTCCTCCACCCCAAGCCCAGTTGAGATAAATGGGGTTTTTCAAGAGCCTTAATAACAAGGAAATGCAAATTAAGCTGAGAAGAAAGTAGAAACTATGAGGAAAACCCAGAGGTGGTGTCTCCACAGAGATCTGCATTAGCAATGGGGACCTGTCACGGGCTGGGCATCTGCTGTGAGCAGATCAGGGCTGGGGGCTTCACCCTCACCCCACCAGACCCTCAAAGGAGCCTGGCAACCCCCGTCCCACACTCAGTCCCACCCGGGGACCGGCCAGTGCCCTTCAGGCCCCAGCACGAGCCATCTCCAGAGCCCTCGCTTCCCTGTCCCTTGTCCTTCACGAATGACCCTGTCATCCCCATCGTGTGCCTCCCTCCCACCCTCTGTCCCTCTAGAAAGTGGCCCTGGGCTCTGCAGCAGGCATGAAGGGCTCCAGGCTGCTCCGACACTTCCCACGTGACCCTGAGCAAGGCCCAAGTTGTGAGCAAGTCTCAGGGTCCTCACTGTCAACTGGGAAAAAACTCTGCAGTGATGAGAATCACATGCACGTAGAAGGTGCAGGAGGCGTGGGAATGTTCTAAGGTTGGGCTGTGGTCGTGGCTGCATAACTCTATAAAATTGCTAAAATCCCTGAATTGTGATCCTAAAATGACGTGTGTGGCATGGTGACTTCCTACAGTGGACGCTGAGATCCTTCTTTGCTTCCCTCTTAGGGGCCCTTCCCAGACCCTCCATCTCGGCTGAGCCAGGCACTGTGATCTCCCCGGGGAGCCATGTGACTTTCATGTGCCGGGGCCCGGTTGGGGTTCAAACATTCCGCCTGGAGAGGGAGGATAGAGCCAAGTACAAAGATAGTTATAATGTGTTTCGACTTGGTCCATCTGAGTCAGAGGCCAGATTCCACATTGACTCAGTAAGTGAAGGAAATGCCGGGCTTTATCGCTGCCTCTATTATAAGCCCCCTGGATGGTCTGAGCACAGTGACTTCCTGGAGCTGCTGGTGAAAGGTAAGGACGTCACCTGGGCCCTGCCCCAGTCTCAGCTCAACCCTCGAGCTTGTCCCGAGGTCCCTGGACCCTGTCCCGGCTGCTGTCCTCTCTCTGTGGCCACCGTTGCCCTCTTCCTGACCCCAAGCCCTCCCCTTCTTCCTCTGCACACACCTCCCCTCTGCCCTCACACCTGCTTAGGTCCCTGGAGCCCTGATCTCCTCTGGATGCCACAGATGGCGTGGACACTCAGTCCCAGCATTGGGTTGGCTCAGAGCTGGCTCTGCTTGGCTGGGTGGGGAGTGGGTTCCCAGAGATTAGGGGGCAACCCCCCTACAAGGGGATGAGTGTCTTTTCACACAGGATTGATGGTCCCATTTGTTATTCCTTTCCACTGAGCCAGAACCTGCCCCAGGCAATGTGCTTCTCCTGGTGTGGTTCATCTCCCACTGGGCAGAACACAGGGTCCAGGGATGGCCCCTGACCAGGGCGGGACAGTGCTTTGGGAAAACCTTTGGTATGTGACCACATGCACTCCTGTGTGTGCTCAGCCCGAGATGTCCTGGAGTCAAAGTCCACTGGAGAGGATCCAACCCATCTTCATGTCCCCCCAGGACCTCAGCAGTCCCCTGAGGTCAAGAAGAGCTTGTGGTGGGAGGAGCAGAGGGAGTGACCAGCCCCAGGGAGAATGGGGCAAGCAGCGGGGCTCTCCCCAGCCTCCTGTCCCCTGCCCCGTTTTCTCAGGAGTCTCGAGACATTGTCTGGGATTGCGTGATGGTCATGCGGCCTTTGGATGGGGGCTCAGGGTGGAGGAGGGCAGGTTGGTTGGGACGGGTTCTAAATCCTTCTCCTGCCCCTGTTTACAGAAAGCTCTGGAGGCCCGGACTCCCCGGACACAGAGCCCGGCTCCTCAGCTGGTCAGTAGCAGGGCCCTCAGCTGGAGGGGATTACAGGGGAATCTGTGCTGCGGATGCTGTTCCGGGTCCAGCCCTCTGCCCTGGGCTTGGAGTCAAGGTCTAGGGAGGCCACGGGAAGGCACCGACACCCACCAAGCTCTGGGAGGTCGCTAATGCTCACAGAGACCATAGCAGCAATGGTACCGTGATTGCAACCTTGTTCCATGCCAGGAACTGTGGAAAGCACTTAATGCAAGCACCACTTAATGGGGGAGGTACTAGTCTGATCCTCTAACTCCTCCTCCTCTCTAATATGCAAAACATAAATTAAAGTTTCGTGCTTAACGGCACAAGGCCATGAAGGGGCAGGGGCCACCCACCCGGGCAGCCCCACCCCAGACTTCCGGGCTCGCCCGAGCTCCACGCTGCCCCCTTGTGGGCGTGGCCTCACCATTCACCCCGCTCTGCACCTGATGGAGGGACTTAGAACTCACCTTCCAACCTGGGACACCCGGAGAGGGACGGGGCTGCTCCTGTTGGCTCTGTGATCTCCGGGGGAGGCCTGAACGGTGGAGTAAGGTCCCTTAAGAGGAGGAGGGCTCCACAGGGAGGGGACGTAGCTGTGAACGGTGACCAGGATGAAGCCATGAGGCTTCCCTTCCATCTGGCTCTGCCCTGGACTCTGTGATGGGAGAGAAGCTGCCTCTGGCTCTGCCCCTGGACTCTGTGTGATGGGAGTGAAGCTGCCCCAAGTCCCTGGGTCTCAAGTTGTCCATCTCCGCCTGTGATCTGTGACCAGAAACTGCCAGGGGAGGACACGGGGTCATAAGCCATTCGCGGCCCCTTCCCCACCTGGGTTTCTATCCCCAGAGTACGTCCTTGGACCTAGACCCGGTGACTGCCTGTGAGGCTCGGGCTGTGAGCTCAGGCAGGTGGGACCAGGGGCTGAAGCCACATGGGGAGGTGGGAGGAGCGATGCCGTGCTCCATCCGGACCCCCTCAGAGGCTCCTGGGCTGCTGGGGCACAGCGGGACATGCTCCTGAGTCCCGCAGACCTGGTTCAAGTCCAGTGTCTGGTTTTTATTAGCCTTCTGTCTGCGGGAATATCTTGCCTCTGTTTCTCTCCCTCTCTTCTTCTCCTTCCTTCTCTCTTCTCTCACCTTCATGCAGTGACATATAAAGGTCACGAGGGCAGACCCTCCTGCAGCCAGATTGCTGGGTTCATGGTTCAAATCCCGGTGGTTCTGCCACCCCCTGGCTCTATGCCTGACGGTGACTCACCCAAACCTCCTGTGTCCCAAATTCCTCATGTGAAACAGAGGCAATAGAAGAGCTGTCCTGGTAGAATCGTTTAGGGCAGACTTGAGTTCAGGTACACACGGCGCTGACATCAGTGCTGATTAGAAAACCCCAAAGGAGGGATGCTCCTATTAATACTGAGGAAGTATTTTGTCCTCACAGGGACTGTGCCAGGCACTGAAGCCTCCGGATTTGATGCACCATGAATGAGGAGAAATGGCCTCCCGTCTTGTGAACTTCAATGGGGAGAAATAATTAGAATGAGCAATAGAAATGCACAGATGCCTATACATACATATACAAATAAAAAGATACGATTCGCAATGGAGAATTTCAGACCTATCATTTCAATTATATTAAATATGTTCACGTAATGTATTACATATATAAGGAACATAATTATATAATAAAAATATGTTAACATATCACCACATATCACTATAATTATATTATATGAAAGATTTATTTACAATATATAGTACAATAAATTTCAGGTGTTATTATAATTAATAAACAGGTACAAACATAAATATATATTATCTATTATTTATAGATTATAATTATAATAGAAAAATTTTATATTTAATTATATGTTTATATGTAATATACATTATACATTATATATTATAGTGAATATATGCAACATATATTATAAGTATAAATCATATACAATTAACATTATATACATTAAATTATGATGTATATGTCAAGATTACATAATTTAATATATATTTGTTATATATTATACGTTTGCATAATACATGATACATATAACTATAAATAATATAAAAACTGTAATATTGCACATATATAATACATATGTAATTTTAAATGGTGGCAAATGTTATGAAGACCAAGCCCAGGAAGTCATGGTGTAGAATAACGGGTGGTGTCCTGGACCTTGGACCGTGGAGGAGGCAGGAGGGAAGGACATTCCAAGAGAGAATGTCTGCCTTTCTTGAAGGATATTGAAGATGCTGCCTCGGCAGTGGGGGAGGGGAGGGACGCTGTTCCTGGAAGAGGGACGCTTGGCTCGGACCCTGGGTTTGGGGGAGCCCCTCAGGACCGCATTTAGCCACCTGGGAATTGGGTAGTGGCGTGCACTGTGCAGAGGAGGGTGAAGGTTGGAGGAGATGACGGGCGGCCTGCAAGGCGCCAGATGCCTGGGATCTCGGCTCGCTGCAACCTCCACCTCCCGGGTTCAAGCGATTCTCTTGCCTCAGCCTGCCGAGCAGCTGGGACTACAGGCACGCGCCACCACGTCGGGCTAATTTTTGTATTTTTAGTAGAGACGGGGTTCCACTATGTTGGCCAGGCTGGTCTGGAACTCCTGACCTCAGGTGATCCGCCCGCGTCAGCCTCCCAGAGTGCTGGGATTACAGGCGTGAGCCACCGCGCCTGGCCGATATATATAATTTTTAAAACTTCAACAAGAGCTCAGCCAGTTCTTTCTATGGGGCAATTGCTAATTTAGTTCTATGCAAATATCGACACATTAAGTCCTTGTACACACTGTCCTCAGCGTGCCTTATTATTTTCCCCCCTTTCCTCGGAGAAACTATCGACTGAGACATGGAGCAACCTCTCCAAGGTTAGCCAGGTCTCAGGGGCAGGGGCTGCCTGAACTCCAGGACAGGCTGCAGCTCACCGCGCTGGGAGGTTTCTGCCCTGCCATACTCTCAAATTTTAATTTGTACTGGGCTTTAATTTTCTTTTCTTTTCTTTTTTTTTTTTTGAGACGGAGTCTCGCTCTGTCACCCAGGCTGGAGTGCAGTGGCGCAATCTCGGCTCACTGCAAGCTCCGCCTCCCGGGTTCACGCCATTCTCCTGCCTCAGCCTCCCGAGTAGCTGGGACCACAGGCGCCCGCCCCCACGCCCGGCTAATTTTTGTATTTTTAGTAGAGACGGGGTTTCAACGTGTTCTCAATCTCCTGACCTCGTGATCCGCCCGCCTCGGCCTCCCAAACTGCTGGGATTACAAGCGTGAGCCACCGCGCCCGGCCGAGCTTTAATTTTCTATTTGTGCTCAAGTTTAATTTCCTTCCAGGATCTGTTTCCTAGACCTGTGCTCTTTATTTTTGCCTTCTTCTGTTACATGATGACTGATTTTCTCTGTTCTTTATGTGGGACACATTCTCCCTGCTCTCTCTGTGTGTGTGTGTGGTGTGCGTGTCTCTGCATCTCTGTATCTCTGTCTTTCTTCTCTCTGGTTGTTTTTCAACTATTAGCGCAGTGTCTTCTCCCATCACGTCTTGTTTGTTTGGCTTGGACCCTGAGGTGGACAGGTGGGTAAATGAGGCCTTCAGCAAAGGGTGGCAGCTTGACCTTAGCAGAGGAGGCTGTGTGAATTTTTCTACCCCTTGCAGAGCACAGGAGGGCTGAGCCGACCCCCGTACCTGCTCCAGTGTAAGGAAGTCCAGGATGTGCAGGCAGCCAGGCCACAGTGAAAAGCAGGACAGTCATGGTTTAGGGGAAATTAAACAAAAGCACCCAACTGTTCTTTTGTGGGGATTGGTGGAAAGAGGATGGGTCCAGGCAGAGGACAGAAAAGCAGAGGCAGCGACTCATCTTTTCTTCTGGATCCTCCAACCCGCCCAATGCAGGGGCTGGGACTCAGCGCGATGGGTCTGGGGACACTGCTGTATGGAGAGGATGTACCTCCTGCTCCACCGCCCCCAAGCCCACCTGGAGGAGGAGCCACGTTTAACACACCCGGTGGTGCAGTGTGGCCAGGCAGAGAGGGAAGGCCCACCCTGTGATCATGACCGCACCCTAATTCCCCTGAGGAGTGTCCTGGGGGTGAACATCAGGGGGCTGCAGTGGGGCCCAACATGGAGGGGAGGGGAGGCCTCACTTGGGCCAGATGGGGCAGCAGCAGATACTCACAAATGTCCCTGAATCCCTGGGACTAAGTGGACATTGAGTCAACAAGAAGGGTCCCCAGGCCTTGAGGGAGCAGAGAGAGGAAGGAAGGACAAATGGCTATCAGGTACAGACATCAGTGGGATCCCCCCGGCAATCTAGTAAGCAAACCCCACAGACCCCAGTCAGCTCAGGCCCAAAGCCCAAAGGCCAGCAGGAGGGCACAGAACCACTGTCCCAAGCATCACCTTTGAACCCTGCTTCCTCCATATTGGGCACTACCCTGGGAAGGAGCTCAGGAGAGAGGGAAAGTGGGAAGGGGAAATCATACTAAAGAAAGTGAAAAATGATTGTGAAGGGCTGAGTTTAAACTCCAGGGAGTGTGTGCGTGTTCACCAGGGGCAGCTTATGAGGAAGAGTGACATCAATGATAGAAGACGTATTTCTTTCTTTTCTTTCTTTTCTTTTTTTTTTTTTTTGAGACGGAGTCTTGCTCTGTCGCCCAGGCTGGAGTGCAGTGGCACAATCTCGGCTCACTGCAAGCTCCACTCCCAGGTTCCCACCATTCTCCTGCCTCAGCCTCCCGAGTAGCTGGGACTACAGGCACCCACCACCACGCCCAGCTAATTTTTTTGTATCTTTAGTAGAGACAGGGTTTCACTGTGTTAGCCAGGATGGTCTCGATCTCCTGACCTCGTGATCCTCCCCTCCCAAAGTGCTGGGATTACAGGCGTGAGCCACTGCATCCAGCTCCATAGAAGACGTATTTCTTCTGTTGAACTGAGTGCACGCTGATCTGTTGCACACACACACGTGAAGCCACACCAACACATACACGGATGGAATCCTCACTGGCGTGCAATGCTATTTAACTCCTCAGGTATTAACTACCTAAGGAAAGAAATGTAATTCATTGGATTTTTGATGATGCTTCAGTGAAATAAACCAGAGTCTGTTCCATCGAAAATGCCAGGTAAACGTTGACTATTTTTATTTTTCTCTGTTTTATCATGCATATATAACAGGCTTCCCCCCCCAACAGGGTCAATATTTTACGGGCCCTTTTATAAACTGCTTGTTCTGTTAAAAATTCACCAGAAGCATCCCTCCTTCTGTTGCACGTCCGCAATGAGCCCTCAGTTTGTAGCACATCCCACACTGCACACCCTCCTGAAAAATGCTTGGTTTGTGTGATAACATGCCCTGTCCCTTTCTCTCTCCACCAGGCTTTTCCATGTGGAGAAACGTCACTTAAAATGTTTCACATTTGATAGGGAGTCAGTGGCGCTATGTATGGACTGTGCTTCAGTTTCTTTGCATGTGGTTTTTTTTTTTTTTTTTTTGAGACGGAGTCTTGCTCTGTCACCCAGGCTGGAGTGCAGTGACATGATCTTGGCTCATTGCAACCTCCACCTCCCAGGTTCAAGCGATTCTCCTGCCTCAGCCTCCTGAGTAGAGTAGCTGGGATTACAGGCATGTGTCACCACACCTGGCTAATTTTTGTATTTTTAGTAGAGATGGGGTTTCATCCTGTTGACCAGGCTGGTCTCGAACTCCTGACCTCAAGTGATCTGCCCCACCTTGGCCTCCCAAAGTGCTAGGATTACAGGCGAGAGTCACTGTGCCTGGCCAAAATGTGGAGAATTTTAATAGGTATTTTGTTGCCGACCTTTTCTTCCTGTTTCCTTGGGGATTCGGGTGGTTACTTTCACACAGAAAGAAAACAGCTTTTCCTGAGGACAGTGGTTCCCACCATGGAACTGAGACACGCTGAGCGTGTGAGAGATGCCCAGAGTGGCAGTCATGGCATCCTGATCTGCAGACCACTTCTCGGCTTCTGTCCAGAGCAGAGGCCAGGTGTCTGGACTTCCCTTTCTCAGACCGTTGGACCAGCTGGGCAGGGTGTTGAAGAAAAAAAAAATCCAGTGTCACTTGTTGAGGCACAATAAGGAGGACATTATTTAGGACTATTGCTGTAGGTACAGGGACCATGGTGATGGAATTGCACAGTGTGGGAAAGAGACTGGGCTCAACTCTGAGTAGAACAGGAAAAGTGGGAATTTGTAGCCTTGGAGCAGGGTGAGCGGGGTCAGTCAGTGGAAAATTGCTAAGAGAAGTCCTCAGGGGTTAAGAAGACCCTGGCTAAACCGACCCAGCAGGATTCTTGCTGAAGGCAGGCCAAGGCGGCCAGACATCACCTGAGGCTGATGGAGAATGAAGGTTCTTACCTGTGAACCATCTGATTAAGGGTGATCAGATATCTAGAGTTAAACTGACTCTGCAGGATTCTTTCTTAAGTAAGAATTGGAAAAGAGTTGCAATTCTTACTAAAATTGGGCAAAGCAGAGATAAACATGGAAGCCCAGAGGTCAGGGCTCGTTGGAAAAGAGCTCAGAGGAGCCTGAGTCGAGCATGGTCAAGGAGATCGTCTATCTGAAGGGAGAACGTAGAGCCTGGGCAGGTGTTGGGGAGGAGGGTTTAGACCAAGAATCACAAAGCTCATGGGCCTTGCTTCATGGAGGGATCACAGACCCAAGAGCTTCATTCTCTTCTTCTTGAAGAAATGTGACCACTGGGGCTGGGTCTCTCCTGGGCTTGAGAGTGAGGTCTGGGGAAACCCACAGGTCTGTGCCCTTGGAGAGGCTTAGCCCACCTGTTCCCAGGAGGACACCACAGCCAACAGTGAGAACCTGTCCTCCATCTCTATCAGACTACACCTTGCTGACCCCAAGAACCAGAAGGGAGTGTCTTCCCCTAGGACCCCAGCTCTGCTGGGAGACCTCTCGTACCCATGGCCTCTGCCAGTCACTCTCACCTGTGACCCTAAAAAGTCTCAAGCCCTTCTCTGCATGTTCCTAATTCTTGGTCCATCCTATCCTCTTGGGGATGGCCCTTTGCATGGAACATCACTGCAGGCCTCAGGAACCCCAGGACAGAGCAGAGTCCTCCGCTTCCTCCATCCTGTGAGCAGGTGACTTGGGATTTCAGATGAGGCTGGCAGTGACTGGAGATTTCGGAATCTGACAGATGCTTTTAACTACCTGGAAGGACTGTGCCCTAAGAGACAGAAGATATGAGAAGCATGAGAATCCACTGAAATGTAAAGGGCTTTAGAGCTACAAGAGAAGCTCTAAAAAGACAAGGAAATGCAGAAAGCCCCCAGTTCCTCAGTGGCTTGGGAGGGAGGTGCAGACTTCCTGACTATACAGGAGATGATGGGAAGACTCATTACGGATGGGGGCTAGGAGACCACCCTTCCTTAGTTACGTGTTTTGTGCTGTGTCTTGACAAGAGAGATGAATCAGGGTCCTAGGTGAGAATTCACCACCATCCAAGACCTAAATGGGTGTGTGTAGACTCTGAAGTCCAAGAAGTTCTGCCGACCGACGTCTGCACAAACCACTCTCAGCAAAACAACCACTAGAGTAATCCAGGGTTTCAGAAAGAGTTGGTCTTTTCCAATCTAGCGGAGAATATCTTCTCCCAGTGAGAGAGGGACACACACACACACACACACACACATACACACACAGTATTGGCTCTGTTTTCTCTGAAGTGTGTGGCCTTTTTTTTTTTAAGGTGTTGTAGATTACTTGGAACTAAATAGAGGTGATGGTTGAAGAAGATTATGAATGCACCAAATTCCACTGATTTGTACACTTTTACATAGTTAATGGTTAGTTTTATGTTTGCGTACTTTATTACAATAAAAAGTAATGATATAGTATTTGTAGAGCAAGTAGCAAAGTCCCAATATGAGTAGAATCTTATCATGCTCATAATTTATACACACAGTGCATTGAAATAAGACACTATTTTCGGACAGGCGCGGTGGCTCATGCCTGTAATCCCAGCACTTTGGGAGGCTGAAGCGGGAGGATCACAAGGTTAGGAGTTTGAGACAAGCCTGACTAACATGGTGAAACTCTGTCTTCACTAAAAATACAAAAATTAGCCGGGCATGGTGGCGTGAGCCTGTAATCCCATCTACTCAGGAGGCTGAGGCAGGAAAATCACTTGAACCAGGGAGGCGGAGGTTGCAGTGAGCCGAGATCATGCCATTGCACTCCAGCCTGCGTGACAGAGTGAGACTCCATCTCAAAAAAAAAAAAACAAAACAAAACACTATTTTCTATTACCAAGGCAAGGCCAGAGTGATTCCCTTTTTGCTTCCTCTCTGCCCACGATGGTGTACAGTAGAAAAAAAAATGGCCTTATCCAGATGTCAAGATTCCATAGTTCATATGAACATCATCTACACCTTGAGCTTCTCCACCTCTTGCTAAATTCTGACTCCTATTCCAAATGTTCCCAATATATCTGGTCCTATATCTAGACACCATTCCTATTTCCCCTGTCTGGATGCAGTCCAAGGAGAGTGGTTCTTGCGGTTACTGTTTACAGTACTGACTGGGATGCTGGCGCCTGTCTGTAGTTTCAGCACCATGGCCAGCGTCCAGGAAGCCACACAGCTTTCTCCATTGTCGTCTCTTAGTTGATCATTTGCATATGCTGAGTCCCTATCTTGGGACTCTGAAATAGAGTCTTCCTGGAAAAATCTAATCAGTAACTTTTTTTTCAGGGCAATATTCAGGCATTAGGGTAAATTGGAAAAAGAGGATGCCAGTTGTTAAGGCGATGTTTTTGGAAAAAAAATAACCCTTACATTCCATGGATTCTGCAAGCAAGTAGAATGGCCTGTTGTGGGGTCGGGGGTGGGGGAGGGGGAGGGACAGCATTAGGAGATATACCTAGTGTAAATGACGAGTTAATGGGTGCAGCACACCAACATGGCACATGTATACATATGTAACAAACCTGCACATTGTGCACATGTACACTAGACCTTAAAGTATATACATAAAAAAAAAGCTCAGAATGTGGGCTCCCACACTCATCAGGACAACTAGAATAATCCAGGGTGTCAGAAAGAGTTGGTTCTCTCCAATCTAGCTGAGAATATCTCTTCCCGGACTTTCAAGATACCAGCTATTGGGTAATGGCCAAACGACAACAGGCTTTAAATCACACCAAACTGCTTTCAAAACCTGAATCTGACCTTGCTATCTTTATGTGCTTGGGAGAGTCACATTACCTGTCTAAGACTCACTTTGCTTTTCCATAAAATGGCACTAATAATGCTGTCTGCTTTGTAAGCATGTTTGGAAGACGGATGATCGGGGATTATTATATTCTGCCTCTCTGTTTAGCTAGGAGGGAAGGCTCCGGAGCCAGGAAGGCTGGGATATGATCATTGCTTTGTCTCTGAAAACTATGAGATTTAGGAAAATTACCCACTTGACTCAATTTTGTCATTTATAAAATGAGGGCAATGCCAGTACCTACCTTATATAGAGTTTTGGTGGAGAACACATAGTTACTGCATGTGACGTGCAAAGTAAACTCTGAACATGTTGTTAGACTCACTCAATAATGTGGGCTATTGTGATCACTACTATAATGTTACTCTAAAAACGATGATAATATTATCATAGTTTTGTGGCTACACAGAGCCTGATAAACTTTGCTCAGTAATAATACCTGTTTTTATGAATCATTGTTAACATTTTCTTGAAGGTCCTTGGACATCTGACATATTCCCTGATTTACTTTCCAAAGTTCTGGGCTCCCCATCTCAAGCTTACAGACTTAGCCTGGACGGATGCCGGCATTTGTTTTTTTCAAATATTTACTCAGCAACATCTCCTGGGACTCGGGACTCTGATGTGCCACATCCTGTATAGGAAACAGGTGATGTGGAAATGAGTCAGACTCAGCTCCTGCCCCTGACAGACTCTGACAGAGAAATCTGCAATGCACTGATAAGACTCTGCTACCAGAAGCTTAGGCGCTGCTGAAACGCAAAAGAGATACCAATTTATCTTTTCCTAAGGAGTGAAGGAAAGCCCCTTGGCCATGAAAACCCCTCAGATGGTACCAAAAATATAGACAATTGATCCAGAGAGGAAAAGAGGGGAAGGAAAGAGTAGAGAGCATCCTCAAATGAGAGAGCAGTGTATTCGGAAGCATCAGTAGCTATGAGAAGCTACAGGCTCAAACAAGGGGAAAGATTTAGGAGGAGAATTATTCTCAATTGCTGGAGTGAGGGGTTGAGCCAAATAGGTTAAATTAAAATTTTCATTGTTGACCATGGAAGGGCTGCGCACTGGGGCAATAGGAGAAACCTCCAGGAGTGTTCAGGGAAAGAAAGCAATTAAACGTGGATCATGTTTTTTGTTGTTGTTTTTGTTTTTTGTTTTTTTTTCTGAGATGAAGTCTCGCTTTGTCGCCCAGGCTGGAGTGCCATGGTGTGATCTTGGCTCACTGCAACCTCCACCTCCCGGGTTCAAGTGATTCTCCTGCCTCAGCTTCTGGAGTAGCTGGGATTACAGTCATGCACCACAAGGCCCAGCTAATTTTTGTATTTTTAGTAGAGATGGGGTTTCACCATGTTGGCCAGGATGGTCTCGATCTCCTGACCTCGTGATCTGCCTGCCTTGGCCTCCCAAAGTGCTGGGGTTACAGGTGTGAGCCATGGTGCCTGGCCAGATAAATTTTTAAAAGAGAGGGAGATTTGGCTGGGCATAGTGGCTCACGTCTGTAATCCCAGCACTTTGAGAGACTGAGGTGGGTGGATCACCTGAGGTCAGGAGTTCGAGAACAGCCTGGCCAACATGGCTAAACTCCATCTCTACTAAAAATACAAAAATTAGCCAAGCATAGTGGCAGGTGCCTGTAACCCTAGCTACTCAGGAGGTTGAGGCAGACAAATCGCTTGAACCCGGGAGGCAGAGGTTGCAGTGAGCCGAGATCACACCACTGCACTCCAGCCTGCAATAGAGAGAGACTCCATCTCAAAAAAATAAAATAAAATAAGAAGATGACTGTGGGAATGGTAAACTGATTTCCAGGATGGGATACCCAAAAGGCACTGCAGACCTGGGGAGAGGGTAGCAGCAATATTGACTTTCATTGTGGACACGGCGAGTAGAAAAGTCCTGTAGGGAACTCTATAGGTTCTTGCCTAAGGGAAGAGTCACAAAGCTGTTGGACAGAAATGGAAACACTACCAAAAGCATCAACGGAGAAGAGAAAAAGGAAAAGAGTACAAGGGATGGGGATAGGGTAGAAAAGGATGATTCTCAACAAGTCAGGATTTCTCCTACCCAAACATCTATGGTATACACCTGCCACTCCTTGCCAATACTTTTGTCATTATATATATATTTGAGACAGAGTCTTGCCCTGTCGCCCAGGTTGGAGTGCAATGGCGCAATCTCGGCTCACTGCAGCCTCCAACTCCCGGGTTCAAGTGATTCTCCTGCCTCAGCCTCCCGAGTAGCTGGGATTACAGTCACCCACCACCACACCCTGCTAATTTTTGTATTTCTTTATTTATTTTTTTAGTAGAGACAGGGTTTCACCATATTGGCCAGGCTGGTCTCCAACTCCTGACCTTGTGATCCACCCACCTTGGCCTCCCAAAGTGCTGGGATTACAGGCGTGAGCCACTGCGCCTGGCCTACAAATGTGTTAATATCTCAGGGTGTGTGTGTGTCTCTGGGGAGGGCCAGGTGGTTTTCTGTGCTGAGTTTGCTCTGTAGGGAAGAGCTGTGTTTTCTGGGGCTGTAGAGTTTAGCTCAGTCCTGATCATCAGCAATACGAATGTCAAACAGGAAGGCTTGTGTCTTATTTGGATGAAGATGCAGACCTGTGGAAGGATTTTGATCAGGGCCAGAAACAGGAAAGTTTGGGGCTATGAGAATTAATAGACGTCAGCAGCAGTGAGGGTCTGGAGTAGGGGGCTGGGAGGAGGCTGATGTGGTGACAGAGACACGATGTCTTCAGTCTCCAGCTAAGCTTGGACTGTGGGGATGGGTCAGGGGACGTGGGTGAGGAGGGACTGGGGGAAAGAGCTGTTTGGATTTGTTCACGGTGTGGGGAGCAGAAGAGCGTGAGGAACTGAGAGTTGCTCCAGTCTCTGCCTTGGTTCACTGGAGGAGCCGATGGGGCTGTCTCGGGATGGATGACCCCAGGAGAAGCAGCAGGCAGGGGAGGTGTTTATAAGATGGATAACTGGCCTCAGAGAAAGCAGAGCCTCCCTCCAAGCCCGAGTGTGTGGTTTTGTTCCTCCCAAACACTTCCTTCATCTGACTTCCTTTGTTCTATAATTAGCAGCACCTTCTCTTCATTCTTCTCTTTCAAAACCTCTGATTCATTTCTACCTCCTCACTACAGTGTGTTTTCTGAAAGTTCTCAAAGCACAGACTAATTCCCATTTTCCAGGAGAACCACACATTTCATATGGCTTCAAGCCAGACAATGGGAATCCACGCAGAGAGAACATGCACGCACACAAACAGGAAGGACGCAGACGGGCTTTGGGGGTGACGAGGGACAGCTTCACCCTGAGGTCTCAGGCGAGGGGCGAGGAAGGAGACTCATGTGAACTCCTCTGTCTCTGCTCTCAGGCTTGTTCACAAAACCCTGCATCTCAGCGCACCCAAGCCCCCTGGTGCACGCAAGAGCCAGCGTGAGCCTGCGCTGTCACTCAGAGCTGGCCTTTGATGAATTTATCTTATACAAAGAGGGGCACACACAACATTCCCAGCAGTATGGTAGGATGATCCAGGCTGGGGATCACTCCTTCAAGGCTGTCTTTTCCATGGGTCCTATAACGCCTGCCCGTGCAGAAGCCTATAGGTGCTGTGGCTGTTTCAGTCACTCCCGCTATGAGTGGTCGGCTCCCAATGACCCCCTGGACATTGTGATCACAGGTGAGTGTGGCTGGACCATTCGTGGTCTTTTGGTGCCCAGGAAACTCCCCAGGGTGATGTGGTTGTTGATCAAACCGCCAGTAGAGGAAGAAAAATACCAGAACATAGAAACACCAAGTAACTTATTAGAGGGCCAGAGGAGGGGATGAAGGAAAGGGGGAGAAACAGAGAACTTGTGATAGTTAAAGAGAAAACAAGTTAGACAGTGACAGAGAATGTGAAACAGATATTGAGAGAGATTCGCAAACATAGACAATGCCTCCTCCTGACCTCTCACCTGTGTCCTTAATGCCTCCTCCTGACCTCTCACCTGTGTCCTCAGTGCATCCTCCTGACCTCTCACCTGTGTCTTCAGTGCCTCCTCCTGACCTCTCACCTGTGTCCTCAGTGCCTCCTCCTGACCACTCACCTGTGTCCTCAAACATCACTTCCTCATGACTCCCTTTCCGCAACAGAAGAGCTATGCCAGTCTATTTTCTAATCACCCATAGCCAAGGAATGATTCCACATACGAATGTCATAGTGCGTAGTTACCTGTTTTGTAGTTATTTCTAGACATCTATCACATCCCCTAGACTAGCAGGGCTCACAGGACAGGATCCATGTCAGTGAAGCGTATGCTTTATTTTTCATTCTTGGTTAATTGTATGAAATAAGGTTGACATTTATAGACATATGCTGGCAGAATGGATGGAAGCATGGATGGACTATAAATGGACAGACACAGAGGGAAGAGTTGATGATGTATTCAGTATTCAAAGGCACACTTAAAATCTGTCGTATATCAAGCCAGCAACCTCTCCTGCTGCTTTCCCCCTTGAATTCTGGGATATTCAGCTCTGCTCTCAGTTTCCTGGCTCAGGGATTTCCTCCTTGTCCATTTTGCCCAGGTGAGACGCACACAGAGATCACAAACTCAGATCAGCCTGACAAATCCTAAAGCAAGATCATACCTGCAGCATTGACTATATAATCCACTGGACCCCATGCAAAATGAAAATAGAGGGCCCCATGTTCAAACATCAAGATGTCAACACGAGGGCATTAAACTCAGCTTGGAACTCTGATGGCACGGCTCCTGGACAGTGAAGCCAGCCCTGCACAGAGACATAAGCAATTGGGGGATTGCACACAGCATATACCAGGCACCTCGAGATCCCAGAGCTGCATGCACCCAACACACGCCAGGTATTCCAGATGCATCAGACAGAAAGTGCCCCTGGAGGTGATGGTTGCAGATCTGGGGGCCTCCAAAGCCCACTTCGCCACTCTCTGCTTCAGTCGTCATACTGGACATGGACTGTGTCCCTGCACAGACCCTGTGTATACCTAGTCCGTTCACTGCACTGCAGGGACTCAGACTTGGTAACTGAGTGTATGAATGTGTATGAATGAAAATAGCATGTTGATTGTGTTGGATTATCTTTACTTAACAAAGTGGCATGCAGTTTTATGAAGTTTTAAATGGAATAAATAGTGACGTCTTCACATAAGCCTCCTTAGGAAGTGACTAATATCACCCACGCTTACAGGATGAGGAGGTTGAGCTTCACAGCTTGTGCAGCAGGCTGAGAGTCACGGAGCAAACAGGCCGCAGATCCTGGAATGAGCCCAGGCTGGCAGAGGTCAGAACCCAGTCTTGTGACCACAATGCTTTGCCACCTGTGTTAGCTTCCTGGGGCTGTCCTAACAAAGTCCTGCAATCTGCGTGGCTTAACACCACAAAATCAATTCACTTATAATCCTGGGAAGTAGAAGTTTGCAAGTAAGGTGTCAAGGAGGCCATGCTCACTCTGTAGGTTCTAGGAAAGAATCCTTCCACATCCCCCCCACCTTTTTTTTTTTTGAGACAGAGTCTTGCTCTGTCACCCAGATCTGTGGAGCGATCTTGTCTCACTGCAACCTGCACATCCTGGGTTCAAGTGATTCTCATGCCTCAGCCTCCCGAGTAGCTGGGACTACAGGTGTGCACCACCACACCTGGCTAATTTTTGTATTTTTTTAATTTAATTTTTTTTTGAGAGAGAGTTTCACTCTTGGCATCCAGGCTGGAATGCAATGGTGAGATCTTGGCTCACTGCAACCTCTGCCTCCTGGGTTCAAGTGATTCTCCTGCCTCAGCCTCCCAAGCAGCTGGGACTACAGGCATGAGCCATCATGCCCAGCTAATTTTTGTATTTTTAGTAGAGATGGGGTTTCACCAGCTGGTTTTGGCCAGGCTGGTTTCAAACACGTGATGTCAAGTGATCTGCCCACCTTGGCCTCCCAAAGTGCTGGCATTACAGGTGTGAGACACTGCCTGGCCCCAAATCATTCATTCATTCATTTATTCATTCTTCATTGAGTCATTCGGTAATTCCCCGTATAGTTACTAATCACTAAATGTGTGCCAAGTACGGGGCTCCTCACTTCGTACAATTACGGTATATTGTAGACACAAAGAGTGTCTTCATGGTGGGAACTGGAGGAGAAACAATGAAAAAGTGGAGAAATAGAAATAAATGACATCAATGATAAATTTTATGAAAGAAAATGTTAAAACTAAACCATGAAAACTAATACAGAAGCCTACTTGCCTACGGTGGTAAGGAAAGAAATCTTGGAGCTGGTGATATTTGCACTCAACAGTGATATGAGGTGTGGGGAGAGGGATGGAAGTTGAGATAGAGAGAAGAGCACGTGCAAAAGTCCTGGGGTGAGGGAAATGTGAAGGATCCATTTCTTTTGCTGTAAATAAGACAACATACTGTCCTGAGTGTATGTGGGTATTTATAAAGTAATAATATTTATCTAAAACTTGGAGTGAAGTATCTGAATGAACGTATGCTTCGAGTAAGGGTTATAAACCATTGTGTCTATTTATGTACAGATGAGAATACCACATATTCCAGCCCTGCCGTGAAGGAAAGGTGGAATCAGAGATGAGGAATCTTCAGCTCAGATAGGAGACACACAGAAAGGTTTGCATGTGGAAGTGCCAGCCTGTCAACCTCTCCAGAGGCTCCAGAAGTGAGGCCAGAATTTTGATGATAGGAGATAGACTTTGGAGGTCATCACCCACATCCCCTGTCATGGTCACTGTCATTGTCCCTATTCCAGGCAGTCAGAAGGAAAAATGAAGGATGAACATAATGCGTTGGGTTCAATGGGCCAGGGCTGGAAGCAGCCACCTCTCCTGGGCAAAGCCTCAATTTCACAGATCTTCTCAGGTGAGAATTGAATCACTGCAAATGAAAAGCTTGCCCTTGGGTTGTGTCGACAGGTTTGAAGCAGGCAGGGAAATCTATTCATGGCAGAGATATAAACGCTCCCTTTATTCTATGGGTGGATGTGGATCAAGAATTCTAGACACACAGGGTGAAGCCTGTGTCCAAACTAATAGGACCTTCACACTGTTTTCAGCATGGAGAGCTCACAAGTATTGGAGGATTGGGAGAATGGGGTGTCTGGAATAACGTAAAGCAACAGGAAGCTTGATTCACCCAGATGGGTAACCTGAGCATATGCCCTCCTATGGATCAGCTCAGGAATTCCACGCTGGCTTCAACACAAAGGCCTTTTCACCCGTGCTTGCTAACATTCAGATTCCCATTAAAGATGTGTGTTTTTAATTAATCATTTCAAATAAAACCTTGACATTATTTTGCATTAATTTTTCATGTTTAAGTAATTGGTTTAATCGAGAAACGGAAGTGCATGAGGCAGATACTAAGTTAGTTAGGTCATTGCAAATATTTAGTTGGACTTTTATCATCCCTCGGCCTCAGATTTTCTGAAGCCTCTGATGCCGTTCACCCCTCTGACCTACGTGAAAGTAGCTCTTATCTTGTTCACCTTTTGGACCTTGTTTCAAAAGTAATGATAGAAATGAGCAGTCCAGTTGAGAAAACAAGATACTCTGGGAGGGTAGGTGCTGAAAATTCTTGGAGAAACCAAAGCTGAAGACAAGACTCTCAATCAATTGATCTTGGCAAGGAATTGTGTTTTCTCTCTTCACTGTTTAATACTGGTCAATACAATTATGGATGTTTTGATCTGGAGTGATTCTTTGTTAACATCTCTCGTATTCATCCAGAGAATGTAAATAAGGGCATAAAACAAATGTAAATATTCCTATGATAAAATAATTATTCTGCTATGGAGAATATTGGATCTTGCTCCTTAGCGTGGGTTATTTGGGTGAAACACTGAGAAACATGAATGTCAAAGAGTCCTACACTGTGAAACCCCGTCTCTACTAAAAATACACACACACACACTCACACACACAAATTAGCCGGGCGCGGTGGCGGGCGCCTGTAGTCCCAGCTACTCAGAAGGCTGAGGCAGGAGAATGGTGTGAACCCGGGAGGCGGAGCTTGCAGTGAGCCAAGATCGCGCCACTGCACTCCAGCCTGGGGGACAGAGTGAGACTCCGTCTCAAAAAAAACAAAAACAAAACCAAAAAAACAGTCCTAAGCTTTCTAGGACCAAGGAAGCAGCTACTCACTCGCAATCGCTAGAGTGTTCCCATCTTCCAACACCCACCTTGATTTTCTCTAGTCCACCAATGAGTCAGGTCTCAGCATGGTTGAAGCAGGGAAGGAGCATCTCATGCTGCTTTCCTTGTGGTCATACCTTGCCAATGCCACTTCCAGAGGCAGGTTTTTCATTCCTTCTTTCAGCTTTCAGGGTCTGGATACTCTGAGGACACTGGTTTTGCCTCTGTGCATTGATGAATGCCTCCGTTAATCTGCAAGTGAAGAGTAAGGAAATTGCTTTTCACACATTACTTAGAGGGCTTTTGGTACTGTCAGCGAAGGACACTTGTCTGATGATATCGATGTCAACCACAACTTGCAAAATATCCCATAGACTCAAATTTTAGGAAACTATTCTAACCAAAGCTCATCATCTGAAAGCTGTTGCTCTATGCACAGGGTCCTGGGCTTCTCTGTGTGTGGCTCTTCCCCCCACACAGGAGACCCATCCTCTCGTGAGATCTTCACCCTGCGCAGGAGACCCGTCCTCTCCCGAGATCTTCGCCCCGCGCGGGAGATCCGGCCTCTCCCGAGATCTTCACCCCAGGAAGGAGACCCGTCCTCTCGCAAGATCTTCACCCCACGTAGGAGACAGGTCCTCTCGCGAGATCATCACCCCATGCAGGAGACCCGTCGTCTCGCGAAATCTTCACCCCTAGCATGAGATTCCCTCCTATCGCGAGATCTTCACCCAACTCAAGAGACCCGTCCTCTCCCGAGATCTTCAAGGCACGCGGAAGACCCGTCCTCTCGCGAGATCTTCCATGCGATGGCTCCTGCCTCTGCTCATATCCAAACTCCTCCTCAGCCAGGTGTCTGCTGACTCCACTGCCATCATCCCAGAAATTTGTTCCTAGAGAACACAAACAAATTTCTTCTCTATTCTTCATACCAAAGAAAATACTATGATATTTCTGCATGTTTATATTATTGTTAAGTGAACGGCAGTAATTGCTTATCTTCCAAAACGAAGAGCTGAGTAATGATATATCTTTAAACTCCATCCTTTTGACAGTGATTGAAATGGACAAAACAGTAGAAAGTAGAGCTGATATGTGTGATCACTTTTAATGACACAGATTAACAGTGAAAACCACAAAGACCTGTGGTACTTGTATCTAGGTAGTAGAACATTGGCCTGTAAACACAGCACTTCGGGAGGCCGAGGCAGGTGGATTGCCTGAGGTCAGGAGTTCGACACCAGCCTGCACAACATGGCGAAACCCCGTGTCTACTAATGATACAAAAAATTAGCTGGGCATGGTGGTGCAAACCTGTAATCCCAGCTACTCGGGAGGCTGCCAGATCCAGCCACGAGACACCTTTCAAAAAAAAAAAAGAACTTGGTGTATAAGATAATTTTTACACTGCCATAAAGAACTACCTGAGACTGGGTAATTTATGAAGAAGAGAGGTTTAATTGACTCACAGTTCCACAGACTTAACAGGAAGCATGACTGGGAGGCCTCAGGAAACTTACAATCATGGCGGATGTTGAAGGGGAAGCGGGGACCTTCTTCTCATGGCTGCAGGATAAAGAGAGAACCAGGGGAGACGTGTCACACTTTCAAACCACCAGCTCTTGTGAGAACTCATGATCATGAGAACAGCAAGTGAGAAATCTGCCCCCATGATCCAATCATCTCTCACTGGGCCCCCCTCCAATACATGGAAACTGCAATTCGAGATGAGATTTGGGAGGGGACATAGCCAAATCATATCATTTTGCCCCTGGCCCCTCCCAAATCTCGTGACCTTCTCACATTTCAAAACCAATCATGCCTTCCCAACAGTTCCCAAAGTCTTAGCTCATTCCAGCATGAATTCACAAGTCCAAGTCCAAAGTCTCATCTAAGACAAGGCAAGTCTCTTCCCCGTATAAGCCTGTAAAATTAAAAACAAGTTAGCTACTTCCAAGATACAATGGGGATATAGGCACTGGGTGAATGTTTCCATTCCAAATGGGAGAAATTATCCAAAGCCAAGGGGCCACAGGCCGTGTGGTGATGGGTTTGTAGGTGCAGCAAACCACCAGGGCACAAGTTTACTTATGTGGCAAACCTGCACGTCCTGGACATGTACCCTGGAACTTAAAATAAACAAAATAACATTGATTATAAAAAGATATGAGGCCTAGAGAATCCCAGGAATACCTCCGCCGAACCCCACAACCCACAACCCCAGTGTCACTAGGTTGCTGGGACAACACTGGCACTACCTGCCTCAAAACTTATTGTGAAGTGAAACATTAAATGTCTTTATTATTAAAACAAAAGGAGAGAATGACAATGATCGTAACAAATACTTTCAAGCTTTATGGACATATACAAATTGTACATATTTGGTGGGTGGAATATGATGTTTTGATGTATGTGAAATAATTACCACAATCGAGCTAACAAGAAAGTGTCTCTCCCCTCACAGGGTTATCATTTTTGTCTTCATTTTTTTTTATGTGGTGAGAATATGTAAGACGTATCCTGTTAGCAAATTTCAGGTGTGTAATACAGTCTTTTTACACTATAGTCAGGCGGGTTTTGAGTGTGGGAAATGAGGACACGTTGGTCAAAGGCTACAAAGTTTGGTTATGCAGGATGAAAATGTTCTAGAGATCTAATGTAAGCATGGTGACGATAGCTCACAGAGCTTCCGATGGAAGAGGCTATTTTGTGTGCAGATTTTGCCTTGCTCCAAGATGGCAAAACTGCAGAAGAAATTGTCCAATGGGCAGAAGAAACTGGAGGTTTATTGGGATGTGTTGACTTCCCTCCACCAATTGAAGATAAGAGATGACCAGAATTCAAGGTGCTGCCTACTTCACGTTAGTATTGAGGAAGGAGCTCATTCCTCTTAACAATGAAGAGTAATCAGATTTTAAACTGTCATGGTTGCTGTAAAGAAAAAGCAAAGCGTAAGTATACCCTAATAAAATTTTTGTGTATAAGAAGGGAAACTATTCAGAAAGTGAAAGTGATACAAATATGAGATAGCCCCAGAGAAATTTGAGGCACCTCGAGTTTCTTTCAAAAATAAAATGCAATTGGGAAGCCAAGGCAGGCGGATCACCTGAGGTCAGGAGTTCGAGACCAGCCTGCCCAACATGGCGAAACCCCATCTGTACTAAAATTACAAAATATTAGCTGGTGTGGTGGTGGGGGTCTGTAATCCCAGCTATTCGGTAGGCTGAGGCAGGAGAATCTCTTAAACCTGGGAGGCAGAGGTTGCAGTGAGCCGAGATCATGCCACTGCACCCCAGCCTGGGCGACAAGAGTGAAACTTCGTCTTAAAATAAATAAATGAATAAATAAATAAATAAAATGCATTAAAACACCAAAACATAGAAATGTTATATAAGTTAGAAGAGTTATTTCCCTCATTTTAATGATGCTAAAAGTGAGGTAAAAATAAAAAGAAATTCGTGAATTTATAAGAAATGTATTAAATAAGTGAAACATATTAAAATACAGAAAAGATAAAGTAACTGTAGCTGGAAACAGAGAGAGGCATGCTTGCAGAAAGTATATAAAAAGGGATGGAAACATATACATATTTAAAAAATAATCAGCCAGGGTACAGTCATATGAAGACAGATCAAGAACACCCAATGTTTTTAAAATTGGAATTTTTGAAGAAGAGAACGCAAGCAAGGAATAGATAGGATCTAGTTTATTTGTCCAGGATCCATATTTGAAAAATTCAGGTATGGCTTATTTCTGACCTTCTGAATTTACTCTTTTATATGTTTTTCCAGAGGAATCCATAAGCCTGTTAGGAGATTAGGCTACGAAATTTCTTTAAATGTACCTCAAGTGAATAGAACCTTTTAAATCATCATGAATGGACACGAAACTCACCACTGGCTCTTGCCTGCAAGAGCCTTGTTTCTTTACCTAATTCATCAACTATTTGTATTTATTGTTTGGGCAGCACTTCTGGAAAATTTGCACGATATACCTAAGATCTACAGATGATGTGGGTCCTTCTGGAAATAATTCATGAAGGAAAATAGTTTAAAGACATACTAATTACCATGTAATGCATCAAGGGCATTCAATATTTAGTAGAGCTTGTTTTAGTGAAGAGTTGCGAATTTAGGTATTGAATTCAGTAATCAAAATATGCCCCACATCAATATCCCAAATTAACTCCTGTAATTATTTATACTTCTCAACACTGCTTTAAAAAGCACAGAATCACATTCTTCAATATAAAATTAAAAATTTCCAATTTCATGGAACGCTTTGAAATTTTTATGGACTTAACCCTCACCTTCAAAAGCCAAACTTTTGAAGTTATCAGTGTTCAAATTTTCCTTCTTCAAAGGCCATGGCCCCTCTGCTATTACTTATGCTGTGTCTTGTTCTCACAGTCCAGTGTACGCTTACTTCTTAGAACTTTAATTTGTACTAAATAAAAATTGCACTGGATTAAAACAGTTTACTTCATAAAGCTGTTGGCCTCATCCCAATGTGTAAACACTGCTAAGCTGTCTTCCTGGCAAGAAACCCGTAAACACCATGAAGTACATTTAGCAACGTCAATTAACAAGTTCTCCTCATTTTTAACCAATGCATGCGTCATATTTTTAAGTGGGTATTTGTCCCGTGTGTTTGCTTGCAGGGTGACTGTCCACTACTGAGGTCTTGAACTTTGCAAATCTCACTTCCAAGTCAATCAATTATAACACATTTTATGAAACATAGCACAATGTTTAATAAATGGCACCATTGATTTGTAAAAATTATTTCTCATAGGTGATACATTTGCTTACAGGTACAGATATTTGTATCACAGCATTTATTCAACATATTTTTCTATTGTAGAATATATTTAAGTAAATGTTAACATCAAGTTCATCCTCTGTCATCTGTAATCAGGTATTTTCTGAGAAGTGGAAAAAACAACAGAATCTGACAACGGTTGCTGGCAGTTTTGGGGTCATCACTCTGTAAAACATGTGTTTTTGTCAGTTTATTTTTATCTTGACATTCCCCATGTCCTGCAGTCCCACCCTGGGGTGTGTACTCAGGGAAACTCACTCATAAAACCCAGGACACTCAGGCAAGAATGCTCCGGCAAACATTGCTCCAAAAAACAAAATGTCCGGTGAAAACATACATCATATCTGCCCAAAAGGACAAATACATTGAGGAATATGCAAGCGATTTACTGCAGTCTGTCTGTTGTTAAATAAACAAGAGCTATGCAGAGCATTAGGAGCATAGCGGTATCATTTTACAATCAAAAACACAAAACAAACTATCCTTTTGTGTTATATTTAAAACGTAAAAATATACGTACATACACACACACAAATATTACCAGATGATAGCTATGATATCAGAGACACATATTTACAAAAATAACACAGAAAAGATCCAAAATTGTATGTGTGTGGTTTTCATACATTGAGAAGTTCTGGGACAGATGAGAGACAAAGCATGAGTTGATACTATTTTTATGAATATGCTGTTTTTTTTCAGTGTGGATTTCACAGGGCTTTTTTTCTTGCTATAATCTTACTAATTTTTTAATAAAATGAATTGGCTTTTGGGGAGAACCTTCAGCGTTATATGCACATATGTTTGTGTTATTCAGAGTTTATATATGTATGTAAATATACACATAGAGAGAGTAGAGTTTTCTGGAAGAGAAAGATAGAGATCTGTGTCTTGAACTGTGAGTCAAGAAAGGATTTCAGAGAAAACATCAAGAACCAGGATTTTCACGCTCGCTTCTGTGTTAATAATGCAAAATCAGTTTTTCTTGGTGTTAACTTCTTGAAGCATAGGAGAAAAATTGAAGAACTTGAAAATTGTTCTTAATTTGCAAGTAATTAATTTGCAACTTTGAAAATGACAGGATAAACATTTCAGTTTTACTGTACAACCGTTTTACAACACTGACAGTGCATCTATTTTAATTTGGCGGAGAACCTTGCATCACAGAAATCAAATCATGCATAGTTCTCAAAAAAGGCAATAAGATATTAAGATACAATTCTACACTTTTGCACATAGAAAAATTAAATTTGAAATATAGACATTATGGATTGGTCGGTGCTAGGGTTCAAGTCAGGCCTTTGTTAGGGGCTCTGTTGAACCAAGAATACCGTCTGCAAGTTTCCTGTGTCACCCACTATGTTTAGGGTGAGAGCTGGTCATCTTCCTGTGTGGGGCACCCTCTAAACTCTGCAAACTGAAACTGGAACCATGGTTACCACATCCTGTTCATTTTCCAATTTAGCTCAACCCCTGTGTCCTGCCCAATAGAAGTGGCACCATGGCCCCCAAACTCATCACCGTCCTGTGTCTGGGTAAGTCCTGGAAGGGAAAGGAGGACACGGTTGGGATGGAAAATGCTCTCTTGAAGACCTGGCCTCTCCACAACCCAGGTCTGGTGGTGGGAAGCCAGGTTCATCCACCCTCTGAATCCAGGCTGAGCTGACAAACCCAGTTACAAGGAGGGAAGGATTCACATGAAGACAAGCTATTTTTCTCTCTCCTCTCTTTTTTTTTTTTTTGCCTAGGATTCTGCCTGAACCAGAAGATCTGCCCACATGCGGGTGAGTCCTATCCCAGTCCTAGGATGCTGTGTTGGCCAAACACAAATGATTCTCCAGGCAGGGAGGGTGGACACGAAGTCAGGCTGATGTAGATGACATGGGGTGGGCTTTGCAGTGAGCACTGGGAACACAGGAAGGGAGTCCTCTGGAGACCCTAGGCTCCATTTTGTTCTAGAAACCCTCCATAGGCAGCCCCTCAGGCTCATCCAATCTCCTGAAGGAGCCTGTGATGCTCAGAATCCAGCGTGTCTGGGGGTGGGTAGGGTAGGAGTACTCTCTGTCAGGAGGCAGGGACCCGTGCTGGGCACTTGTGTTGGGAATTGTTAAATGAGTTGATATGTTTTTTGTATTGCTTGAATCTGGTAGATTCCTCCTTCTCCTCCATGTACAGATTTCTGTTGTAGACAAGAACTAGGAGCAACTTGGCTCAATATTGTATCATCATGCTTAGTAGAATTCTGTTCTGGGGAGACCTTCCATGTCCACTCTGGGGTGGCTGTGTCCCTGGCTTGCGACCAGGTATCCCAGGGCATCAGGGGACCCCACGTTACAGGGCAAACCAGAACAATGTAAAGAAGGAAATGCCCCCAAGGACAGCGGGAGACGGGGGGCTCCACATTTCCCTCTCTAGGCTGTGCCTCCTTCTCTTCCAGGTGCTCAGGACAAGTTCTCCCTGTCAGCCTGGCCGAGCCCTGTGGTTCCCCTAGGAGGACGTGTGACTCTCTCCTGTCATTCCCATCTTCGGTTTGTCATATGGACAATATTCCAAACAACTGGGACCCGAAGCCATGAGTTGCACACTGGCCTTTCCAACAACATCACCATCAGCCCTGTGACCCCAGAACACGCAGGGACCTACAGATGTGTTGGAATTTACAAGCACGCCTCAAAGTGGTCAGCTGAGAGCAACTCCCTGAAGATCATCGTCACAGGTAGGAGAAGTCCAGCCCACCCCACGTCCAACCGGTGTCCAGATGGACCTGCCCAGAGTCCACACCCAATGAAGCCAGAGAGTTGTTGTGGGATTCCTAGTCATGCACTAACCGTGGACACAGAAGCCATCCTGGGAATTTAAAGAGAGGGCATTTCCTGTGAGGAATCAGGTACCCAGGTGGAGGAGGAGGGAGGAAGCCGAGCAGCAGGAGAATCTGCCTGGGGAGTAGCAGACGCAGGGTGCTGGTACCAATTGCAGCAGGGTGGATCCAGGGAGGAGCCATGTTGCCTGACCCCAGCTGGATCCAGGGAGGAGCCATGTTGCCTGACCCCAGCACCAGTGTTTCCCTCGGGGAAGTCGTTACTCTGCCTCGAAGGAGCCAGAGGCTTGGGGAAGTGACAGTTCCCTCGGGAGATGAGTCCAGTGGCTCAGTGGGACATGGATTGGGAAATGCACCCATTCCTCTCCTCCTCCTTCCCAGTCTCGTGACACTCATCCCTTCTCTCTCATGGATGTGCAGAGTGTCTCACGGAGAGTTAGAAACTCATCCTGTGGAGTCGCCCCTGCCCATCCTATAAAGCAGGGAAGGGAGAGTGTGGAGTTATTCATATTTTATATATGTATGTAAATATACACATAAAGAGAGAGAGAGAGTAGAGTTTTCTGGAAGAGAAAGATAGAGATCTGTGCCTTGAACCGTGAGTCAAGGAAGGATTTCAGAGAAAACATCAAGAACCAGGATTTTCACGGTTGGTTCTGTGTTAATAATGCAAAATCAGTTTTTGTTGTTAACTTCTTGAAGCATGGGAGAAAAATTTAAGAACTAGAAAATAGTTCTCAATTTGCAAGTCATTAATTTGTAACTTTGAAAATGACAGAATAAACATTTCAGTTTTGCTGTACAACCATTTTACAACATTGACAATGCATGTATTTTAATTTGGCAGTCTCACATTCAAGGAGCTCAGAAGAAACAGAGAAGAGATTGGGTCTTTCCACCAAGAGAGCGGGGAAAGCAGGTTGGGGTGAGGCAGGGAGATCCAGGCTACGAAAGCTCCTGGAGGATCTGAATGGAGATTGGGACTGTGAGGGGCTGCCCAGGAAAGGAGTTTACCGTGTCCTTCTGCCTAAATAGGGAAAAGGAGTCACTTCCACCCTCCCCAACAAGTAGTCACGTCTAACCTCTTGGGTTTTGGGGCAAAACCAGTTGTTCCTTCAGTGTGAGCCTGTGAGATTTCTTCTGATCCTCCAGAGATTCTTGTATTTTTCAACACGCAGAGTTGAAAAACAGTGAGGCTCATAACCTCACAGTCCCATGCCAGGGAACCTAAGTCCAGCAGTGTGTTTTCTGAAGGTTCTCAAAGCACAGAGTAATTCCCATTTTCCGGGAGAACCCCACATCTCATATGGTTTCAAGCCAGACAATGGGGATCCGCGCAGAGAGAACATGCACGCACACAAACAGGAAGGACGCAGACGGGCTTTGGGGGTGATGAGGGACAGCTTCCCCCTGAGGTCTCAGGCGAGGGGTGAGGAAGGAGACTCATGTGAACTCCTCTGTCTCTGCTCTCAGGCTTGTTCACAAAACCCTCCATCTCAGCGCACCCAAGCTCCCTGGTGCATGCAGGAGCCAGGGTGAGCCTGCGCTGTCACTCAGAACTGGCCTTTGATGAATTTATCTTATACAAAGAGGGGCACATACAGCATTCCCAGCAGCTTGACCAGGGGATGGAGGCTGGGATCCATTACGTCGAGGCTGTCTTTTCCATGGGTCCTGTAACGCCTGCCCATGCAGGAGCCTACAGATGCTGTGGTTGTTTCAGTCACTCCCGCTATGAGTGGTCGGCTCCCAGTGACCCCCTGGACATTGTGATCACAGGTGAGTGTGGCTGGACCATCCGTGGTCTGTTGGTGCCATGGGAGCTTCATGTAATGCGGTTGTTAATCAAACCTCAGTAGAGGAAGAGAAATAAAGGAAGAGAGGGACTGTGAAAAAGTGCTCAGCAAAGGGGTTTAACATGTCTTACTGCTTAAAGAGGCAGGAGGGGTCACTTCTACCCTCCCCAACAAGTAGTCACGTCTAACTCCTTGGGCTTGGGGGTACAGCCAGTTGTTCCCTGCAGTGGGATCCTGTGAGGTTTCTTCTGATCCTCCCGAGATTCTTATATTTTTCAACAAACACAATTGAAAAATAGTAAGACTCATAACCCCGTAGCCCCATGTCAGAGAACTCAAGGCCAGCACTATGTTTTCTGAAGGGTCTCAAAGCACAGAGTAATTCCCATTTTCCAGGAGAACCCCACATCTCATATGGCTTCTAGGGGCGGTAAACCACAGGGACTCAGTCAAAAGCAGAATCAAAGAAATGCAGAGGAAGTAAAAAGACACAGACATAGGCTGACTCAGGACCCTAGAGATGAACATGAGATTGACAGGGGCACCAGCCGACATTCGGAATCTGCTGCCAAGATAAGAACAGCGAGGCTGGGCGCTGTGGCTTACGCCTGTAATCCCAGCACTTTGGGAGGCTGACGTGGGCGGATCACAAGGTCAGGAGTTCGAGACCAGCCTGACCAACATGGTGAAACCCTGTCTCTACTAAAAATACAAAAATTAGCTGGGCATGGTGGTCCGTGCCTCTAATCCCAGCTACTCAGGAGGCTAAGGCAGGAGAATCACTTGAACCCGGGATGCTGAGGTTGCAGTGAGCCGAGATCGTGCTACTGCACTCCAGCCTAGGAGACAAGAGTGAAAATCTGTCTCAAAGGAAAAAAAAAAAAAAAAAAAAAGAGGGAGAGAGATTACTTTGTTCATACACTCAGGCGTGTGTTCTAAAATCAGCCTCTTTTTCTCCTAGGAAAATACAAAAAGCCTTCTCTCTCCACCCAGGTGGACCCCATGATGAGGCTGGGAGAGAAGTTGACCCTCTTCTGCAGCTCTGAAATCTCATTTGACCAGTACCATCTGTTCAGACACGGGGTTGCTCATGGACAGTGGCTCAGTGGAGGGCAGAGACACAGGGAAGCATTCCAGGCCAACTTTTCTGTGGGCCGTGCAACGCCAGTCCCTGGCGGGACCTATAGATGCTATGGTTCCTTCAATGACTCTCCCTATAAGCCCCCAGTGACCCGCTGCAACTTTACACCACAGGTGAGGAGCCCATGCCTGCTGCATGCTCTGGTGCCCACTGGATCACAGAGCCACACGTGAGGGGCGTCCCGCTGGGCACACAGGGGTATTAGGTACTCTGGATAAAATGAAACAGTGACAAACACACACAGGAAAAAAGAAGCTGAGCATGATGGGGCTGTCAGGGTGTAGGGTGGTAAGACGGGGCAGCTCCACACCCTCTGCCACCTTCTGTATGAAGAAAGAGGTCAGGACAAACACAGGGGGAGGTGAGGCCAGATGTAGTTTGTCGAGGTCAGAGGTTGCCCCTCACCCTTTTCCATTTCTCCAAAGCCCCTCCTGACCCCTCAACACAGAGAGATCTCCCTGCTGGGGAACGTGGAGATTTATCATCCCGATGGGAGACAATGTCTGTTGACATCACCCACCATGCTTCTCCTTATCACCTTCCCATCCCAGGGAAGGAATTGTCCCCCAGAGATTCCAAGGAAGAGACCCCAGGGCCCCCATTAGTCTTTAGGTGGATGACAGAGTAGGGGGTGTGCAGGGACCAAGCCTCCAAAGAAAATGGTGCTAATGCTCGGGAGGCTGAGGCAGGAGAATCGCTTGAACCCAGGAGGTGGAGGTTGCAGCGAGACAAGATGGCACCACTGCACTCCAGCCTGGGCGACAGAGCAAGACTCCATCTCAAAAAAAAAAAAAAAAGAAAGAAAGAAAGAAAGAAAGAAAAAGAAAGAAAGAAAGAAAGAAAAGAAAATGGTCCTACTTTAATGGGGCAATCAATGACGCTTGCTCACCCCTTCTCTGCCTTTTTTTTTCCTAGGAAACACTAAGAGTACTCCTCTGTCATTCACAGAATCCACCCCTGAATCTGGTAAGCAAATAACTCTTATCCTAGTGTCTGAGTCCCTGGGGAGACAGAAGGCCCCAGTGTGAGTGAAAGCTGTGCCACCTCCCAGCTCCATGACCCTGGGCTAGGCAGCCCCTCCCAGGTCCCCACATTCCTCATCCACATCTGAGACTGTGGTCAGTGCGGGAATCTGTAAGGCCTTTCAGCCTCAGACGCTTTGGGACTGAGGCCTCATCCACAGGGGAGGAAGAGGTCAGAGTCACCTGACCCTTGCTGAAAAGCAATGCTTCTCATTCCTCCAGGGAGGTCTGTGAACATGAAAATGCTGGAAGATGGGAAGGATTTAAAAGACCATATTCGATATTCACTGTCTGTCTTTTTTTGTTGTTTTTTTTTTTGAGACAGAGTCTCACTCTGTCACCCAGGCTGGAGTGCGGTGGCACAATCTCAGCTCACTGCAACCTCTGCCTCCTGGGTTCAAGCGATTTTCCTGCCTCAGCCTCCCGAGTAGCTGGGATTACAGGTGCCCACCACCACACCCGGCTAATTTTTGTATTTTTAGTAGAGTCAGGGTTTCGCCATGTTGCCCAGGCTGGTGTCAAACTCCTGACCTCAAGTGATCTGTCCGCCTTGGCCTCCCAAAGTGCTGGGATTACAGGTGTGAGCCACCGCACCCAGCCTTATTGTCCATCTTCTAATGTCCTATGACATATTCAACAGTTCCTGTGTTCCAGTGGTGTGTGCAGGGAGGAGAAAAGTTATAATGAATAAACGTGTGAACTGATTTATTCAGATCCATTAATTTTGTATTCATTAAGATAGAGTCATGTGACAGAGAAAGCTTAAGTGGATCCTTTAGAGCAGGTGGAAGGGAAGACTCTATGTCACTCAAGGAACTGACATTTAAGGTGTGATCCTGATGACAAGGACAGCCAGTGTTGGAAGGATTGATGGAAGGACGTTCCCAGCAGGTAAACAGTGGTGCCATAAACTCAACATGGCAGGG
Source organism: Homo sapiens (assembly GCF_000001405.40). NCBI lineage: Eukaryota > Metazoa > Chordata > Mammalia > Primates > Hominidae > Homo > Homo sapiens. Next base: position 445,208 of record NW_003571054.1, read on the forward strand.
CTGGGCGCAGGGCTCACAACTGTAATCCCAGCACTTTGGGAGGCTGAGGCGGGCAGATCACAAGGTCAAGAGATCGAGCTGTTCCTGGTCAACATGGTAAAACCCTGTCTCTACTAAAAATACAAAAATTAGCTGGGCGTAGTGGTGCATGTCTGTGGTCCCAGCTACTCCAGAGGCTGAGGCAGGAGAATTGTTTGAACCCGGGAGGCGGAAGTTGCAGTGAGCCGAGATTATGCCACTGCACTCCAGCTTGGGCGACAGGACGAGACTCCGTCTCAAAAAAAAAAAAAAAATTCAACATGGCAATGCCTTGTGTGTGTTCACAGCACCAGTGAGGCTGACATGTCGGGGGAGAGGGGTGGAGCTGAGAGAGGAGGACAGGGACCAACTTGTGTGAACGTTTCTCGTTTTTAAAATGTTTAATTTTTGTGGGTACCTAGTAGGTGTGTATATTTATCAGGCGCATGAGATGTTTTGATACAGGCATGAAATGTGAAATAAGCACATCATGGAGGTTAAGGCATCCATCCCCTCAAGCATTTATTCTTTGAGTTACAAACAATTTAATTAAGATTTTTTTTTTTTTTTGAGATGGAGTCTTGCTCTGTCACCCAGACTGGAGTGCATTGGCGCGCTTTCCGCTCACTGCAACCTCTGTCTCCTGGGTTCAAGCAGTTCTCCTGCCTCAGCCTCCCAAGTAGCTGGGATTACAGGTGTACGCCACCATGCCTGGCTAACTTTTTGTATTTTAGTAGAGACAGGGTTTCAACATGTTGTCCAGGCTGGTCTCAAACACCTGAGCTCAGGTGATCTGCCCGCCTCAGTCTCCCAAAGTCTTAGGAGTACAGGTGTGAGCCACCATGCCTGGCCCCAATTATGCTTTTTATTTTAAAATGTACAGTAAAGTTCTTATTGACTAGAGCCAGCCTGTTGGTGCTACCAAGTGAGGGTTTCTAAGCAACAGTAAAGAGTTTGGATTTTATTCCAATAAAGAGGTGAAGACAAGTTTTGTTTTGTTTTTTTTTCAGAGTCTTACTCTGTCTCCAGGCTGGAGTGCAGTGGCGTGATCTCGGCTCACTGCAACCTCTGCCTCCCGGGTTCAAGTGATTCTCCTGCCTTAGCCTCCTGAGTAGCTGGGATTATAGGCACCCACCACCATACCCGACTAATTTTTGTATTTTTAGTAGAGACCAAGTTTCACCATGTTGGCCAGGATGGTCTCGATCTCTTGACCTTGTGATCCGCCTGCCTTGGCCTCCCAAAGTGCTGGGATTACAGGTGTGAGCCACTGTGCCCAGCCGTTTTTTTTTTTCTTTTTTTTTGAGACAGAGTCTTGCTCTGTTGCCCAGGCTGAAGTGCAATGGCGTGATCTTGGCTCACTGCAACCTCCGCCTCCTGGGTTCAAGCGATTCTCCTGCCTCAGCCTCCTGAGTAGCTGGGATTACAGGGGGCCCGCCACCAAGCCTGGCTAATTTTTGTATTTTTAGTAGAGACAGGGTTTCACCATGTTGGCCAGGCTGGTCTTGAACTCCTGACTTCAGGTGATCCACCCACCTTGACCTCCCAAAGTGCTGGGATTACACGCATGAGCCACTGTGCCTGGCCGAAGACAAAGGTTTTAGTCAGAAACGTGTCATGATCCACATTCTATTTTAGAGATAGCAATCGGCCGATGTGAATAGTGTTTATTACAGGGAGGCAGGAGTGGAAGCCAGGAGCCTGGTGGGGCTGTGACATCCTTGTAGAGGACACTCATGGCAGCTTAGATGTGCTGGGGCTGGAGAAGGAGTTGAGCAGGTGGATTCAGGAGAGGCTCAGAGCTGGAGTCACTAAGAGGGAGAGTTTGGAAACTTGTTCCAGTATTTCTCAGTGCATGACCTGGGGCACGCTCATTTCTCTCTGAGCCTCTGATTCCATTGATGGCAACTCATACTTGGGCTATCAGAGAAGTAGCAACTCAGCAGGGAGCCTTATGGGGGAACGAGACATAGTCCTTGAAAGAGAAAAGATTATAATCAGACACTTGGGCTCAATGGATGGCTCTGCTAGTTATGGTCACTCATCTTGGAAAGCATCCGTTTTCTTTTCTTTTCTTTTTTCTTTTGTTTTCTTCTTTTTGTTTGAGCCAGAGTCTCTCTGTGTTGCCCAGGCTGGAGTGCAGTGGTATGAAACTGGCTTACTGCAATGTCCCAGTTTCAAGTGATTCTCCTGCCTCAGCCTCCCAAGTAGCTGGGATTACAGGTGTCTGCCACCACGCCCGGCTAATTTTTGTATTTTTAGTAGAGACAGGTTTCACTATGTTGGTCAGGCTGGTTTTGAACTCCTGAACTCCAGTGATCAGCCTGTCTGTGCCTCCCAAAGTGCTGGGATTACAGGCATGAGCCATGGCACCTGGCCAAAGCATCCAAGTTGTTGGATAGAATATTGGGCTAATGATGCCTCCCTCCTTATGGAAAAAAAAAAAGTAGGAAAGAGAAGAAAGAAAAGCTTCCCAAGTTGAATGTCTAGAAGTAGCAGACATGTCTAGAATTGAGCCCAAGAGTACGGCTGGCTACAGTCTTTTCTCTTTCAAGGACTATATCATGGATGAGAGAGTGATGAGATGTGTCCACACATGTGGAAGTCCTCCCACCACCTCTCAGCATGGGTCCTGGTACGGAGGGTATGCTCCTATGTGACATAGCCTGTGCCCCCTCCCCTTTTTCTCTCCTGAATCCTCCACCCACCTGCTCTTACTCATTACTCAGAAAAACACCAACATTGTTTGGAGCAAGTTCAATTCTCAGAAACTGGCATGAGAGTCATCCTCTGGCCACCTCTATCTCCATTCTCAGAAAGTGTATTTGTCCTGGGCTGAGAAGGGACGAGGGAAATGGTATTCAGCTATGGTACATGCAGAGGGTTTCCTTTGTCATGCAAAAACAAACTGTCTTGTCTCATGAGGAAGTGGGAGGGGAGGCACACTGGAGCCTGGTAGGCCTGGGTTCAGACCTCCATGTCTCTCCTTTTTTTTTTCTTTTTTTTTTTTTTTTGAGATGGAGTCTTGCTCTGTCACCCACCCTGTGTACAATCTCGGCTTACTACAACCTCTGCCTCCTGGGTTCAAGCGATTGTCCTGCCTCAGCCTTCTGAGTAGCTGGGATCACAGGCGTGTACCACTACGCCTGGCTAATTTTTGTGTTTTTAGTGGAGACGGAGTTTTGCCATGTAGGCCAGGCTGGTCTCTAACTCCTGACCTCAGGTGATCTGCCCACCTCTGCCTCCCAAAGTGCTGGGATTACAGGTGTGAACCACCACACCAGGCCTCTGCATCTCTCTTACTGGCCATTTGATTTGGACACGTGTCTTCACTTCTCTTGGAATTTTTTGTGTAAGTGATGGAAAATGGAGAAAGTAACTGTTCGGGTGTAGGGATCTTGGAAGAGCTTCAGATAAAGCATGTTGTGTGTTCAGTATGTATTGGCACAAAACAGGCAACCAGTCAATGAGAGGGTTTATCATTTGCTTCTTGACAGACACACCTCGCCCTCAAGGACAGTCCAGCAACCTGCATATGCTCACTGGACTCTCAGTAGCCATCATCTCCATTGGCGTTTGCCTCTCTGCTTTTATTGGTTTCTGGTGTTACATAAAATATCGTAAGTCTCAGGGAGGGGAGGACAGTATCATGTGAGCCCCGTGGGGATGTGACTGGGGCACGGGGGTGCTATTCACGTCCTGTGGGTTGATCTGTGTTTCCGCTGAGGTTCTTTTTTTTTTTTGAGACGGAGTCTCGCTCTGTCACCCAGGCTGGAGTGCAGTGGCGCAATCTCGGCTCACTGCAAGCTCTGCCTCCCGGGCTCACGCCATTCTTCCACCTCAGCCTCCCGATTAGCTGGGACTACAGGCGCCCACCACCATGCCCGGCTAATTTTTTGTATTTTTAGTAGAGATGGAATTTCACCATGTTAGCCAGGATGGTCTTTATCTCCTGACCTCATGATCCGCCCGCCTCGGCCTCCCAAAGTGCTGGGATTACAGGCGTGAGCCAGTGTGCCCGGCCTCCGTTGAGGTTCTTGATGGAGAAACCCTGCTCCTTCCCTTCACTGACCAATCACCCCAACCCCTCCCCTACCTCCACCTCACCTCTGGGGAGGCCACTGACCTGCAGGAGATGGTCCATGAGAGAGGCAGAAGGATGGGGGCCATCTATCGGAGCGGTCCTGGGGCAGTCAAGATTGCCCCAAGGTTGCTGATGGGTGGTTCTCTGAATTTAGTGGGGGAGGCTGGATCACGCTGCAGCCTCAGGCACGCCCTTGCCTTGTTTTGGTCTTGGTATTGCCACCTCTGAAGTGAAGATCTGGAAGACTTTCTTTTTCACCCCACAGACACCACCATGGCAAACACAGAGCCCACGGAAGGCCAACGGACGGATGAAGAGGTGAGTTCTCCCAGCCGAAACCATCACCACAGCTTCATCCCCTCCCATTCCCAGTGCCCCTGCCTTCAGCCACTAAATATGCTCCTCTTTTCACCTTCATCCTCTCAGGAGCCTGCAGCAGAAGAGACACAGGAGATCATATATGCCCAGTTAAACCACCAGGCCCTCTCACAGACAGGATTCCCTCCTGCCTCCCAGTGTCCCCACTACCTCTCGGAGGATCCTAGTATCTACATCACTGTCCACCAAGCCCAGGCTGAGGCCAGAGCTGCCCCCAGTCTTTGGCACAAAGGGCATTAATACGCAAGGACCTGGATCTATTCCTAGGAGGATTTTTTTTCCACGGACATTCTTCCTCCTTCTGGTACCATCTTGACACCTCGAAGCTGGCAACAGCAGTGTCTGAATGCTTGTGGGATTATCTTAAAATTCCAGCACTGCTGAACAGACAACTAGCCATTCTACAATTCTATTTTGAGCATCCAACCATTTAAGGTGATTTGACTCTACCCACACACTCATCCTGGATATCTCATTAATATCATCTGAGTTATCCTGAAACTCTACAGACATGCTTCTGGAAAGCCGATGTATATGCTCAGCCAGTTTAATCTCTAAATTACTCAATAAGGTTTTTTTAAAAAAATTTTTTTAAAGTTCTGGGGTACATGCTCAGGATGTGCAGGTTTGTTACGTAGGTAAACGTGTGCCATGGTGGTTTGCTGCACCTATCAAACCGTCACCTAGGTATTAAGCCCAGCAGGCATTAGCTCTCTTCCCTAATGCTCTCCATACCCCCTGCCCTCCTCTGACAGGCCCCAGTGAATGTGTTCCCCTCCCTGTGTCCATGTGTTCTCATTGTTCAGCTCCCACTTATAAGTGAAAACATGCGGTGTCTGGTTTTCTGTTCCTGCATTAGTTTGCTGAGGATAATGTCTTCTAGCTTCATTCATGTCTCTGCAAATGATATGATCTCATTCCTTTTTATGACTGCGTAGTATTCCGTGGTGTATATGTACAACTTTATTTTTATCCAGTCTATCATTGATGGGCATTTGGGTTGATTCCACGTCTTTGCTGTTACTCAACAAAATTTTGCAGAGATGAAGTGTATTCTATATCTGAGTCATCTAATATGGTAGCCACTAGCCAAATATGGCTTTTTAACTTAGAATTAGAATAGATCAAATTCCATGAAGTTTAAAATTCAGTTCCTCAGCCACATGGCCACAATTTGAGTTCTCAGAGCCACGTGTGGCTGCTGGCTGTGGGAGAGAATAGCATGAACACAAAATGTTTTCCTTGTCAGAGGAAGTTCTAGCTGTTCTAGATTAAAGGTGCAAATTTGAAGATGCAGAGCCTATTTTCTCATGCAGTGCAGGCTCCTGGAAGAGACCTAATGTAACAAAACGATAATATTTCACATCAATGGTGACATGTCTTTATCTTACGAAATGCGGGGAACAAGCAGAGTTCTCTTGTGGAGTGTCTTATCACCTCTTATCCTCATGCAAATTTCTGCCATAGAGATTTTCTCCCAAACTTTGAGAAGGTCACCTCTGTCAGGCCTCTGAGCCCAAGCTAAGCCATCCTATCCCCTGTGACCTGCACGTACACATCCAGATGGCCTGAAGCAACTGAAGATTCACAAAAGAAGTGAAAATAGCCTTAACTGATGACATTCCACCACTGTGACTTGTTCCCGCCCCACTAACTGATACCATATATTCTGCCCCGCCCAAGAAGGTACTTTGTAATATTCCTCGCCCCCTTACCCCCCACCGCCCTGCCCCCGCTCGCCCGCCTTAAGAAGGTACTTTGTAATATTCTCCCCCACAACTTTAGAAGGTACTTTGTAATATTCTCCCCAACTTTAGAAGGTACTTTGTAATATTCTCCCCCACAACTTTAGAAGGTACTTTGTAATATTCTCCCCTCCCCTTAAGAAGGTACTTTGTAATATTCTCCCCCACAACTTTAGAAGGTACTTTGTAATATTCTCCCCTCCCCTTAAGAAGGTACTTCGAGGCTGGGTGCGGTGGCTCATGTCTGTAATCCCAGCACTCTGGGGGGCCGAGGTGGGTGGATCACGAGGTCAGGAGATCGAGACCATCCTGGCTAATGTGGTGAAACCCCGTCTCTACTAAAAAAATACAAAACAATTAGCTGGGCATGGTGGCGGGTGCCTGTAGTCCCAGCCACTTGGGAGTCTGAGGCAGGAGAATGGCGTGAACCCAGGAGGCAGAGCTTGCAGTGAGCTGAGATCGCGCCACTGCACTCCAGCCTGGGCGATAGAGCAAGACTCTGTCTCAAAAAAAAAAAAAAAAAAAAAAAAAAAAAGAAGGTACTTTGTAATATTTCTCCCCACTGCCACCCACCCCCCGCCAAGAAGGTACTTTGTAATATCCTCCCCCCAACGCCAGCCCCCTCCACGACCTTAAGAAGGTACTTTGTAATATTCTCCTCGCCCTTGAGAATGTACTTTGTACGCCCATCTCAAACCTATAAGAACTTATGATAATCCCACCACCCTTTGCTGACTCTCTTTTCAGACTCAGCCCACCTGCACCCAGGTGAAATAAACAGCCTTGTTGCTCACACAAAGCCTGTTTGGTGGTCTCTTCACACAGACGCTCATGACAACCTCCTATTTGTACCTTTTCTCGTCCCCTGGTTTCACATGGAGAGAAAGCACACATCCATTCTCCGCACAGAACATGCTCTGGAAGCTGCTTTCTGATGACGTCTTCCTCTGAGCCTTTATTCTGTTTCTTTCTACTTGAATTGGCACCTACCCAGAGCAATTCACAAACTGCTGCCTGCAACGAGCTGTCACTGGCTCATGGAATTGTCACATGCTGTTTCTTCACCTGGTAATTATCTCCCTTTTTTGAGCATCTCAGTGCAGACATCCACCTTCATACACATGTCTTTATCTCATAGGCTAAGTGAGGAGGTTGATTGACTCACAGTGTCTGTGCCCAATAGGCTGAGTTTTTATGGCCTGATCCCCACTGGTCTTTCATGTGTGGACTGTGAGTTTTTTTTGTTGTTGTCGTTGCCAGGCTGGAGTGCAGTGGTGTGACCTCAGCTCACTGCAATCTCTGCCTCCCAGGTTCAAGAGATTCTCTTGCCTCAGCCTCCCGAGTAGCTGGGACTACAGGTGCGTGCCACCACGCACCGCTAATTTTTGCATTTTTAGGAGAGACGGGGTTCCACCATGTTGGCCAGGATGGGACTATGAGATTTTTGAGGCAGGACTGAGTCTGATTAACCTCTGGGACTCAATGCAACCCTCCAAGGATCCTGCCCATAGGAGGAGGTATCAGCAACTCAGGTCTGGTAAGTGATGAGGACACCCAACCCTTCCAGGGAGCAGAGCGTGGAGCAAACATCAGAGATCCTCTGATGTTACCCAGAAGTAGTTTCTCTGTCTCCCTGGGCCAAAGGGAGGATCATGCTTCCTCTACAGTCTGGGATATGTGAGCTAAGAGACAAATGCTGGTTAGTGGATGTGAGGGTGAATGGCAGGCACACTCCCAGCCTGGCTATTTGCATGACGGCCCTACCCTTACTATTGTATATTCTACAGCTAGGTTGGTCCTGCAGCAATCTCGTTTTGATAAGCAGGGTAAAAGTGAAAGACCAAAACGTGTCTTCTCTCTGAGCCTCTGCACACAGGGTGGTTATGCCGCAGAGTCAACTGATGCTAAAGGGAAACTATGCAAGCCAGAAATGATTTTAATTTTGCTTCCACACCATCCTCTCAAAAATAACAGAAAGTGAGCATTTTTTTTTTTTCTGGAGTCTCTCTCTGTCACCCAGGCTGGAGTACAGTGACACGAGCTCAGCTCACTGCAGCCTCCACCTCCCGGGTTCAAGCGATTCTCCTGCCTCAGCCTCTGGAGTAACTGAGATTACAGGCACCCACCACCACACCTGGCTACTTTTTGTATTTTTAGTAGAGACAGGGTTTCACCATGTTGGTCAGGCTGGTCTCAAACTCCTGACCTTGTGATCTGCCTGCCTCGGCCTCCCAAAGTGCTGGGATTACAGGCATGAGCCACTGCACCTGGCCAAAAGTGAGCATTTTAAAAAGTGATTTACAACCAATGATAAATGTGACCTGATAAGATAATTCAAGTATTCCATGTTCCTACACTTCATAGTTAAGTGTAGCTTCAACATTTATCTGGTGGAAAAATGAATCAACCAACTTTCCACACATGAGTGTTTTACTCTTCATTTTCCTTTCTATCAAGAAACATTATGTGCCCTGAGAAATTATAAATTTCATAATTATTTGGGACGAAAATTGTTTGCACTTTTTTTGTGGGGCGGGGGGATGGAGTTTCGCTCTTGTCACCCAGGCTGGAGTGCAATGGTGCGATCTCAGCTCACTGCAAACTCCACCTCCTGGGTTCAAGTGATTCTCCTGCCTCAGTCTCCTGAGTCTATGGGATTACTCATATGTAATCCCATATATGAGTGATATGGGTGCGTATCAGTATGCCCAGCTAATTTTTGTATTTTTAGTAGATATGGGGTTTCACACTGTTGGCCAGGCTGGTCTCGAACTCCTGACCTCGTGATTTGCCCGCCTCGGCCTCCCAAAGTGCTGGGATTACAGGCGTGAGCCACCGTGCCCGGCCTGTTTGCACTTACTCTCCTGGTTTGTCCATTTTTCCATGTTCCTTCATACTTTCTTTTGATTTTATTTTTACTGTATTTACTTTTAGTTTTTGAATACTTCAAATTCTTGACAATCATTTGACAGGTTTAAATTTGAGATAACCAAAAAGTTAATAGTTCTCTCAAAACTCTCACGTTGTACTCTTATTTACTTATTTTACTTTAAGTTCTGGGATATATGTGCAGAACGTGCAGGTTTGTTACATAGGTATACATGTGCCATGGTGGTTTGCTGCACCTATCAACCTGTTATCTAGGTTTAAGCCCCGCATTAGGTATTTGTCCTAATGTTCTCCCTCCCCTTCCCCTACCCCCAGACAGGCCCTGGTGTGTGTTGTTCCCTTCCCTGTGTCCATGTGTTCTCATTGTTCAACTCCCACTGATGAGTGAGAACATGTGGTGTTTGGTTTTCTGTCCCTGTGTTAGTTTGCTGAGAATGATGGCTTCCAGCTTCAATTTTAACTTTTTTTTTTTTTTTTTTTTTTTTTTTTGAGACAGAGTCTTACTCTGTTGCCAGGCTGGAGTGCAGTGGCCCAATCTCAGCTCACTGCAACCTCCACCTCCTGGGTTCAGGCAATTCTCCTGCGTCAGCCTCCTGAGTATCTGGGATTACAGGCACCTGCCACCACACCCGGCTAATTTTTGTATTTTTTTTTTAGTAGAGACGGGGTTTCACCATGTTGGCCAGGCTGGTCTTGAACACCTGACCTTATGATCCACCCGCCTCGGCCTCCCGAAATGCTGGGATTCCAGGCGTGAGCCACCGAGCCCGGCCCAGTCTTAACATTTTTTAAGGCTTAGTCACCTGCATGATACCAACCAGGCTGGTCTCAACTGTGGGGCAACTGGGGTTGTTGAACCAGGTGAACTGCAGGTGCTCCCTGCAGAACCCTTGCATAGCCGGCGTCTTTATACCTGTCTGTCCATCCAGGGATGGCGGGGTTGGTGTTTGTCCTCCAGTCGAGGGCACTGACAACCTTGGGGCAGCAGCACCAATCAGCTTCCATCCCATCACGTAAGAGCCACACGTGGAGATCTGGGTGCACACCCATCTCACGTGTTTCCCGGAACAGCCTCAGCGCCTTTCCCCGAGCAGCCCCTTGGACATTCACCTGGCAGAGGAGTCTCTGGTTCTGTTTCTGGACTGTGGACGCGGGCTAGGGCGCATGCTGCAGGTGAATCACTTCTGAGGACAGATGAGTCTCCTGTTCTGCTTCTGGTCACCACGCTGCTCTGTGATCCAGGGAGTCTCTGTCAGCGTCTCTTCTGCTGGATCCAGTCTGGAGTGTCAGGGATTCAGAGCACGACAGAGGTGACCATGGGCAACGTGCACCCGAGCACTTCCCTGCCACAGGGACATGCAGAGCATTTCCCACCCTGAGGAGCGGCCACTCAAGACCATCAGGTCGCAGGTGGAGGACTGTGATGCAGCCGAGCTCCTATCACCACCAGGACTTGTCTCACTGAGCAGAAGCCGGTAACACACCAGGGAAGACGGCCTTGCCCACGGGGTGGCTGTTGACGGAATCTTTCTGTTCTGCGTTCTCTCATCATGGATGTGGGTCCCTTTGATGCCTCTGTCTTCGCTCAGGGCCCCAGGAAGATTCATTCCCCCTAGACTCTCTGCTTCCTGGGAAATGATTACATTCTGAGCTTTGGCGAATTCCCGCAGCACCGCTCCTTGGCTCCCTCACTGCTACCTGGACAGGCAGAAACATTAACATCCCCGGCCAGCACCTAGGCCCCGAAGTGAGGGGATACATGAGCCGTGTGCAGGCTTCCAGTCCCTGGAATGTGTGTAGGGGGTTCACTGTCCACCACAGCTTAAACACAAAATGAACATTTTGACTGGAAAAGGGTAGATAGAAAGAAAAAGACCTAAATGTGGAGCGTAGTCTGGAGCCTTCTATGGGGCAGAACAGCACTCGTGTGCAATAATGCTGCAGTGAGCCACAGCCTCGCCTCTCAGCTGCACAGGACAGATGTGCAGTGGAACGGGAAGTCAGAATGACCATCCCTGCGGCCGTTATGAGGAGCTGTTCCCTAGGTCTCTACAATGAAAGCTCCTGAAAACAGTCAATGTAGATTTGCACGCTGAGAACAGCACCTCCATTCCCAGCTACCCAGAGCCAGGTCCTAATTCTTGCTTATCCACCAACTCAGTAAATATAAGTCACGAAGGTTGCTTTTATTTTATGTTGAACTTTTTGTAGTTTACTAGCTTGCATTATTTTTTTTAAAAAAGAAAACGAGTTGATATTTTTAACTTTTAAAAATATCATGATGATGGCCGGGAGTGGTGGCTCACGCCTGTAATCCCAGCACTTTGGGAGGCCAAGGTGGGCAGATCATGAGATTAGGAGATTGAGACCATCCTGGCTAACACAGTGAAACCCCGTCTCTACTAAAAATACAAAAAAATTAGCCGGGCATGGTGGTGGGCACCTGTAGCCCCAGCAACCCGGGAGGCCGAGGCAGAAGAATGGCGTGAACCTGGAAGGCAGAGCTTGCAGTGAGCCGAGATCACGCCACTGCACTCCAGCCTGGGTGACAGAGCGAGACTCCGTCTCAAAAAAAAAAAAAAAAAAAAAAAAAAAAAAAAAAATATATATATATATAAAATCATGATTTCTCCATTTTTTTCCTTTCCCATTCTCTGACTTAGAATATTTGAGCAACAAAACCATAATTTCCGGTGCAAGAATGACGAAGTTCCTAATTTGAGTCTGCTTAGATACCTGAGCTTAGTCTCAGGCCCACCATGCGCTGTGAACTCATCCCAGGTTACATGATGTGCCTCTTGGCAACTCTGAGTGATGCTAAGTTTCAGGGAAGTGTGCACAGATCTAGGACTTCAGTAATGTTTAATCATCAGAGGCAAATTTGGGAACTTTTTATTTGTTTGTTTGTTTTTTGAGACGGAGTCTCGCTCTGTCGCCCAGGCTGGAGTGCAGTGGCGTGATCTGGGCTTACTGCAAGCTCCGCCTCCCGGGTTCACACCATTCTCCCGCCTCAGCCTCCCGAGTAGCTGGGACTACAGGCGCCCGCCACCACGCCCGGCTAATTTTTTGTATTTTTTTAGTAGAGATGGGGTTTCACCGTGTTAGCCAAGATGGTCTCAATCTCCTGACCTCATGATCCGCCCGCCTCGGCCTCCCAAAGTGCTGGGATCACAGGCGTGAGCCACCAGATTTGGGAACATTTTGTAATGGCAGTGTGTCCTCAAATACCTTGCTTACAGTGAGTTATATTTTTAGAAATTACAGTGCCCATTACACACACACAGCTGTTCCTTCTCTGTACTCACGGGAAACCCACAGAGACCCCTCCACAAACACCTCCGTATCTGCATGAAAGTGTAAAACCACATGAAAGCCGAGCTTGCTATTTACTAGTTGTGCATAGGGTTGTTTGTGTGCATGTGTGTGTGTGTGTGTGTCTTCTAGATACAGTCAGGTTCAACGGCATTATGCTAAATACTTGCCGCTCTAATGAATAATCATCCTCTTGGGGTTTCTCCAGGTCATTTGAATATGGAGACCCACTTCTCCAGTATCTCTCCTAAGAATAACCTTTCAACAGGTTCTTAACATCGTCAGCAAAAATATTTTCAACAAATGTTCCCAAAAGCACCTTAGACTCTGAAGACCTAAAAAAGATATAATACATTCTTTCAGAGCTGTTGGGGAGATCCTCAGCAAACCTACATTATACCATAAACGGTCTCAAAAATAGCTCATTTTCCCATAAGCCATGAGAGATAATGAGATGGGAAGTCCGGAGGAGGGTCTGAGGTGTCTGTGAGGAGCCGCCTCCTCCAGTTTCAGGTCATTGTTCCCTCCATGTGTGTCTAGGAAGCCCTCCCTCCTGACCCCCAAGGACCCTGCGTGGACTGACCCTCCAGTGCAGCTCTGATGTCGGCTACCACAGATTCGCTGTGTACTAGGAGGGGGCACGTGACTTCCTCCAGCGCCCTGGCCAGCAGCCCGAGGCTGGGCTCTCCCAGGCCAACTTCCCCCTGGGCCCTGTGAGCCGCTCCCAAGGGGGCCAATACAGATGCTACGTATGGTGCACACAACCTCTCCTCCGAGTGCTCGGCCCCCAGGGACCCCCTGGACATCCTGATCGCAGGTTGGAGCCCAGTGGGTTCAGACAAGTTCCAAAATTCTGTGCAGAGCTGCGTGTGCGTTTGTAGGGGTGTTTCTGTGTGTGCTTGTGTGTGTGTGTTTGTATGTGTTTGGGTGTGTATATGTATGCATGTTTGTATTTTTGTGTCTGTGTATATTTGTGTGTTTTTGTCTGTACGTGTTTGAATTTGTGTGTTTTTGTTTCTCTCTCTGTAGTTGCATTTGCATGCATCTGTGTGTATGTGGGGAGGTGTGTGTGTGTGTGTAGGTGTGTGTGTGTGAGTTTGAGTGTGTTTCTGTGTGGGTTTATTTGTATGTGTATGAGTGTGTGTGAGTATATGTATGTGTGTGTGTGTTGTGTGTGCGTGTGTGTATGTGAGTGTGTGAGATTGTATGTGTGTGCATGTTGTGTGTGTCTGAGATTGTGTGTGCGTGTGTGCATGTGAGATTGTATGAGTGTTTGCATGTTGTGTGCGTGTGTGTGAGATTGTGTGTGAGTGTGCATGTGTGTGAGTGTGTGAGATTGTATGAGTGTGTGCATGTTGTATGTGCATGTGTATGTGTGTGTATGTGAGTGTGTGAGATTGCATGAGTGTGCATGTGTGTGCGTGTGTGTGTGCATGTGAGATTGTATGAGTGTTTGCATGGTGTGTGTGCGTGTGTGTGTGAGATTGTGTGTGAGTGCGCATGTGTGTATGTGAGTGTGTGAGATTGTATGAGTGTGTGCATGTTGTGTGTGTGTATGTGAGTGTGTGTGAGATTGTATGAGTGTGCGTGTGTGTGTGCATGCATGTGTGTAGACGGCATAGCACAGATGGTCACGAGGTGCGCCTGGTTCTTCCGCCATGTCACCGTGTTGTTGGGGAAACGCTGAGTTGAGGGCTCTCCGACAGCCAGGAGCAGCATCTGAGATTCTGTAAAACCCTGCCCACCCGCTCTCTGCACAGGGCCAGGCAGCCTGGGCTGTGGCAGGGCCAAGACTCTTGGATACACCCCCAGACTGCCTGGAAAAATGATGTCCACTGGCGGGAAGAGACAGACAAGGCTGACTCCGCCTCATCCTGGGTGCTAGTGACGTAGCGCCCTGCAGCTTTAGCCTTTTAAAGGACATTCTGGTCCTGTGGAGGACGGGACGGCCCTACGCAGGACCACGGACCCTCTGCTGTCCCCTCACCGCAGACCTGCACCCTGTCCCTCAGAGTCAGGACGTGGGTGGGCGGGCATCTCTCAGTAGAGCCTGAGCTGCGGACGTGGACACAGCAGAGTCAGGAGCATCATCAAACTGACGACCAGAATGAGTGACCGAGGCAAAAGTCTCAATCAATGGAGGATTATTATTGTTATTGTTATTATTATTATTATTATTAGAGACGGAGTTTTGCTGTTGTTGCCCAGGCTGGAGTGTAACAGCACGATCTCAGCTCACTGCAACCTCCGCCTCCCGGGTTCAAGCGATTCTCCTGCCTCAGCCTCCCGGGTAGCTGGGATTACAGGCATGCGCCACCACGCCCGGCTAATTTTGTATTTTAGTAGAAACGGGGTTTCTCCATGTTGGTCAGGCTGGTCTGGAACTCCCAACCTCACGTGATCCGCCTGCCTCGGCCTCCCAAAGTGCTGGGATTACAGACGCGAGCCACCGCGCCCGGCCTCAATGGAGGCATTATTAAGCCAGCTTTAAGGCACAGCCGGGAAAAACGCAAGCCACAGACACATCTGTGTCTCCTTTTTCCAAAGAGGCTCTCCGAAGATTTATTCTTTACTCATTTCCTTAAAGAAAGACAGGCACAGAGGCCGAGGGGCAGGTAGGTGGTGAGGTGAATGGTTCCAGTTACTGCCCAGTAAATCTACCTTTTACCTAAGATAAGGTGCATGCTTGAAGAGAAAAGGGGAGTAAAGGAAAAATCAATTACGCAGACGTCTCTGGGTAGGTGGAAGAATGGCTGATCTCATCTTGTCTTTGCTCTGTGCCTGGGAAGATAAGCTTGTAACGGACATTATCAGTGTGGAATAAAACAGACCTGAGTTTTAGCTAGACTTAGATTGCAGACCTGGAGGCCAGCAAGGAATTTCCTTATGAATGATGTGTGAGGGCCTCGGTGGATGCCCGGAGCCTCTTCCCGTGGGGGATCTGGCTGATGCCAAATGCCAGCAACCGCTGTCCAACTGGAAGAGGGTGCCGCTGACTCAGCCTCCAGGCTGACCTCCCCTTTTACATTAGGAATTTGGGAGTCCTGAGGTTTTGTTCTATTTTTCCTTTACAAAATGTTTGGCCGGATGCAGTGGCTCACGCCTGTAATCTCAGCACTTTGGGAGGTCAAGGCGGGTGGATCACGTGAGATCAGGAGTTCAAGACCAGCCTGGCCAACATGGCAAAACCCCATCCCTACTAAAAATACAAAAATTAGTTAGGTGCGGTGGCTCATGCCTGTAATCCCAGCACTTTGGGAGGTGAGGCGGGCGGATCACCTGGGGTCAGGAGTTCAAGACCAGCCTGGCCAACATAGTGAAACCCTGTCCCTACTAAAAATACAAAAATCAGTCAGGCACGGTGGCTCACGCCTGTATGCCCAGCACTTTGGGAGGCTGAGGAGGGAGGATCACCTGAGGTCAGGAGTTCAAGACCAGCCTGGCCAACAAGGTGAAACCCCATCTCTACTAAAAATACAAAAATTAGCTGGGCCTGTTGGCAGGCACTTGTAATCCCAGCTACTCGGGAGGCTGAGGCAGGAGAATCGCTTGAACCTGAGAGGTGGGGGTTGCAGTGACCCGAGATTGTGCCAATGCACTCCAGCCTGGGTAGCGGAACAAGAGTCTGTCTCAGATAAAAAACAAAACAAAAAACAAAACAAAACAAAAAAACCCAAAACGTTATGCGCACCCATTATCCCGAATCTTCTTAGCGGATCCTCACGGCACACCTTAGAGGTGGGGAGCAACCCAGCTTTTAAAGTTGAGATCATTGAGCCTCCACCCACCGAGGTTGGACTCCCAGACTCAGCGTTCTGTGAAGGGTTGTGGTTACGATTCCAGCGCTGCCATGCACCTGGCTCCAAAGCCTGCACGGCCACAGCTGCAACGTTCCCCTGCCCTGGCCATGTTTATAGACAGCGCTCCAGGTGAAGAGCGCCTATAGCCAGGGCAGAACCCCTATCGGGGCAGAGGCACTGTCGCTCCATCAGAGTTCACCAGCAGCAGCACCATGGACGCACTCTCATTGCTGAAGTCCAGCCGTGTTCGTGGGCAGACGCTTCTCAGCTTGTGTGAGCCCTGGGCTTCCTGAGGTGGTTGTTTTGGAGCATTTCGTCCAGCTTCTCCCTTGTTCCTGGGGAATGGTTTGCCCCATGCCCCAGCTCTGTCGTTCCGGAAGTTTCTACTTCACACAGTTAAAAAAAAATTCTCTAAATATATAAACACCATGACCCAATTTTTCTGGCAAAAACAAACAAGCAAACACACCCACAAACATCTTTCCAGACACGTAAGCAAAATCTGCAATTACACGCTCTTCACGTGTTTAGGCACTATAACCTTCTTCATTTCCGGCAGGTCCTTGGTCCTGTGTTTCTCTAGGGGGTGTCTTTCCAGCAGCCTCTCCTTATGATGTCCTGGGATTCCTGTATCCACTTCTCTTTCAATAACCTTGTAACTCAGCTTGGGAATCAGAGTGGTCACTTTAATGTCTAACATGCATTTTTTTTTTAATTTTTGAAAAGGTTTAATCACAAGTTAAAGAGTCGCTTAGTCAAATACATAATTATATTGTAGATCCATCCATCCCCTCCTGGCAGATAATTTAGCTCAACTAAATTGTACCAATAAATCCATCTACAGGTCTCATGGAACTTAGCTGGAAAACAGGAAAAACCATGGAATCCGACAATGTCAAATATGGCAGACTTTGTGAATCGACTCATTGACTTATCTATCTGCCTACCTATTTACCTGTATTCCTATGGATCTGTTCATCAGTTAATCTCTCTATCTGAAGGAGCCACAGGGAATGCCAACAGCCACCCAGAGCTGGAAAGGGCAAGGGAGGGTTCTCCCCAAGAGCCTCCAGAGAGAACGCTGGCCCTGGCCCTGCCATCACCTTGATTTTTAGCTTCGCAACTCTGAGAGAATAAATTTATGTTGTCTTAAGCCACCCAATAATAATTTGTTATGACAGCCTAGAAAACTAATTGCTCATCTCCCCCAACCCCCATCCCCTCTCTCTCTGAATTCATACTTATGTAGTGTATGTGTGTTTCTATACACACATGTGCCATGAATTTTGTTTGTTTGTTTGAGAGACAGAAGGAACTGAGTTTTGAGTCATAGCTAAAGTGTGGTTTCAGATAAAACACCACCAGCTGGTATTTGCATGCCCTATTCTCTTCTAGAAATGCCGAAGTTTCTAGTTAACTGGTTTTATTTGTCAGGAGAAGTAAGGGAATTGCAAATATTCAGCCTACTAACATTAGGTGGAGGACACATTTCCTTTTTATTCTGCAAAGAGGATCATGATGGTAACAATATTTATGTATTAGTTTGACAAGAGAACATTGCATTAGGAGATATACCTAATGTTAAACGACGAGTTAGTGGGTGCAGCACACCAACATGGCACATGTATACATATGTAACAAACCTGCACGTTGTGCACATGTACCCTAAAACTTAAAGTATGTATTACAAAAAAGCGCCTCCTAATTATTCCTTGGCCTATTTCTTCTTGGTGTTTTAAATTTAATTATACTCTAGTAATTTATATTTAAGCTAAGAAGTAGTCTACTGGTGTTGAAAACAGATGTATATAGAGAGATTCTTTTTTGATCTATAAGATAATTTTGTAAACTATTTTTATAGCCAGAATTTTCATATATTGGTCTTTACTAATCCTGTCGAATTCCAATGGTGTAGGTAATTTTTTGGTGCAGCTGCAGAAGAAGACTTTGCAAGAAATTTGCTTGACTTTAGCAAGTACAAGTGGACTAAATTGCTTCTTTTGTCCTGGAAAGTTCAGAACTATTTGGGCATTTCTGATTCTCAGATTCTTCCATCCACACATTTCATCCTATGCGACAAGGTTTTACATACCTCCCAAGAAACTTATTTTGACATAGAAATATTCAACTATTTTGTGCTATAACTCAAGTTATCTTGCTGCTGGTGAAAAGATGTGGGTGCAAAAATATTTTGAATTTATTATGCTACAAATAATATGTGATATTAATGCACTTATAAATTAATTTGTTAGAGTAACTTTGTATATTGTAAATAGAATACCACTCAGAAAATGCTACACAACACATTAAACAAACAGCATGATTTAGTACAAATGAATCTGGGAATAGTCTTTCAAATGAATCACAATCAAGAATCCTACATTGAGTACAACACACTGCTTTTAACTGGTGCTTCATATTCTTTTTGTTTCCAATGAAGTTGAATACATTTGGTTGTCTTAATTAAAAGCTTAAGTGTATTTTGTTCTAACTTATATTTAATGGATTAATTTTAGTTAATTGATTTTATGAAGACACTTGAAAGGTGAACTGAAGTGTGTGGTGCAGATATAAAGCTAGTTAAGTCATTGGAAACATTAACTTGGCTTTTATTGTTATTTCTCAGCCTGGAATTCTCTGAAGCATCTGATAATATTGACCCTCTGAACTGCTTGATCATTACTCTTTTTTTTTTTTTTTGAGGCGGAGTCTCGCTTTGTCAGAGTGCAGTGGTGTGATCTCAGCTCACTGCAACCTCCACCTCCCAGGTTCAAGCAGTTCTCTGCCTCAGCCTCCTGAGTAGCTGGGATTACAGGGACCTGCCACCATGCCTGGCTAATTTTTGTATTTTTAGCAGAGATGGGGTTTCACTGTCTTGGCCAGGCTGGTCTTGAACTCCTGACCTCGTGATCTACCCGCCTCGGACTCCCAAGGTGCTGGGATTACAGGCGTGAGCCACCGCACCCGGCCCTGATCATTACTCTTAACCAGTCATCAAGATAATAATGTCAGGAGGATGGTCTATATTATTATACATTTTTCATTTTTCTTCTATTTCTATCTCAAGATTTCTTCGGGAAGCTTGCCGTTAATGTTCTTTTTTTTAAAAAAAAACATATGCTCCACCTTTGAGACAGTATTGCCGATTGAACTTCACTTTACTAAGAAATTCTTCACCAAAAGCTCATCTATAAAACTGCCCAGTGGGAGTTTAGCACTTTTTCTGATTTATGAACATTGCCAACTCGGTAGTGCCAAGAGATTTCAAAATTTTCACCCTAGAATACCAAGGTCAGGACATCTCTCCTACTTGCAGGAAAGATGAGCTGAACTGGACCTGATCTAGCCTTGAACAGAGATATGCATGAGAATCTAGAGGGTTTTCCCTGAGACCATGGACCAGCAACTTCTCCCTTACTGCCTCTCACTTTGTATGGGGATCCTCAGACTGTAACAATGAATTCAGCACTGGGTCTTGGATAGTTCCACCCTGGGATGCCCAGATCTAAATTTAGCCAATTGGCCTGTGAATGTGACATAAAATACGGTATTTATGGCTGGGCACAGTGGCTCACGCCTGTGATCTCAGCACTTTGAGAAGCTGAGGCGGGTGGATCACTTGAGGTCAGGAGTTTGAGACCAGCCTGGCCAACATGGCCAAACCTGATCTCTACTAAAAATACAAAATTTAGCTGGGCATGGTGACATGCGCCTGTAGTCCCAGCTACTTGGGAGGCTGAGGCAGGAGAAAGGCATGAACCCGGGAGGCGGAGCTTGCAGTGAGCCAAGATCGCACTATTGCACTCATTACAGCCTGGGTGGCAGAGCAAGAATCTGTCAAAAACAAAACAAAACAAAACAAAACAAAACAAAACAAAAAACAAGTCTTTTACAAGTTCGAAGCTATTTCTTATGGAGTTGTTATTTGTAAAACCATGACTGTAACCCACCTGACTTGGATCAAAGAGAAACGGAATCAATCCCAAGGCGTCCCCTCAATAGGGCACTGGGCAGCTGTGGATGTCATGGGGAAGTTCTCCTGACGGATGACCCTCCAGGACACATAGCTATGTGGGGAGTTAGAAAAGAAAAAGACAACACTCAGGACATTATTAGTCATTAGCTTTCTTTGAGAAAGAGCCAGAGAGAACTAGTATATTGCTATGCTTTTCTGTGTGTGTGTTTGTATTTTACATTTTAAAAATGAAAGAATACATGAAAACCTTTAAAACTGGGTACACTCAGCTACTTGGGAGGCTGAGGCAGAAGAATGGCTTAAACCCAGGAGGCGGAGGTTGCATTGAGCTGAGATCGTGCCATTGCACTCCAGCCTGGGTGACAGAGCAAGACTCCGTTTCAACAAAAATAAAAACAAAATCAAAACGACAACAAAAACCACAACAAAACCCTAGGTACTTGTGACGGAGGGAGAAAACAGCAGAGGAGATGGGATGAAGCTAGACTAACCTCATTGTGCTTTGTTTGTTGTTTCAGTTTGGAAATAGACATATATTTTCTTGAATAGGTGTAGTGCCAAAATATTTTCACATACGATTTATGAACCTAAAGACAAAACCTAAGTAAAAAGAGTAATGAAACTAATCTTAACACCAAATTAAGATTTTACTAAACAAAGGTGAATTATTTCCACTGAATTTTAAGCAAAATTATTTAACTATGTTTTATAAGTAATACATATTATACATCATTTTATATTATAGATTTTTAATGTTTTAAAATAATCAAATATGATATATAATATATTGATTTATAATTATTACTGTAATAAAGAATTTTGACGATTGCATATACCTCATTTTATATTATAATTTTTTAAAATTTTTAAATAATCAAATAATATATATGATTATTATAATAAATAATTTTGACGATGTATAGTAAATACATATATCATCGAAAATATTTAATCTTAAAATATACTTAGATAGTGAAATGTTTTTTATTTCTGTTTGAGGAAATAGGTGAGTCCACATTAAGACAGAATGCATGAAATGAACTCAGAACCCCTTATTATACAAGAGAACAAAGGAGTCACAATTACCTTCAAATTCATTTGACTTAAACAGAAAGGCAATCATGAAGGATCCCACTGACAAAGAATGGAATATTTATAGCATCAAATAATATTTCAATGGATTGAAATAAATGAATATATATAAACCATATATGTTTACTAGTGCTAAAACAAAAGAAAATAAGCCAAACAAACAAAATACCTCATTTACAGCACCAAATTACCACATTCCAAAAGTGGAAATGGACGCAAGAACCAGTATCTCCCTTTTCTATCTGAAGTATTCCACAGGAAACATTCTTTTCTCTGTAGAAGATTTCTGCAGAAAATTTCAGACCATTTTTAGTCTGAATAATCTGCATAATCTGAATAATCTACAGATTATTCTGTGGGAATAATTCATCTTTGTTTAGTGAAACCTTAACTTGGTATAAGATTAGTTTATTTTTTACCTAGGTTTTGTCTTTGGGTTTATGAATTATATGTGAATTTTTTTTTTTTTTTTTTTTTTTTTTTTTTTTTTTTTTTTTTTTTTTTTTTTGGGACGGAGTCTCACTCTGTCCCCCAGACTGGAGTGCAATGGCGCCATCTCGGCTCACTGCAACCTCTGCCTCCCGGGTTCCCGCCATTCTCCTGCCTCAGCCTCCCGAGAAGCTGGAACTACAGGCGCCTGCCACCACGCCCGGCTAATTTTTTGTATTTTTAGTAGAGACAGGGTTTCACCGTGTTAGCCAGGATGGTCTCGATCTCCTGACCTCTTGATCCGCCCGCCTCGGCCTCCCAAAGTGCTGGGGTTACAGGCGTGAGCCACCGCGCCCGGCCGAAAATATTTTTGCACTGCACGTATATTCATGAAAATATGTGTATACTTCCAAAGTGAAACAGGACATAGTTTCCAAACTGGAAGATGGACAGAGTTGCAAAATCTGTACACTGAGTGTACAAGCAATAAACATCAATGGCCTCCCAAACCCTTAGACTTCAGGTTCGTGGTGAATGTAGTACTGGATGGATCCTGTTGATGACAAAGCCATGGGGGCAGGAATGCAAGCTGGAGAATGCAAGACGCAAACAAATGAGTCACTTACTGTGTCAGATCTAATTTTTTAAAAAAACTTTTGTGTTATCTTGCCCTCAGATTCATATTTTCAAAATCTTTAATTTTTGTTTAAAAAATTACCGCTAAAACCAAGGCAGGAGGAGTGGAATTCCAAGACGGTGGATTACGTGATTCTGTTCCTCATAGCCCCACAGAAACATCAGCTGTGACCGCCATCCAGGACCAGAAATATTTCTGTGACAACCTAGAAGTGCAGTGAGAGTTGCCAGCACCACAACGAGCAAAAAATTGCAGAATAAGATACAAGAAATAGTTACAAAATTAGGTAATAGTATAGCAGAATGCTATAATCAAGCTTTATTCACTAGCCCTGTTTCACTTTTTTATTACTCAAAACGTCTAGACTCATTGGAGACAGGGAGAGTTATGTTGATCTGCAATATATTCCCAGTGTCTTGCATTTATTTTTATTTTTTTATTTTTTCTTTTTTTATTTTATTATTATTATACTTTAAGTTTTAGGGTACTTGTGCACAACGTGCAGGTTTGTTTTTGAAATGGCATAAAGCAATATATTTGAAAATTAAAAAAAAGATTTTTGAAGAAAAGAGAAAGAACAGCTTTTCTCTTCTTTCTGCATCTCTTCTTCCCCAGGGAGGCACAGTTCAGTGCCAGGAGAGACTCCGCGGGCTGCGAGCTCTCCCACAGAGGAAAGTGAAAGCAGAGGGAACACCCAGGTTCCTCAGCCTCAGGGGAAACTGCCCACGTCAGCCTCTCAGCACCAGATCGTCGAGGGGACTGGAATGGCGGAATAGTCTTGGAGGAGGCGGGAGCACCGGAAGCTGTGAGCGCTCACAGCAGCCATCACGCAGATCTAACAAAATGGCTGCAGATCTGACCCACAGACTCATGGGAGCCGAATAGACATCTTTCCAAAGACACAGGAATGGACGGCAGGTTTAGAAAAAGGCTCCACATACCTAATCATGAGGAAAACGCATTAAAATCACAGTGAGGCATCACCTCTCTGGTTAGGATGATAACAAAGGCAAACGAAGGTAAGTGCTTCGAAGGGCGTGAAGAAAAAGGAACCCTGGAATACCATTAATAAAAATGCAGATTGGTGCAGCCATTTTGAAAAACGCATAGAGATTCCTCAAAAAATTAAAATGGAACTACACGACACAGCATTTCTCTGCTGGATACTTCGCCAGAGCAATTGAAATCAAAATACTGAGGAGGTGTTGCACGCCTATATTTATTGCACCATTATTCACAGTAGCCAAGATACGAAAACAACATAAATGTTCATCGATGGATGAATGGATAGAGAAAATGTGATATATACCTATCATAAAATATTATTCAGCATTTTTTTAAGCATTAACAAATTTACTTAATTATTTGAGGCAAGGTCTTGCTCTGTCTCCTAGACTGGAGCCCAGTGGTGTGATCACAGCTCACTGCAGCCTCAACCTCCCAAGCTCAGTCAATCCTTCCACCTCAGCCTCTTGGGTAGCTGGGACTACAGGCGTGCACCACCACGCCTGGCTAACCTTCTGTATCCTTGGTAGAGATGGGGGTCTCGCTGTGTTGCCCAGGCTGGTCTTGAACTCCTTGCCTCAGGTGATCCCTCCGCCTCAGCCTCCCAAACTGCTGGGATCACAGGCGTGAGCCACTGTGCCTGGCCAAGGGGTACAACGTTTTAATTCTCCAAGATGAATAAATTATCGATATCTAATGTATAGAATGAAAACTATTGGTAAGAGTACTGTACTATACGCTTGAAATTTGCTAAAATAGTAGATTCTAAGTAGTTTTACCACACACACAAGTGAGGTGATGGATTGTGGTGATTATTTCACTATATATATAAAGTCGTCAAGGTATACATCTTTAATATGTGCCTTAAAAATACTCAAAGTGGAAAAACAAAATGAGTCTGTTATTTAGGTGAGACCTACGAGCACTGCCTCCTGAGCTCAGTGATGGACAAACCTGTGATATATTAAGGGTCACTATCTCTTCTACTATTTTTACTATTTTTCAATATTAAAAAGCACCCCTTTTTACTATTACAGTTATATAATTAGCAGCACATGGAAATTGTTCAGAAACAAGATCGCAACCCTGAAATTCACCATATTTTAATTTTTAATTTGTTGTTGTTGTTGAGATGGAGTTTCTCTCTTGTTGCCCTGGCTGGAGTGCAATGGTGCAATGTCGGCTCACTGCAACTTCCACCTTCTGGGTTCAAGTGATTCTCTTGCCTCAGCTTTCTGAGTAGCTGGGCTTACAGACATGTGTCACCATGCCCGGCTAATTTTGAATTTTTAGTAGAGACGGAGTTTCACCATGTCGGTCAGGCTGGTCTTGAACTCCTGACCTCAGGTGATCCGCCCACCATGGCCTCCCAAAGTGATGGGATTACAGGCATGAGCCACAGTGCCTCACCCATTTCTAAAATATAATATATCTCTAGTAAATCCAACTAAGAATTGAAAAAAAATGTTTAAACATGAATGTATATTTTGGCAATCAAAATATTACCTTTGTAACATTTGGACACAATTCTGTTTCATAGTTGCTTAATAAACTGCTACATAGAATACAACAGATATTTATTAATATTTATGAGTTGTGCAAATACATACAACACTGGGTAAAAAATAATTTGTAAATTCTTCTTTGTAGAGGCAGTATTGTATTTGCAATTTTGATGAAAAAATGGCTTAAGAAAATGTATGTAATTGTACAAATCAACCACTCAATTGAGTAAATGTGGAAGAAATACTTTTTTTGAGACGGAGTCTCGCTCTGTCGCCCAGGCTGGAGTGCGGTGGCGCGATCTCGGCTCACTGCGAGCTCCGCCTCCCGGGTTCACGCCATTCTCCTGCCTCAGCCTCCCGAGTAGCTGGGACTACAGGCGCTCGCCACCAAGCCCGGCTAATTTTTTTGTATTTTTAGTAGAGACGGGGTTTCACCCTGTTAGCTAGGATGGTCTCGATCTCCTGACCTCGTGATCCGCCCGCCTCGGCCTCCTAAAGTGCTGGGATTACAGGCGTGAGCCACCGCGCCCGGCCCCTGGAAGAAATACTATTAAAAAAAAAAGAAAGGGTGCTTAAGACCTGACAAAATGCAATAAACCACTATACTGCGTGAAGTGAGTCAATATCTTAAATAATTTGACCAACAAAATATGTGTGCATCAACAATGTATTTTACAACCAAATACTAACATTCCCAAATGTCCTGTACTGGTCAAAAAAAAAAAAAGACACAGAAAGAAAATTAATTATAATATTAAAAATAGTTTTATCTAATATTTTAAAATTACAGATAAAAATTGGTTATAGTAAACCAAAGAAAAAAACAGTCTACAAAATAATGTGAAGTATTTGATAGGTAGATATGTAAAGAAATAGATGCAGATCAGAGATAGAAATTTTGTTTGATCTTTGAATTCCAAAGATTAGAGACCAGGAGAATTATAGGTATAAAAAAATTAAGAACTTAGTATTTGAGTAAAAGTTAATTCCAAAATGAGTTGGAAGAATATTTGTTAAATACATGGATTTAAATATTTTGACATTTAGTTTAAAAACTAAAACCAGTTTCTACTGGATGCCATTTAGGCAAATAAAAATATTTATGTAAAGGCATATAACCATATAAATTAATATCTAGTAGATTAAGCATATAGAAACAGGTATATATATTTTAAAACATGAGTTGAGGCAAATACTTAGTAAGCAATTTTAAAACATGAGCCATAGAACAATTAAAAATATTACAATATTTCAAATAGTAAAACTTATTTAAGACTAACGACATATAATATGGAACTCAGAATATTAGAAATATTTTATATATCAAAATTGAAAAAAGGAGGCTGTCATTAATATTTTAAGTGCTCATTCTAAACAGTAAAATAAAATATCATTTGTTATCTAAGTAGGGAAATTATGTAAACAAGGATTTCTGTGGGTAAGAAAAAAAGCCTCACAAATATATGTTTTTCTCGGAGATTATCAACCAAATGCAAAATAAAATTTAAAAAAGATTTCTTTAAATTTGAAATCCATTTTTTTGTTACATGTTTAATTTATGGTCATAGCGTCACTGTACATAATTACTATTCTTCTTTTTTTTTTTTTTTTGATGGCGTCTTGCTCTGTCACCCAGGCTGGAGTGCAGTGGCACAATCTTGGCTCACTGCAACCTCTGCCTCCTGGGTTTAAGCGAATCTCCTGCCTCAGCCTCATGAGTAGCTGGGATTACAGGTACCCACCATCATGCTTGGCTAATTTTTGCATTTTTGTAGAGAAGGGGTTTTACCATGTTGGCCAGGCTGGTCTTGAATTCCTGACCTCAGATGATTAACCCGCCTTGGCCTCCCAAAGTGCTGGGATTACAAGCATGAGCTACCGTGCCTGGCCCATAATTACTATTCTTCTTGCAGCTATGGATTTTTATATCTGGGTGAAAATTAAATGAAGAGTAATGGTTTCTCAGTTTGAAATGAATGAATGTGAGATGCGAGTGAAACCTTATATGATACTATGAAGTAGAAGATAGAGTATTTTAGCCATATTTAACTTGACATACTATTTTATAATACCTAAAAATGTAGATGCATTGCAAAAACATTAGGACTTACCAAAACAAGAACAGCATTTTTATAATAATTTTTTAACTGGTTTAATAATTAAAACGTTGTTAAGCTACAATGGGATTTAACTGTCATTAAAATTTGGAAAATACTAGAATCTTGGTAAAGTGTAGATTAGTTTAGAGAAATAGATGCTTTAGAAAATCAAAACCGTTTCTGGAAGGCTATATAATAATGATAACAGTTTGGTCCCAGTGGACAGGGAGAAAAGTAGGAGAGTGAGAAATAAAACCATGCATTTTATGTAGCATATACACACAAACTTATTCAAAATTTTCTTGGAAAGAAAATGTCTTGTGACAAGTATGAGAAATTTAGCAAATTTATAGTAGACATTGGTCAGCAAATCCAAACAAGAGAAAGAAAGGAGCTATGCACGAATCATAAAGGAAACATACAACTAAATTTAAATTCCACTAAACTTAGTTGAGCAGCAGTGAGAACAACAAAATGATGGAAAATCATGGACACAAGAAAATATCTGTGAGTCCTAGACCAGCTGGGACTATGGGTCTCATCTGCTCTTTAAGAATGGCAGTCATTCGTGGGGAAATGAAAACCTCTGTTTCATCTCTTATCAAAGTGATTTGCAGAGAGGCACAATAGTAGGCTAAATGAGGCACATCTTACTTCCTGAGATCCTGGCAGGAAAATCCCCACCCCACGGCTCTTCTGGCTGGGATCTTAGCTGTCAGAACAGACTAAGTGCTCACTGTTTTAAGACTGAGTGGAGTGACAGCTTTAGAACGCTTGATCTTTAAATTCCAACGGATCTGGACCAGGTGCAAAGGTTTGGGGTGTAGCACAGCACTTTTAAAGCTGGCTAAGAGTCAGAGATGCATTTATACCTGAACACATTTATAGTCCCTGATTATCCCTGCTCCCTAAGCCTTGAAAACAGTCACTCACTTTAAAAGGTGAGATTCTATTTGGTGAAGTGAGAGATAGAGTTTACCTTCTTTACACTGGTTCCAGGATTTTCTACGGACATGAAATTATTGTTGCAGTTAAGTGCATGGTAATCCCCAGAACCCATGGGAAAGAGATGGAGGTGTATGGCTTTGCACTTATGACAGAAAGTTTCCGGAGACATATGCCATTGCCAACCAAAGCACAACACGCAACCACCACAGGTAATTTTAAATCTCCTAAGTTGCAGGTGTCATTAGACAGGAAGTGTGTAAGCAGGTGGCAAGAGCTGACACACTCTTAACCCTCATACAAGCAGCAGAGTGAAGACTGTGAGGCTTGGCGTGTTCATTCAGAGACAGTGTTTCGGATGGGGCTATGACAGAAGAGGAAAATAAGAGATGCCAGGCAACTCTTGAGCGGGAAGGCTGGGGCAATTCTATGTCTCAGGAACCCTCAGAAAATATTATTACTTTAAGGGTTTTTTTTTAATGGTCCATGCTGATGCTAGGACTAAACAATAATTTTGTGTACACACCAAGTTTTTTATGATAAACACTCTAATTCCCTGAGAATATGGCTCTGTATCAAAGAAAATTCCTCTTACCAAATGCCATTTCTTGCTGAAGAAGTAGCCTTCATGGTCACAGTCTGGGCACCTGTGCAAAAGGGGACATCTTATCCCTGATATAAAGGTTTGGGACACCATGAGGTCATCTTCTTGCTGACAGGTAATTATTATATCATCTGTGAGTACACTGACAGTATTTGCATGGGGATTTGAGATGCTCTCAGAAAAACATTTTTGAAATGTTCAAATGACTGAGAGCTAATAGTAGTGATTAGATCCATTCAACTGAGAAAAAGAGAGCAAGAGACAGAAACAGAGATAGAAAGAGATAGAGAGAAAGAGAGACAGAAAAAAGATAAAGACAGTATGACAGAAACAGAGAGAGAGAGAGAAAGAGAAAGGAAGGAAGGAAGGAAGAAAAAGAAAGAAAGAGAAAGAAAGAAAAAGAGAAAGAAAGAAAGAAAGAAAGAAAGAAAGAAAGAAAGAAAGAAAGAAAGAAAGAAACATCTCTGAAATTCTTGGAGAAACCACATGGAAATAAGATATCAGATGAGGACCCTGATGTCTAAGAACTGAGATGAAGGAGGAGGCAATGAGTCTGGATGTGTTTCTTCCCAACCTTGGGGTCTTGCCTCCTGAATGTTATTCTTTTTCTATTCTGAGAACTTTGTACAAAAGGCTGCCTGGAAGGGAGAAGAAAAGAATCAAGTTGGAACAAATTGTCTCTGTGATAGAAATGAACTTGGCAGGAGTGGAGAAACTTTTATTCCCTGTTTCCATAGGCACATGTGAAGTATCTGATCTGTGTCAAACATGGTGTATGAGATGTCTCAGAATAAAGGACATGAAAACTTCCAAAGAGCCTGCCTGTATTAAGTCAATATTGTAGTCAAGAAAAGTGGACATTACACACAATAAATAATAGATAGAGTATGCATTGTGTTAAAAGATAATAAGTGCATTGTGAGAAGGAAAAGAAGTAATGTGCTCCACAGAATAGTAAAAAATTTTGCAAGCAGGTTGTTTGGCTGACTGGAGCTGAAACTCTTCCCCAAGTCTTCAGGCTGTTTGTCCTGCAGATTTTGGACTCACCAAGTGCCAACAATTACATGAACCCATTCCTAGATAGCAAGATAAGTAGATATAGATATGCACATATGTACATATATCGGTTCTGTTTCTCTGGAGAACACTTACAAATACATAATTTGATCATAGGAATGATTCTAGATGAACTGAATCTTAATATGTTTTGTCTACTGTTTCTGAGGTTTATGGAACTGGCTGTCTGATTAGATTTAAAGACATTAAGACAGTATGACAGAAACAGAAAGAGAAAGAAAGAGAAAGGAAGAAAGGAAGGAAGGAAGAAGGAAGGAAGGAAGTCTGTGATAGTCCGTGGCATGATGTGGCATTAGGGGTACACCACTAGATGCTCCTAATCCTACACTTATAAGGAACGAGAATCTGGGTGGCCTTGCATACACCTTTGAAGATTGTTGTCAAACTATTAAGTATAGTATGTGTGGCTGTTTTGTCATTGGATAAAGAGGTAAAGAAAAAGATGAGCCCAGAGATTAGAATTTCCAGTTCAAGCACCACTACATAAATATCTGAGGTTTCTATGTGTGCCCTGAAAGAGACTCTTATCATCTGTAGCTGTAGGGGTGAGATTGCTGAAAATCAAACCGAGAATCTCATCCTTGAAGTGGCTGTATTACAATTCAAGCGGAGTCCCCAGCCTCACAGGGTATCTACTGTTCAAGTAATGCCATTGGTCAGGAATGGGTGAGATCTTGAAAGATGGAATGAGGATGTATATTAAGACCCTGATACAGCTGAGGATATCAAGCCCCTAACTTTGAATGAGTCTTCTTTGCCAATAGAAGCATCCTCTCTATCTGCAAGGGAGGAGATTAACCCTGTACTGTCTGAGGAAACAATACTGGCCTCCCCTGAGGCAGTTGCCATGCAAGGCTATGCTGATTCTCCTTAGGATACATCCTGACCAACCCTCTTTGCTTCTAGACCTATAACTAGATTCAAGTCTCGCAGGCCCTGAAAAGTGTGTTACAAAGTGTGGCTCATGAGAAGTTGTGCTACACTCCAAAGTAATTTATTTATTTTTCTAATTTATCCATACAGAAGTCTGAGGAACACGTGTCAGAGTGGATATTAAGGGTTTAGGATAATGGTGAAAAGAACATAAAGTTGAGTCGGACCGAATTTATATATATAAGCTCACTAAACAGAGATTGCACATTTAATGTTGCATCTTGGAGAACCGGAAATGATTCTACCAGTTTGTCTGGTTGATTGGCTGAAACATGGAGCAAAAGCTGGCCTGCAGTAAATAAACTCAAAATGCCAGACATGCCTTGGTTTGCTGCAGAGGAATTAACTTAAAGGCTTAGGAAGACTGTAATGTTACCATGCATGTATCAAACCTAGTAACCCACATTGGAAGCATCAGAAGATGTATCTTTCAACAATATTGCAAAGGGAGCTCTGGCATCCTTGAGGAGCTCTGTGATTTCTCTTCTCTGGAAGCTGGAACCTACAGTGGAACTGCTGAATTTTAAAAAATCTAAATGTAATGGGAGTAATTTGGCCCCTACCTCTTGGCCCCCAGAGAGACAGGGGCCAAGTAGAGGAACTCAGCCACCAAAGGCAAGGTGGGTTTGGTTACCATGATGGACAGCAAAGTCAAACCAGCGATCGGAATAGTCCCGCAGACTTATGGTGTTGGCTAGTTGATCACGGCATTCTAACAAGGGAGATAGATAGGAAACCTACTAAATTCTCACTTGATCTGTATAAGCAGAAAATTTCTATGTCAAGTGAACAAAAGTCAACCCAAATCATAAAAGCAGAGAGCCACAGTCTCTCAATCAATGGCTAGCACTGAGTCAGTTCATAGAGCCAGAATCCCCTGAATTAAAGGGATCCCAGGCAGGGTTCCCGTGAGGGCACTGTCCCTGGTACACTACCAAGAATATATACTCTTAATCTTTCTCCTGGACTTTGGTTAAAGGGACCTGCAGCCTTTTACAATGGCAATGGAGCCTTGGGGAAAATAATCAGATAATTTGGGCATTACTGGAAATGGGGTATGAACTGACATTAATTCCAGGAGACCCGAAACGTCACTGTGGCCCTCCAGTCAGAGTAGTGGTTGCTAGAGGCAAGGTGATTGGTGGAGTTTGAGCTCACGTGTTCCATAGTGAATCCAGTGTATCCCTAAACCCACCCTGTGGCTGTATCCCCAGTTCCAGAGGGCAACATTGGAATAGACATATTCAACAACTATCACAACCCCCACAGTGGTTCCCTCACTTGTTGAGTGAGGGTTATTAGAGTGGGCCCAGTGGGAGCCACTAGAACTGCCTCTTCCCAGCTAAACTGTAAACCAAAAGCAGTCTTGCATTCCTGGAGGAATTCCATATATTGGGACTTGAAGCGTGCAGAGACAGTGATTCCCACAACCTTGCCATTCACCTCTCCTATTTTACCTCCACAGAAGACGCAGGGATCTTGGATAATGATATTAGATTATTGTAAGCTTAATCAGATCCAATTGAAGATGTTGTAACAGATGTGGTTTTGTAGTTTGAGCAAATTAATACATCCCCTGATACCCAGTATTCAGCCATTGATGTGTTAAATATTTTTTTCTCCATCACTGTTAATAAGAACCATCAGGAACAGTTTCCTTTCATTTGGCAAGGGCATCAGTACACCTTCACAGTCCTACCTCAGGGTCTGGGAAAGCACCTGGGGGTTGTGATCGGGGTCTCAGTGGCCTTCAGCTGGTGCTCTTCCTCCTCTTCTTTCTCCTCTGACACTGGCCTCAGGGCCAACACAGGACATTGGGTGAGTAGGAAGTTGGCGGGGAGACCCATGGGCTGACTGAAGGTGGGGTCAGGGCACCACCAACCAGACAGATTCCAGATGGGAAAGTTCAGCTCAGAAAAACGGCTCCAGCATTTCCCAGTGAGAAAACCTAGAAAGAAGAGAATAAATGTGAACATACATGAACATACCTTATTCTTTTGGTTGTTTCATCTAACGACGTTTTTAAAACATCTATGCAAGTGTGTTTTCAGCTTTCCTTCTTTTCTCTTGAGTTCTCTGTGCAGGGCAGGTGGCTCTCATGATCCCAAGGCTGAAGCTCTGTCCCTCTTCACCCAGCCCAGAGGGAGGCTGATTTCCAAAGTCCTGTGGGGACTGTGGAGTCAGAGAACGACAGAGGCCTGTGGAGGAGGTAATTCTGCCCGAAGACCCCAGACGCCCACCTACCCCCACAACCTCCTCACTGGCCCTCACACTCCCATGTCCTTCCCCGGGTCCAGCCCAGCTGCTGATGTCCAGGAAGAAAACTTCTGTGACAGGAAGAGGGGGGCACCTGAGGGTGGAGACAGAAGCCCCAAAGTTTCGGTAGCAATGATAGCAGGGGAAAAGGCTGAGAAGGGCTTGGGACTCTTTTATATAATATATAAATTAATATAAAAATTAATTCACCTTCACAATGTCTGTCTAATGCATTTCAACAACTGTCTGTGTTTTCCTCATGTATCTTGGTTGTCATTCCTGTGGGGCGGCTCCTCCCACGCACCTGACCTTTCATAAAGGGTTTCTCCCACGGCTGTCCAGGCATCAGCCTGATGAAGGGGATTGTTGCCGCTGCTCCTCCCCACTCCCCCAAACTCAGTGTCAGCTCAAGATTGTGCCCAGCAGGGATGGGACCAACGCCAGTCTCACACTCACCTGTGGGGCAGAGCAGACGCCCATGTCAGACCACCGTGGATTGAATCTGTTTCTCACACACAGGGGAGGGGCTGAGCACTGACCATGGCCTCCAGTGAGTGAGCAGAGACCCCCCAGCGCCTGTCCACACACACAGGGGAGGGGGAGCCACAGCTTCCAGCGTCACCCAGAGCCCTGACCCCTCCCTGCCTGGGAGGACGTGGGGTTCCTCTTCTGTCCCACACGGAGGTGGGAGCCTCCTCCTCCCTAATGACCCTGGGTGGTCCCAGACACCTGTGGCCACTCAGCATTGAACTCTGCTCATGGAAGGGGATGCGTCTCAATGTGAGGAACTGTTCTTCCTCTTTCTGTGCCCGTGGCTGTGATGATCTGCATATTTCAGATGTATCACAAGGAGAATTTCATGGTATTTGGAGCCGATGTGGGCTCTTGAGTGGGGGCGTCAATCATCCTCCTGGACTGTGGAGCCCAGCACCAGGATCCTCTCCCGTCCCCACCCTCCTGTCTGAACTGGTCTGGAAATTCACCATGGCTGAGCCTCCCATGTCCTGGGCACCACTGACCCCCACAGCCACTGTGATGAGTGGGGTTCACGACAGCAGGCTCAGAGGTGACATTCATGTCCAAAGTCACATAAACCCTGGATGATAATCAGGAATTAAATACAAATCAGCTCACCTTCCCCAGAATCAGATTACAGACCTAACAAATTCTTCTGAAAACTCTGAACATGGACGGAGGTGCCGAGGGAAGGCCAAGGACGCAAGGGACACTGAGGGGGCGGGACCGACTCAGAGCCTCATTCCCGGGGTGGGGGTGGGTGATGTTGCAACAAAGAGAAAAGGGGAAGTACAGGAGAGGGACGGTTTGGTAGGAAGGAAACACACACTCTCAAGACAGAACAAATATGTTTTATTATAGTTAATCCCTGCATTTCCCCTTTTGAGACAGGGTCTCACTCTGTCACTGAGGCTGGAATGCTAAGGGGTGATCATAGCTCCCTGCAGCCTCCGCCTCCCAGGCCGAAGTATTCCTCCCACCTCAGCCTCCTGAGTAGCTGGGACTAGAGATGTGAGCTGCCATGCCTGGCTAATTTTTTGCTTTTTTTATACAGACAAGGTCTTGCTATGTGGCCCAGGGTAATCTGAAGCTCCTGGCCTCTAGCCTTCACCCACCTCAGCCTCCTGAAGTGCTGGGATTCCAGGCATGAGCCACCATGGTAGACCCTGCATTACTCCTCTGTGCTCACTGCCACACGCAGCTCAACCTGAGCTACACAGCCAGGTGTCAGGTGCGTCTCTGCTGATCTGAGTCTAACTGCAGCATGGACCTGGGTTTTCCCTGAAGCATCTCCAGGGCTGGAGGGACGACCGCCATGGTAAGGACCCCGCAACGCTGAGCTGATGGACGGGCTGAAGGAGGGAGGGAGACCCCATGGGGAAGCTCTGAGAAGGAAGAGGAAGCCTCTGCTCACCCTCATCTGGAAGGGCAGACGCAGGAGGGCACCAGTTCTATTTGCTGCTACATCCCAGGTCTCAAGGAGATGAGGATAAACCAGACAGACAGTGGCTGGGGGGCAGGAAAGACCCCATTACAGTCTGAAATGTCTGCAGAGGGCCTGGTGCCTGCCCCCACCTCAGCCCTAAAGGTATGACAGCCAGGCTCCTGAGAGGGCAGTTGCACTTCCTGTGTGGTTGCACATAACAAAACCCCATGACAAGAAGGATCCAGCCTCCGAGTGTCCACACCCTGTGCGTCTCTCTGTCCTGCCAGCACTGAGGGCTCATCCATCCGCAGAGCAGGGCAGTGGGAGGAGACGCCATGACCCCCATCCTCACGGTCCTGATCTGTCTCGGTGAGATTTGAAGAGGGAGGGGAGCTTCTAACCTAGGAGGGACCTCACCCCACAGCCAAACTCTGGTCCCTAAGGAGACCCCAGGGGCTCACAAAGATCCCAGGGAGGGGAGGACCTGCCCAGGCTTCAGGGGAAAAATCCCTCACAGGGAACTCTCTTCCAGGGCTGAGTCTGGGCCCCAGGACCCACGTGCAGGCAGGTGAGTCTGTTCCCAGCTGTCCCAGGTCCCTCCTCCTCACTAGGGACAAGGGGCCACCCCCGTGCAGCTGGGGATGGGGAATAGCAGTTCTGGGCTGACTGATGGGGGTGTCTGGAGGGTCCTGCAGCTGAGAGCTGAGATCTGTTGGGTGGGAAATGACTTAGAATCTGAACTCTGATTTCCTTCCAGGGCACCTCCCCAAGCCCACCCTCTGGGCTGAGCCAGGCTCTGTGATCATCCAGGGAAGTCCTGTGACCCTCAGGTGTCAGGGGAGCCTTCAGGCTGAGGAGTACCATCTATATAGGGAAAACAAATCAGCATCCTGGGTTAGACGGATACAAGAGCCTGGGAAGAATGGCCAGTTCCCCATCCCATCCATCACCTGGGAACACGCAGGGCGGTATCACTGTCAGTACTACAGCCACAATCACTCATCAGAGTACAGTGACCCCCTGGAGCTGGTGGTGACAGGTGAGAGGACACTCAGGAGTCCCAGCCCCAGGCTCTGCCCTCAGGAAGGGGGTCGGCTCTCAGGGGCATCTCCGCTCTCACAGCTCAACCCTGGGGATGATGTGGGAGGTGGGAGCCCCATTTAACACAGTGCCTCCTTCTCTCCTAGGAGCCTACAGCAAACCCACCCTCTCAGCTCTGCCCAGCCCTGTGGTGACCTTAGGAGGGAACGTGACCCTCCAGTGTGTCTCACAGGTGGCATTTGACGGCTTCATTCTGTGTAAGGAAGGAGAAGATGAACACCCACAACGCCTGAACTCCCATTCCCATGCCCGTGGGTGGTCCTGGGCCATCTTCTCCGTGGGCCCCGTGAGCCCGAGTCGCAGGTGGTCGTACAGGTGCTATGCTTATGACTCGAACTCTCCCTATGTGTGGTCTCTACCCAGTGATCTCCTGGAGCTCCTGGTCCCAGGTGAGAAATTCACAGAATTGCTTGGAGTTCCCTGAGTCTCCCTGAGTCTCCAGGCAGGTGGGGAGCAGCCGCGTCTCAGGGCAGCTCCAGGTGGGATGATGTTGGGGCGAGAGGGCTCAGGGCTCCTGGGGCCGGAGACACAGGAAGATCAGCGGGGGAGAGGGAGGGTTTGTGGGGAAGCCTGAGGGTCGGCTCCTGGAAACCATGAACACCTTTTCCCAGGTGTTTCTAAGAAGCCATCACTCTCAGTGCAGCCAGGTCCTATGGTGGCCCCTGGGGAGAGCCTGACCCTCCAGTGTGTCTCTGATGTCGGCTACGACAGATTTGTTCTGTATAAGGAGGGAGAACGTGACTTCCTCCAGCGCCCTGGTTGGCAGCCCCAGGCTGGGCTCTCCCAGGCCAACTTCACCCTGGGCCCTGTGAGCCCCTCCCACGGGGGCCAGTACAGATGCTACAGTGCACACAACCTCTCCTCCGAGTGGTCGGCCCCCAGTGACCCCCTGGACATCCTGATCACAGGTGAGGAGCCCAGCGGGTTCAGTCAGGGACCCAGGCTCTGCACAGGCCCTGCCAGGGGAGCCCAGGTGGTGATGGCCGGAATGAGGGTTGGGGGTCCCAAGGGAGGGAGAGACAGAGAGAGACAGGGGATGGGCGGGGAGGGGAGACTCAGAGAAAACAGAGACAGAGAGACTAAGGGTCCCAGGGAGAGGCCTGGGGAGGTCTCAGCTCAGAACAAGGTGGGGCAGCCCCTCACCCATCCTTCTTCTCTCTAGGACAGTTCTATGACAGACCCTCTCTCTCGGTGCAGCCGGTCCCCACAGTAGCCCCAGGAAAGAACGTGACCCTGCTGTGTCAGTCACGGGGGCAGTTCCACACTTTCCTTCTGACCAAGGAGGGGGCAGGCCATCCCCCACTGCATCTGAGATCAGAGCACCAAGCTCAGCAGAACCAGGCTGAATTCCGCATGGGTCCTGTGACCTCAGCCCACGTGGGGACCTACAGATGCTACAGCTCACTCAGCTCCAACCCCTACCTGCTGTCTCTCCCCAGTGACCCCCTGGAGCTCGTGGTCTCAGGTGAGGGCCCTGATCTTGTCCTCTCCGAGCTCAAAGGCTCAGCTCAGGCCCTGCCCCCAGCAGAGCTCTGGGACAATAATGAATGAGGGGAGTGAAGCGGGAGGGTCCACAGGGGAGGGTCCAGCCCATGGGAGAGTGGAAATAGGCAGGGACCTCCCACCCCTGGCTCCCACCCCTGAAGTCTCAGTAAAGAGCATGAAGGGCTGGGAGGAGACGGGGGCGGGGGGGCGGGTGGTGAACCTCAGAGATGTGATTAGACTGAGGGTGGAAGACGGAGACCCCACCCGCTCCCCTCCTGATGTCTCCACCTCAGAATCAGAGCCTCTGGGGGTCCCAAACCCTATGTCCTGACCCCATGGGTGACAAAACCAGCCACTCCCAGCTCAAGAGAAGTTTCTAGACTCATCTCAATGCTACCTCCAATATTCAGGGTCTGATTTCCAGGGCAGCAGCGGGGAGGGTGGACAGTAAGGGTGTGGTCTGCGTGGCTTCCTGGGGCTTCAGGGATGGGGCAGGTGTTCCCTCCGTGGTGTTCAGAGGGGAGGGAGGTGTCTGAGGTTCAGCATTGATGAGCGGAGCAGAGGGATCTTTCCCCCTCCCTGAGCAGGATTCCCAGGAGCCGTCACCTCTCATGGGGGAGCCAGGGTCAGGGGAGATCACAGTCAGGTACTTGGTCTAGGAGTCAGGTGGGAGGAGCCCGGGGAGGTGGGGCTGGGTCTGTGATGGCTCAGCCTCTCCTTGGGAGGTGGAACTTCTGAAAGAGCCCATTCCCCTTGCACCCTGGACTCCTCATCTGAATAAGGGGGAGCTGCCTGGATGTGACTGCCCCAAAGCCCCTTCATTTCTGACCTTCTGGGGCATCTGGGATGTGGCTCATCCTAGACCTGCTCCCGTCTACAGCCCTCTCTGGCCCTCTCCTAATTCTCCCAATAACTGAGACTTGTTAAGAGTTAAAAAACCAACGGAGATGGGGGCAGGTGCATGCAGTTTTACCCATCCCTCCTGGAATCTCAGCTTAGTAAGACAAAGACACAATATTTTGGAAAAAACAAAAGTTTACAAAACCCCGCTGGTTGAGAGTCTCCCCTCTCTCGTGTACAAGAGAAAATGTCTCCAATTTTCTACCAAAATCAATAGCTGGCACAGCTCTGCAGGACCCCCAGCCCCTGGCCTTGTCCTGCAGGATGTGTGATGAGTAGAGGAAGGAGAACAGGCTGGGTGGGGAGGATTTGGGGTCCAGGCCTGACTTGGACACTGGGAAGATGCTGGGGCTGATGGAGGAGGAAGAGAGGCAGGTGAGTTGGAGAGAGGACAGATGGACAGTGTATTGGCAGCTCTCATTTCTCATTTCCAAGAGCCCCTGAGTATAAGCCCTTCACCCACACCTGCGGGGTCCCTGGGCCATCTCAAGACAAGAGAGGAGGCTGCTTGGGCCTCGGTGGGATCTGACTGTGATGAGGCTGGAGTCCACCCCAGATGTGCTCCTTTAGAGAGAAGCACCCCAGCTGTGGGTGCCGCTCACACTGCCCCTCCTGTGCTCACCTGGAGGCCTCTGTGCTCAGGGCATCCCTGAGAATAAGGAGGGGCCCTGCACCTGCTCCCTGGACAAGTCAGGCAAGTATTCACAGCACGTCTTTCTGTTTAACTCATTTCTACTCTGCATTTTCTGTATGCACTTGTCCTTTGTTACTTTTTTTCTAAAACTTTTAAAACAGTATTTGAATATATGAATTTATAATATATGAACTTAAAATTGTATGCATATATTATTTAAAAATCCTTATTTATACTCCCCTTTAATTGAGTCTTGATTTAATTTATACATTCAATGTAGAAACAAATTTCTCATTAATATCAACTCTTCCTCCTTCACACATTAAAAATGAAGATTTTCTTAATGAATTTAAGACATGTTTTGAAATTTTACTCCTAAGAATATTGTATGCTCATTTTAACTTAAAGAATTATTCAACATCTTTAACAATTGATAAGTGAGGTATTTGATTTCTTTTTATATATATATATATTTTATTATTATAGTTTAAGTTCCAGGGTACATGTGCACAATGTGCAGGTTTGTTACGTAGGTATACAGGTGCCATGTTGGTTTGCTGCACCCATCAACTCGTCATTCACATTAGTATTTCTCCTAATGCTATCCTTCTCCCAGCCCCCCACCCCTAGACTGGCCCCGGTGTGTGATGTTCCCCGCCCTGTGTCCATGTGTTCTCATTGTTCAACTCCCATTATGAGTGAGAACATGCGGTGTTTGGTTTTCTGTTCTTGTGACAGTTTGCTGAGTGATGGTTTCCAGGTTCATCAATGTCCCTGCAAAGGACATGAACTCATCCTTTTTAACGGCTGCATAGTATTCCATGGTGTATATGTGCCACATTTTCTTAATGCAGTCCACTGATGGACATTTGGGTTGGTTCCAAGTCTTTGCTATTGTGATTAGTGCCACAGTAAACATATGTGTGCATGTGTCTTTGTCGTAGAATGGTTTATAACCCTTTGGGTATATGCCCAGTAATGGGATTGCTGGGTCAAATGGTAGTTCTAGTTGTAGATTCTTGAGGAATCGTCACACTGTCTTCCACAATGGTTGAACTAATTTACACTCCCACCAACAGTGTAAAAGCGTTCCTATTTTTCCACATCCTCTCCAGCATCTGTAGTTTCCTGACTTTTTAATGATTGCCATTCTAACTGGCATGAGATGGTATCTCACTGCTGTTTTGATGTGCATTTCTCTGATGACCAGTGATGATAAGCATTTTTGCATATGTCTGTTGCCTGCATAAATGTCTTCTCTTGAGAAGTGTCTGTTCATATCCTTTGCCCACTTTTTGATTTTTTTTTTTTGTAAATGTGTTTAAGTTCTTTATAGATTCTGGATATTAGCACTTTGCCAAATGGGTAGATTGCAAAAATTTTCTCCCATTCTGTAGGCTGCCTGTTCACTCTCATGATAGTTTCTTTTGCTGTGCAGAAGCTCTTTAATTAGATCCCATTTGTCTATTTTGGCTTTTGGTGCCATTGCTTGTGGTGTTTTAGTCATGAAGTCCTTGCCCATGCCTATGTCCTGAATGGTATTGCCTAGGTTTTCTTCTAGGGTTTTTATGGTGTTAGGTCTTACATTTAAGTCTTTAATCCATCTTGACTTAATTATCGTATAGGGTGTAAGGAAGGGATCCAGTTTCAGCTTTCTACATGTGGCTAGCCAGTTTTTCTAGCACCATTTATTAAATAGGGAATTCTTTCCCCATTTCTTGTTTTTGTCAAGTTTGTCAAAGATCAGATGGTTGTAGATGTGTGGTTTTATTTTTGAGGGCTCTGTTCTGTTCCATTGGTCTATGCATCTGTTTTGGTACCAGTACCATGCTGCTTTGGTTACTGTAGCCTTGAAGGGTAGTTTGAAGTCAGGTAGCGTGATGCCTCCAACTTTGTTCTTTTTGCTTAGGATTGTCTTGGCAATGCGGGCTTTTTTTTGGTTCCATATGAACTTTAAAGTAGTTTTTTCCAATTATGTGAAGAAAGTCAGTGGTAGCTTGATGGGGATAGCATTGAATCTATAAATCCCTTTGGGCAGTGTGGCCATTTTCACAATATTGATTCTTCCTATCCATGAGCATGGAATGTTCTTCCATTTGTCTGTGTTCTCTTTTAATTCATTGAGCAGTGGTTTGTAGTTCTCTTTGAAGAGGTCCTTCACATCCTTTGTTAGTTGGATTCCTAGGTATTTTATTCTCTTTGTAGTAATTGCAAATGGGAGTTCACTCATGACTTGGCTCTCTGTTTGTCTATTATTGGTTTATAGGAATGCTTGTAATTTTTGCACATTGATTTTGTATCCTGAGACTTTGCTGAAGTTGCTTATCAGCTTAAGGAGATTTTGGGCTGAGTCAATGGGGTTTTAAATATATAATCATGTCATCTGCAAGCAGAGATAATTTGACTTTCTCTTTTCCTAATTGAATACACTTTATTTCTTTCTCTTGCGTGATTGCCCTAGCCAGAACTTCCAACACTATGTTGAATAGGAGTGGTGAGAGAGGAAATTCTTGTCTTGTGCCGGTTTTCTTTTCTTTTTTTTTTTTTTTTATTATACTCTAAGTTTTAGGGTACATGTGCACATTGTGCAGGTTAGTTACATATGTATACATGTGCCATGCTGGTGTGCTGCACCCACTAATGTGTCATCTAGCATTAGGTATATCTCCCAATGCTATCCCTCCCCCCTCCCCCGACCCCACCACAGTCCCCAGAGTGTGATATTCCCCTTCCTGTGTCCATGTGATCTCATTGTTCAATTCCCACCTATGAGTGAGAATATGCGGTGTTTGGTTTTTTGTTCTTGCGATAGTTTACTGAGAATGATGGTTTCCAATTTCATCCATGTCCCTACAAAGGATATGAACTCATCATTTTTTATGGCTGCATAGTATTCCATGGTGTATATGTGCCACATTTTCTTAATCCAGTCTATCATTGTTGGACATTTGGGTTGGTTCCAAGTCTTTGCTATTGTGAATAGTGCCGCAATAAACATACGTGTGCATGTGTCTTTATAGCAGCATGATTTATACTCATTTGGGTATATACCCAGTAATGGGATGGCTGGGTCAAATGGTATTTCTAGTTCTAGATCCCTGAGGAATCGCCACACTGACTTCCACAATGGTTGAACTAGTTTACAGTCCCACCAACAGTGTAAAAGTGTTCCTATTTCTCCGCATCCTCTCCAGCACCTGTTGTTTCCTGACTTTTTAATGATTGCCATTCTAACTGGTGTGAGATGATATCTCATAGTGGTTTTGATTTGCATTTCTCTGATGGCCAGTGATGATGAGCATTTCTTCATGTGTTTTTTGGCTGCATAAATGTCTTCTTTTGAGAAGTGTCTGTTCATGTCCTTCGCCCACTTTTTGATGGGGTTGTTTGTTTTTTTCTTGTAAATTTGTTTGAGTTCATTGTAGATTCTGGATATTAGCCCTTTGTCAGATGAGTAGGTTGCGAAAATTTTCTCCCATGTTGTAGGTTGCCTGTTCACTCTGATGGTAGTTTCTTTTGCTGTGCAGAAGCTCTTTAGTTTAATTAGATCCCATTTGTCAATTTTGTCTTTTGTTGCCATTGCTTTTGGTGTTTTGGACATGAAGTCCTTGCCCACGCCTATGTCCTGAATGGTAATGCCTAGGTTTTCTTCTAGGGTTTTTATGGTTTTAGGTTTAACGTTTAAATCTTTAATCCATCTTGAATTGATTTTTGTATAAGGTGTAAGGAAGGGATCCAGTTTCAGCTTTCTACATATGGCTAGCCAGTTTTCCCAGCACCATTTATTAAATAGGGAATCCT
This sequence comes from Homo sapiens, assembly GCF_000001405.40. NCBI lineage: Eukaryota > Metazoa > Chordata > Mammalia > Primates > Hominidae > Homo > Homo sapiens. Next base: position 487,855 of record NW_003571054.1, read on the forward strand.
TTCCCCATTGCTTGTTTTTCTCAGGTTTGTCAAAGATCAGATAGTTGTAGATATGCGGCATTATTTCTGAGGGCTCTGTTCTGTTCCATTGATCTATATCTCTGTTTTGGTACCAGTACCATGCTGTTTTGGTTACTGTAGCCTTGTAGTATAGTTTGAAGTCAGGTAGTGCTACAAACCACTGCTCAAGGAAATAAAAGAGGACACAAACAAATGGAAGAACATTCCATGCTCATGGGTAAGAAGAATCAATATCGTGAAAATGGCCATACTGCCCAAGGTAATTTACAGATTCAATGCCATCCCCATCAAGCTACCAATGACTTTCTTCACAGAATTGGAAAAAACTACTTTAAAGTTCATATGGAACCAAAAAAGAGCCCGCATTGTGCCGGTTTTCAAAGGGAATACTTCTTTGCCCATTCAGTATGATATTGGCTGTGGGTTTGCTATAAATAGCTGTTATTATTTTGAGATATGTTCCATCAGTACCGAGTTTATTGAGAGTTTTTAGCATGAAGGGCTGTTGAATTTTGTCAAAGGCCCTTTCTGCATCTATTAAGATAATCATGTGGTTTTTGTCATTGGTTCTGTTTATGTGATGGATTACATTTAGTGATTTGCCTATGTTGAACCAGCCTTGCATCCCAGGGATGAAGCTGACTTGGTCATGGTGGGTAAGCTTTTTGATGTGCTGCTGGATTTGGTTTGCCAGTATTTTATTGAGGAGTTTTGCATCAATGTTCATCAGGGATATTGACCTAAAATTATCCTTTTTTGTTGTGTGTCTACGAGGCTTTGGTATCAGGATGATGCTAGCCTCATAAAATGAGTTAGGGAGGATTCCCTCTTTTTCCATTGACTGGAGTAGTTTCAGAGAGAGTGGTACCAGCTCCTCTTTGTACCTCTGGTAGAATTCGGCTGCGAATCCTTCTGGTCCTGGATTTTTTTTGGTTGGTAGGCTATTAATTATTGCCTTCATTTCAGAACCTGTTATTGGTTTATTCATAGATTCAACTTCTTTCTGGTTTAGTCTTGGGAGGGTGTATGTGTCCAGGAATTTATCCATTTCTTCTAGATTTTCTAGTTTATTTGTGTAGAGGTGTTTACAGTATTCTCTGATGGTAGTTTGTATTTCTGTGGAATCGGTGGTGATATCCCCTTTATCATTTTTCATTGCATCTATTTGATTCTTCTCTCTTTTCTTGTTTATTAGTCTTCCTAGCGGTCTATCAATTTTGTTGATCTTTTCAAAAAACCAGCTCCAGGATTCATTGATTTTTTTGAAGGGTTTTTTGTGTCTCTATCTCCTTCAGTTCTGCTCTGATCTTAGTTATGTCTTGCCTTCTGCTAGCTTTTGAATTTGTTTGCTCTTGCTTCTCTAGTTCTTTTAATTGTGATGTTAGGGTGTCGATTTTAGATCTTTCCTGCTTTCTCTTTTGGGCATTTAGTGCTATAAATTTCCCTCTACACACTGCTTTAAATGTGTCCCAGAGATTCTGTTATGTTTTGTCTTTGTTCTCATTGGTTCCAAAGAACATCTTTATTTCTGCCTTCATTTCATTATTTACCCAGTAGTCATTCAGGAACAGGTTGGTCAGTTTCCATGTAGTTGTGTGGTTTTGAGTGAGTTTATTAATCCTGAGTTGTAATTTGATTGCACTGTGGTGTGAGAGACAGTTTGTTGTGATTTCTGTTCTTTTACATTTGCTGAGGAGTGGTTTACTACCAATTATGTGGTCAATTTTGGAATAAGTGCAAAGTGATGCTGAGAAGAATGTGTATTCTGTTGATTTGGGGTGTAGAGTTCAGTAGATGTCTATTAGGTCTGCTTGGTTCAGACCTGAGTTCAAGTCCTGGATATCCTTGTTAACCTTATGTGTCATTGATCTAATATTGACAGAGGGGTGTTAAAGTCTCCTATTATTATTGTGTGGGAGTCTAAGTCTTTTTGTAGGTCTCTAAGGACTTGGTTTTTGAATCTGGGTGCTCCTGTATTGGGTGCATATATATTTAGGATAGTTAACTCTTCTTGTTGAATTGATCCCTTTACCATAATGTAGTGGCCTTGTCTCTTTTGATCTTTGTTGGTTTAAAGTCTGTATTATCAGAGACTAGGATTGCAACTCCTGCTTTTTTTTTTTCTTTCCATTTGCTTGGTAGATCTTCCTCCATACCTTTATTTTGAGCCTATGTGTGTCTCTGCACATGAGATGGGTCTCCTGAATACAGCACACTGATGGGTCTTGATTCTTTATCCAATTTGCTGGTCTGTGTCTTTTAATTGGAGCATTTAACCCATTTACATTTAAGGTTAATACTGTTATGTTTGAGTTTGATCATGTCATTATGATGTTAGCTGGTTATTTTGTCCATTAATTGATGCAGTTTCTTCATAGTGTCAGTGGTCTTTACCATTTGGCATGTTTTTGCAGTGGCTGGCACTGATTGTTCCTTTCCATGTTTAGTGCTTCCTTCAGGAGCTCTTTTAAGGCAGGCCTGGTGGTGACAAAATCTCTCAGCATTTGCTTGGCTGTAAAGGATTTTATTTCTCCTTCACTGATGAAGCTTAGTTTGGCTTGATATGACAGTCTGGGTTGAAAATTATTTTCTTTAAGAATGTTGAATATTGGCCTCCACTCTCTTCTGGCTTGTAGAGTTTCTGCCAAGAGATCCGCTGTTAGTCTGATGGGCTTTTCTTTTTGGGTAACCAGACCTTTCTCTCTGGCTGCCCTTAATATTTTTTCCTTCATTTCAACCTTGGTGAATCTGATAATTATGTGTCTTTGGGTTGCTCTTCTCAAGGAGTGTCTTTGTGGTGTTCTCTGTATTTCCTGAATTTGAATGTTGGCTTGCCTTTGTAGGTTAGGGAAGTTCTCCTGGATAATATTCTGAAGAGTGTTTTCTAACTTGGTTCCATTCTCCTCGTCACTTTCCGGTACACTAGTCAAACATAAATTTGGTCTTTTCACATAGTCCCATATTTCTTGGAGGCTTTGTTCATTTCTTTTCATTCTCTTTTCTCTAATCTTGTCTTCTTGCTTTATTTCATTAATTTGATCTTCAGTCACTGATATCCTTTCTTCCACTTGATCGAATCAGCTATTGAAGCTTGTGCATGCATCACGAAGTTCTTGTGCCGTGGTTTTCAGCTGCATCAGGTCATTTAAGGTCTTCTCTACACGGTTTATTGTAGTTAGCCATTCATCTAACCATTTTTCAAGGTTTTTAGCTTCCTTGCAATGGGTTAGAACATGCTTCTTTAGCTTGAAGAAGTTTGTTATTACCGACCTTCTGAAACCTACTTCCATCAACTTGTCAAACTCATTCTTCATCCAGTCTTGTTCTGTTGCCGGTGAGGAGCTGCGATCCTTTGGAAGAGAAGAGGCACTCTGTTTTTGGAATTTTCAGCTTTTCTGCTCTGGTTTCTCCCCATCTTTGTGGTTTTATCTACCTTTGGTCTTTGATGTTGGTGACCTAGGGATGGGGTTTTGGTGTGGATGTCCTTTTTGTTGACATTGATGCTATTCCTTTCTGTTTGTTAGTTTTCCTTCTAAGAGTCAGACCCCTCAGCAGCAGGTCTGTTGGTGTTTGCTGGAGGTCCAGTCCAGCCAGACCTTATTTGCCTGGGTATCACCAGCAGAGGCTGCAGAACAGCAAATATTGCTGCCTGACCCTTCCTTTCGAAGCTTCATCCCAGAGGGGCACCCACCTGTTTGAGGTGTCTGTTGGCCCCTACTGGGAGGTGTTTCCCAGTCAGGCTACACGGGGGTCAGGGACCCACTTGAGGATGCAGTCTGTCCGTTGTTGGAGCTCTAATGCGGTGCTGAGAGAACCACTGCTGTCTTCAGGGCTATCAGACAGGGACGTTTAAGTCTGCAGAAGCTACCTGCTGCCCTTTGTTCTACTATGCCCTGCCCCCAGAAGTGGAATCTGTAGAGGCAGTAGGCCTTGCTGAGCTGTGGTGGGCTCCACCCAGTTCGTGCTTCCAGGCATCTTTGTTTACACTGTGAGCTACTCCAACCTCAGCAATGGTGGATGCCCTTCCCTCCATCCAGCTGCAGCATCGCAGGTCGATCTCAGACTGCTGCGCTAGCAGTGAGCAAGGCTCCGTGGGTGTGAGACCTGCCGAGCCAGGCACGGGAGGGTATCTCCTGGTCTGCCAGTTGCTAAGACTGTGGGAATAGTGCAGTAGTTGGTCAGGAGGGTACTGTTTCTCCGGATACAGTCTGTCACGGCTTCCCTTGGCTAGGAAAGGGAAATCCTCCGACCCCTTGTGCTTCCCAGGTGAGGCGACACCCCATCCTGCTTCAGCTCGCCCTTTGTGGGCTGCAGCCACAGTCCAACCAGTCCCAATGAGATAAACCAGGTACCTCAGTTGGAAATGCAGAAATCCAGCTGCAGACCGGAGCCATTCCTATTCGACCATCTTGGAAGCGACACCTATATTTTTTTTAAAGAAGGATAGGTATCCATGAGAAAGTGACTGGTTTCATTATGTTCTTTTTATTTGTTATTCACCCACTAGAGAATGGCTCCTTTCTAATTACTCTTCAATGATCTCCTTTAATTTCTGGTACAATTTTAGAAATCATAATACATGGAAATTTTATTTCTTTATTTCTAAATTACATGCCAATATTTCTCAAATATTAACGTGTATATAACTACATAATAAATACATTTCTGAAGTTTTACATATATACACAGGTTCTATACATTACACATGATGTGAGTGGAGGTATATCTAAACACATTTTTATATGTATTCATCCATATGCTTCACATATTTGACATGACAGGTCTTTACAGGTTTGTTATTGGTCTTCTTATCTAGACTCACACTTGCTGGAGCAGAAGTATTCATTTATGAACCTCGGATAGCACCAGCATTTAACATATGCATATTTGTGTGTGTGGGTGGGTGTGCATGCACGTGTATTGCATTCTAGGGGTTACTGCCTGTATGAGGAATTAGTTACCTAAGGATTAAACGGAAGATGAAACCCCAGGTGAAGTGGTTGAGGGCATGAAGGGGAGGCAGACCCAGACTTTCACCCCTTTGTGTTCCTGACATTCAAGAGCCCCTGAGGTCCAACCCCTCCTCCATGGAGCCTGGGTCCTCAGCTGGCGGATCCGTGAAACTCATCTCTGGGGAGCATTGGCTTCTGTGGTCCTGCACCTGCTCCTTGCAGCCAGTTAGGGCTCAGAGAGGACACAGAGAGCACACAAGGTCCCAGGCTGCACAGAGAGCACATAAGGTCCTGGTTATTTCTGTATTGGGGACCACTTACCATATCCATGCTGAGCTCCCGGGATGCAGGAAAACTCTCCCAAATGACTCAGGAGCTGAGTTTGGATTTGTAGAACACAGGAAGTCTGAAATAATTCAATGAGGAGACTGGAGGGAACCCTGCTACAGCAGAGGAAGGGTTTATTGAGGAACTCCATAAAACTCATGTCAAGAGACACAGGGGAAAAGAAGAATGCAGAGCCCAGGAGTGAGGCTGGGCTCAGGGCTCTTCTCCACTGTTTTGATTCTCAGAAGCAGCTGAGACCCTCAGCCCATCACAAAACAAGACAGACTCCACGACTAGTGAGTGAGGAGATGCTCTCAGTTATGGGACTGGCACAGAGGGTCAGGTCCTGTAAAGGGGAGGTGGGTGCCCTGGGTGGACATACAGGAGTCCCGGGGTGATTCCGATCTGCCCTGACCTCTGTGACCTCTTTGTCCAGCATCCCTAGGCCAACACCCCCAGGATTACACAGTGGAGAATCTCATCCGCATGGGTGTGGCTGGCTTGGTCCTGGTGGTCCTCGGGATTCTGCTATTTGAGGCTCAGCACAGCCAGAGAAGCCTACAAGATGCAGCCGGGAGGTGAACAGCAGAGAGGACAATGCATCCTTCAGCGTGGTGGAGCCTCAGGGACAGATCTGATGATCCCAGGAGGCTCTGGAGGACAATCTAGGACCTACATTATCTGGACTGTATGCTGGTCATTTCTAGAGACAGCAATCAATATTTGAGTGTAAGGAAACTGTCTGGGGTGATTCCTAGAAGATCATTAAACTGTGGTACATTTTTTTGTCTATGAATGTTGACTTCCCTTGACTGGATCCCCTTTTTTTCCCATCCCCAGACATGAGGCTCCATCCCACATGGCACCGTTGGGTCCACACCTCCACACACCTGTGTGCTCTGGTCCACGGCATGTGACACAGTCTTCCTTATTCCTCATTGTCACACTCCTTGATGTCACTTACTGAGTCCCCGTCTCTTCAGTTCAGAGATCCAAACCTGAACCACCAACTAAATCAACGACAGGAGATCAGATTCCAACCAGGAAAACATAAATCCACCCTGCTGCCCTGACACCCTCTCTGTACCTTATGAGCCCTTCCCTCTTTCTCAGATGCTATCTGTGTAATTTCTCCTGAAATATCACCACTTGGAATCATCACACTGGCATTTCAAGTGACACCACAGCTATGCTGATTCAGAAAAAGACATCTCTAAAATACTGTAATTAGTGGTATCTACCAATTTCTGTGACATAAATATTTTTCTCATGGCCCAAATCAAGGTGCCAATGGGTTCTCACTGAATACAGGGTTGGGAAGCAAGGGACAGAACTGTCTTCACTAATGAGCACCAGGGACCTGTGGCACATCCCACTGAGAGCTCACCCATATACCTACAGTCCTTTCTATTTCAGAGGCAATGATCACTTCTACTTCAGTGTTATGGCACAGGTCAAATGAAATTCTGACACTGTTATCCTAGCATATCCACAAAAGACAAACCTATTAATATCTGATGTGGGAGATAACACGGCTCACCTAAAAATCAAAGTACATGCCGGGCGCGGTGGCTCACGCCTGTAATCCCAGCACTTTGGGAGGCCAAGGCAGGCAGATCACGAGGTCAGGAGATCTAGACCATCCTGGCTAACATGGTGAAACCCCGTCTCTACTAAATACACAAAAAAATATTGGCCGGGCGTGGTGGTGGGCGCCTGTAGTCCCAGCTACTCAGGAGGCTGAGGCAGGAGAATGGCGTGAACCTGGGAGGCGGAGCTTGCAATGGGCCGAGATTGCGACACTGCCCTCCAGCCTGGGCGACAGAGCAAGACTCCGTCTCAAAAAAAAAAAAAAATCCAAGTACAACATAAGAAAAATGTTAACAGAACTATGCAGTTTCGATGAAAGAATTTTTTTTGAGATGGAGTTTTGCTTTGTTGCCCAGGCTGGAGTGCAATGGTGCAATCTCGGCTCACTGCAACCTCCACTTCCCAGGTTCAAGCAATTCTCCTGCCTCTGCCTCCCGAGTTACTGGACTACAGGTGTGCACCACCATTCCCGGCTATTTTTTGTATTTTTAGTAGAGACGGGGGTCTCGCCATGTTAGTGAGGCTGGTCTTGAACTCCTGACCTCAGGTTATCCACCTGCCTCAGCCTCCCAGAGTGCTGGGATTACAGGTGTAAGCCACTGTGCCCGGCTGATGGAAGAATTCTTAAATGACTCGTTCTACTTTCTGCTGGTCCAGGCACTCCTTGGCTTGGGGCAGCATCCCACCAGTTTCTGCCTCCATCTTCTCAATGCTTACACCTACCTGGTTGCCTCTGTCTTCACACCCATTCTTCTGTGTGTGTCTTTTCTCTTCTTCAGATTATGATATCACTCAGATCAGATTAGGACTCATCCTAATTCGTTATGATCCCTTGATCATAACTTAAATGCATTTGCAAAGACTCTATTTCCAACTATGTTCACATTTATAGCTAATGGGGCTCAGGATTTCAACGTGTATATTAGGGGGAACAAGTCAATTTATGACAGTGTCTACAAGAAAAGTATGCATAGAAATACATTTAACCAAATACAAAAATTAGGTGGGTGTGGTGGTACACGCCTGTAATCCCAGCTACTCAGGAGGCTGAGACAGGAGAATCGCGTCAACCCAGGAAACAGAGGTTGCAGTGAGCTGAGATCTTGCCATTGCACTCCAGCCTGGGCAACAGAGTGAGACTCTGTCTCAAAAAAAGAGAAATACATTTAACCAAAGAGATGCAATACGTATACATTGACAATTTTAAAATACTGCTCAAAGAAATAACAAAAGACCTAAATGAGGAAAAAGTCATCCCAGTATCATAAATCAAAAGGCTTAAAATTAGTTATCTCCCTCTAGGGAACCTAGACTAATACACTCACCCCGTCTCCTTGTTCGGAGGCTCTCCTGCCTATCAGCTTTTCTCCTCTGTGCTTTCCATGTCCCTGTGGTTCTCTGGTGAGCCCCATCATGCTGTCCTAGAAGATCCACTTAGAATTTCGGTATTTACTCACCATTTTGACTCCTCTTAACGAGACAGGCACATGCCAGCTGTTTCCATTCATCCAACCTGAACCTGAGCCCCCGATCATTTTTTCTACCACTTTTCAGTCCTGGGAAACTCAGTCCCAATGTGCTTGTCATTCATTTGAGAATAATTTTCATTTTCTCCAGTAGTTTTAAAATTACTTTGTATCTATTCTAGATATCGTTTGCTCTATCATAGTTAAGACATTAATGTTATTTATGAATTTGTGCACATTAAACTCATGATCTTTCATTTCTGTAAAAATGTCAACTATTTCCTTTGCAAGTATTTATTGACTAACATACTCCTTATTTCCTTCATTCTGAAAGTGTGACACATAGAGATATATCTGTTTCCTCTTCTCACTCTATTCTTTGTGTGCATTAATTATCTTTTCTATTTTTTTCATTTCTAGTTTTTCTCCGATGACTAATGAAAAATTTAATAAATATTCTACACCAATACAATGTTTATCATTTCAGCAGTGTCTGGTTCTTGATGAAAGTATTTCTAAATGTGTTAATATAATTTACTATTTTCACATCACAATAGCTTCCTAATTCATTTCTATAATTGCCTGTTTTTTCTCTAATGGACTCTTCGATTTTTATTCCTCTGGGGTGGGTTTTTCTCCCACACACCTGATCTTCCATACAGGGTTTCTCCCAGGGATGACTCAGGAAGGAAAACTGATGAGGGGCATTTTTGTACCCGCTCCTGCCCTGCGGTGTCCATGCTCCCAAGTTTAGAATCAGCTCTGTGTTATGCCTGGCATGGTGGAGCCCATGAGACCCTCACATTCAAGTGCCAAAGATGCCCGGTCCAGCAGTGATAAAGCGAGACTGTGTCATGCACACCCGGGAAGGTGGCTCAGTGCTGAATGTGGCCTGGGTCACCAAACCAAGCAATCCCAGATTCTGTCCACAAATACAGAAGAGAGGGAGCCACAGTCTCTCTAGGATCCCACGGTTTCCTCCACTTTTTCCTTTGTTCTGAGAGAAAGACAAAGTGCCATGACTGCTCTGTGGGCTGGACAGATGCCTGTTTTCACCTGCAGGCTTGAACTCAAGCTGAGGTCTTGAGCATTCCCAGGTACTGATAAAGCACCTTAGATTGTTTCTAGAAAACACTGAAAAATTAACCCTTTGTTAATTATGTAGAAACAAACCCTGCCCTGAACCAAACTCCTGAAACGCTCAGGTTAAACTTTGTAACTCAATCCCTTCACTGCAGATACCCAGTAGGAAAGTCACATGAGCAAGGATGAGATGACTTTGGTTAAACTCAGACCCCACAGGGCCAGGAAGGCCTGACGGAGAGGAGGCTCGTGTTGCCAGGTCTCAGATAAGAACTGTTTCTAAGGACTTTTTTAAAAACCCCATAAGAAACTCTTCCATGTCTTTCACCCCTCTCCTGCTTTGACATGGTTTATTACTAGATATTCTTTAGGACATCAGGAATGCAGATAGGCTGCTCTCGAGAGAATACTTGCCCAGCAATGGCATCTCCTCCAATGGACTGACAGCAACTCTGGCTTTGAACCTCTGGAACCAGGGAACTCTGCTTCTAAGCAGCTCTGTCAGCCTCTCCCTTGTTGCTGATAAGAATTTCCTTTACCTCTCTATGTACAGAGAGCTCTCTCTATGATGTTTTTCCTCTACTCTCACACCACAACAGTCATCAACACAGGAGACTTGTAGGATCAGATGTGTGGGATTGTTTCCCAGACCCAATAGCGAACAGCAGCTGGGTGTCCTCTAAGTCGGCTCCGAGCTGTCTACCCAGACACAGTCCCAGATCCCACAGATTGAAGGCCCATTCTCCAAGATTGCCCCCACACACCATTCCCAAGTCCAGACCTCCAGAACTTCTGACTGACTGGCTTCAAGTTGGGGATCCCATGACCACCTCTTTGGGTTTGATTAATTTGCTGTAGCAGCTCACAGAACTCAGGGAGACACTGACGTTTACTGGTTGAATACAAAGCACACTGCAGAGGACACAGATGAAGAGACTCATAGGAGGAGGCATGGGGGAAGGGACCGGAGCATCTATGCCCTCCCTGGGCGCCACGCTCCAGGAACCTCCGCATGCTCAGCCATCCAGAAGCCCATGAAACCCAGTCCTCTTGGGCTTTTAAGGAGCTTCGTGACATCAGCATTTCCTCCCACAAGGAACAGGGTGAGACCATCTTCTGGGAGGGTCTTAAGAGCCACCATCAGAAAGGCAGGGAACATTCGAGTCTTGCCTTGGGCAGGTGAAGGAAGGGCAGGAGGAGGTCAGAGGCCTCCCCTAAGGCCTAACACAGCCAATACTCTAACAAAAGACTGTAACCAGTGGTATGGAGTTATAAGCCAGGAACCGCGGGTGAAAACCAGTGTGTATCACAACATCACACTTCCCTCTCCGGATGCACTGTGTCTTGCCATGCCATGCACTCCAGATTGTAATCTTTGCTTCTCATTCTCAAATACAAGCAAAATCCAGGCAACCCTGGAGCAATGCAGCCTTGAATTCCTGGGGTCTCTTGTATGCACACTCTCTTCAACCAAACGGGGATCATAACTATGGCATTTGTGGGATGCAAATCCTGTGTATACGAATGGCAGACTTTCCCTATACATGGTGCAGTGGAGCCAGCTTCAGGGCTGGAGTACAGGCAGGTTTTGTGACATGTGGGCCACGGACTGGAGCCAGTTCCCTTGTACACCAAAGAACAACTGTACTTAGAGATAATTTTCTCTAGATTTTTGTTTTGTTTTGTTATTTTAGGTTAAAGCATTGGATAGAACACCCAGTGTCACCTTGTCTACCTCCAGGACATGCTGCAGGGCCCACTCTATGGAAGTCCCTCTAACAAATGCTCTATGAACACCCTGGTGTTTAGTGCTTCTTTCTTTGGAATCCCAGCAGCTCTATCACTGGACGGTTTGGTGCACTCCTTTGATGGAATTCCTCTGGGCTGCTTGGGGTCCACTCCAGCCTCAGGTGTAGCTGGAGGACGCAGCCTCCCACCTTGGTCTGGAGCCCTGAGGCCCTCACTGTCATTGCAGATCCCGAGGTTCCTCTCCCACCTCCATTCAGTGGTGGAAAACTCCATTCTAATTACCCCTTGAAGGTCCTGGGACCCTCTGGCCTCTGTTCTTTCTTGTGGATCCACCTACACTTGGGAACTTCCTCACCTCTTTTTCTGCTCATGACATTGATGCTCTGGGTATTTCAGAAATGCCTCATGTACATTTCTCCATTAGGGTCAGATGTGAGATCCAGAGTGGACACATCAATCATCTACACAGACTGGGGGGTCCAACATCGAGATCCTTTCACATCCCAAACAGTTCAGGTCTTACCCTGGTCTGGAAATCAAGCACAAATGAGCCCCTCCGAATGTCCCAGGCACCACTGACCCAACAACCACTGTGACCAGTGGGATTCATGACAACAATCTGCAAAGGAGGAAACTGAGGCTCAGTGATGGGACATTACAAACCAAGGTCATGTAGGCAGCGGATGATAACCAGTCATCAAATAAATATCAACTCCCTCCCCCACTCCCCAAATCAAAGCTCAAACATAAGTCATTGTTCTCAAAACGTTGAACAGGGATTGAGGTGCAGAGGGATGGCCAAGTAAGCAAAGGGCACCGAGGAGGCAGGAAAGTCTCAGATGTTTGTTCCCAGCGGGTGGGAGTGGACACTGTAGCAAAATATTTTAAAAAGGGGAAGTTGAGAGGGGACTATTTGGTTGAAAGAAAACCCACAATCCAGTGTCAAGAAAGAAGTCAACTTTTCTTCCCCTATTTCCCTGCATTTCTCCTCTGTGCTCACTGCCACACGCAGCTCAACCTGAGCTACACAGCCAGATGCGAGATGCTTCTCTGCTGATCTGAGTCTGCCTGCAGCATGGACCTTGGTCTTCCCTGAAGCATCTCCAGGGCTGGAGGGACGACTGCCATGGTAAGGACCCCACAACGCTGAGCTGATGGATGGCTGAAGGAGGGAGGGTGACCATGTGGGAGGCTGTGAGAAGGAAAGGGAAGCCTCCGTTACCCTCATCTGGAAGGGCAGACGCAGAAAGCACCAGTTCTATTTGCTGCTACATCCCGTCTCTCAGTGAGAAGAGGAGAAACCAGACAGACAGTGGCTGGGGGTCAGGAAAGACCCCATTACAGTCTGAAATGTCTGCAGAGGGCCTGGTTCCTGCCCCCACCTCAGCTCTAAAAGAATGAGAGTCAGGCTCCTGGTAGGGTAGTTCTGCTTCCTGTGTGGCTGCAGATGACAACACCCCATGAGAAGGACCCAGCCTCCGAGTGTCCACACTGGGTGGGAAGGAGGGGAGGCTATTTCTCTCTGTGTGTCTCTGTCCTGCCAGCACCGAGGGCTCATCCATCCGCAGAGCAGGGCAGTGGGAGGAGACGCTATGACCCCCATCGTCACAGTCCTGATCTGTCTCAGTGAGATTTGAAGAGGGAGGGGAGCTTCTAACCTAGGAGGGACCTCACCCCACAGCCGACCTCTAGTCCCTAAGGAGACCCCAGGGGCTCACAAAGATCCCAGGGAGGGGAGGACCTGCCCAGGCTTCAGGGGCAAATTCCTCACAGGGAACTCTCTTCCAGGGCTGAGTCTGGGCCCCCGGACCCACGTGCAGGCAGGTGAGTCTGTCCCCAGCTCTCCCAGGTCCCTCCTCCTCACTGGGGACAAGGGGCCACCCCCGTGCAGCTGGGGATGGGGAATAGCAGTTCTGGACTGACTGATGGGGGCATCTGGAGGGTCCTGGGCTGAGAGCTGAGATATGTTGGGTGGGAAATGACTTAGAATCTGAACTCTGATTTCCTTCCAGGGACCCTCCCCAAGCCCACACTCTGGGCTGAGCCAGGCTCTGTGATCACCCAGGGGAGTCCCGTGACCCTCTGGTGTCAGGGGATCCTGGAGACCCAGGAGTACCGTCTGTATAGAGAAAAGAAAACAGCACCCTGGATTACACGGATCCCACAGGAGATTGTGAAGAAGGGCCAGTTCCCCATCCCATCCATCACCTGGGAACACACAGGGCGGTATCGCTGTTTCTACGGTAGCCACACTGCAGGCTGGTCAGAGCCCAGTGACCCCCTGGAGCTGGTGGTGACAGGTGAGCTGACACTGAGGGCTCCCAGCCCCAGGCTCTGCCCTCAGGAAGGGAGTCAGTTCTCAGGGGCATCTCCCTCTCACAGCCCAGCCCTGGGGATGAAGTGGGAGGTGTGAGCCCCATTTAACATGGTGCCTCCTTCTCTCCTAGGAGCCTACATCAAACCCACCCTCTCAGCTCTACCCAGCCCTGTGGTGACCTCAGGAGGGAACGTGACCCTCCATTGTGTCTCACAGGTGGCATTTGGCAGCTTCATTCTGTGTAAGGAAGGAGAAGATGAACACCCACAATGCCTGAACTCACAGCCCCGTACCCATGGGTGGTCCCGGGCCATCTTCTCTGTGGGCCCCGTGAGCCCGAGTCGCAGGTGGTCGTACAGGTGCTATGCTTATGACTCGAACTCTCCCCATGTGTGGTCTCTACCCAGTGATCTCCTGGAGCTCCTGGTCCTAGGTGAGAAATTCACAGCATTGCCTGGAGTTCCCTGAGTCTCCCTGAGTCTCCAGGCAGGTGGGGAGCAGCCACGTCTCAGGGCAGCTCCAGGTGGGATGATGTTGGGGCGAGAGGGCTCAGGGCTCCTGGGGCCGGAGACACAGGAAGATCAGCAGTGGTGAGGCCCCGGGGGAGAGGGAGGATATGTGGGGAAGCCTGAGGGTCGGCTCCTGGAAACCATGAGCACCTTTTCCCAGGTGTTTCTAAGAAGCCATCACTCTCAGTGCAGCCAGGTCCTATAGTGGCCCCTGGGGAGAGCCTGACCCTCCAGTGTGTTTCTGATGTCAGCTACGACAGATTTGTTCTGTATAAGGAGGGAGAACGTGACTTCCTCCAGCTCCCTGGCCCACAGCCCCAGGCTGGGCTCTCCCAGGCCAACTTCACCCTGGGCCCTGTGAGCCGCTCCTACGGGGGCCAGTACAGATGCTCCGGTGCATACAACCTCTCCTCCGAGTGGTCGGCCCCCAGCGACCCCCTGGACATCCTGATCGCAGGTGAGGAGCCCAGCGGGTTCAGTCAGGGACACAGGCTCCGCACAGGCCCTGCCAGGGGAGCCCAGGTGGTGATGGCCGGAATGAGGGGTGGGGGTCCCAAGGGAGGGAGAGACAGACAGAGACAGGGGATGGGCGGGGCGGGGAAGACTCAGAGAAAACAGAGATAGAGACTGAGGGTCCCAGATAGAAGCCTGGGGAGGCGTCAGCTCAGAACAAGGTGGGGCAGCCTCTCACCCATCCTTCTTCTCTCCAGGACAGTTCCGTGGCAGACCCTTCATCTCGGTGCATCCGGGCCCCACGGTGGCCTCAGGAGAGAACGTGACCCTGCTGTGTCAGTCATGGGGGCCGTTCCACACTTTCCTTCTGACCAAGGCGGGAGCAGCTGATGCCCCCCTCCGTCTCAGATCAATACACGAATATCCTAAGTACCAGGCTGAATTCCCTATGAGTCCTGTGACCTCAGCCCACTCGGGGACCTACAGGTGCTACGGCTCACTCAGCTCCAACCCCTACCTGCTGTCTCACCCCAGTGACTCCCTGGAGCTCATGGTCTCAGGTGAGGGCCCTGACCCTGTCCTCTCCGAGCTCAAAGGATCAGCTCAGGCCCTGCCCCCCAGGAGAGCTCTGGACACTAAGAAAAGAGGGGAGTTGGCTGGGCACGGTGGCTTACACCTGTAATCCCAGCACTTTGGGAGGCCCAGGCGGGTGGATCAGGAGGCCAGGAGATCGAGACCATCCTGGCTAACACAGTGAACCCCGTCTCCACTAAAAAATAGAAAAAATTAGCCAAGCGTGGTGGCAGGTGTCTGTAGTCCCAGGTACTCGGGAGGCTGAGGCAGGAGAATGGCATGAACCTGGGAGGCGGAGCTTGCCGTGAGCTGATGTCATGCCACTGCACTCAATCCTGGGCAAGACAGCGAGACTCCATCTCAAAAAAAAAGGAAAAGAAAAGAGTGGAGTGAAGGGGGAAGGTCTGCGGGGGAGGGTCGAGCCCATGGGAGGGTGGAAATAGACGGGGCCTCCCACCCCTGGCTCCCACCCTTGTAGTCTCAGTAGGGTAAAGAGCAGGGAAGGCTGGGAGGAGATGGGGGTGAACCTCAGAGGAGATGAGAGTAGACTGAGGGTGAAAGACAGAGGCCCCACCTGCTCCCCTCCTGATGTCTCCACCTCAGAATCAGAGCCTCTGGGGATCCCAACCTCTAAGTCCTGACCCCATGGGTGACAAAAACCCAGTCACTCCCAGCTCTAAAGAAGTTTCTAGACTCATCTCAATGCTACCTCTAATATTCAGGGTCTGATTTCCAGGGCAGCAGAGGGGAGGGTGGACAGTAAGGGTGTGGTCTGCATGGCTTCCTGGTGCTCCAGGGATGGGGCAGGTGTTCCCTCCGTGGTGTTCAGAGGGGAGAGAGGTGTCTGAGGTTCAGCATTGATGAGTGGAGCAGCGGGGTCTTTCCCCCTCCCCGAGCAGGATTCCAGGAGACATCACCTCTGGTTGAGACTCTCCACTGTCTCATGTACATAACAAAATCTCTCCAATTTTCTACTGAAAGCAACACGTGGCACAGCTCTGCAGGACCCCACACCCCGACCTTGTCCTGCAGGATGTGTGACGAGTAGAAGAGGGAGAACAGGTCGGGTCAGCAGGATTTGGGGTCCAGCCTGACTTGGACACGTGGAAGATGCTGGGGCTGATGGAGGAGGAACAGAGGCGGGCGAGTTGGAAAGAGGACAGACAGACGGTCCCTTGGCAGCTCTCATTTCTCATTTCCAAGGGCCCCTGAGGATGAACCCCTCACCCACACCTGTAGGGTCCCTGGGCCATCTCAAGACAAGAGAGGAGGCCTTGGTGGGATCTGACTGTGATGAGGGTGAAGTCCACCCCGAGCAGAAATGAGTGATACACAACACGTGCTGTGAATAATTCCCTAACTTGCCAGGGAGCAAGTGCACGGCCCCTCCTTAGTCTCAGGGGTGCCCTGAGCCCAAGCCCACCAGGTGAGCACAGGAGGGGCCGTGTGAGCGGCACCCACAGCTGGAGTGCTTCTCTCTAAAGGAGCACGTTTTGGGTGGACTCAACCCTCACCACAGTCAGATCCCACCAAGGCTCTGTGCTCAGGGCACCCGGAGACTAAGGAGGGACCGTGCACCTGCTCCCTGGATGAGTTAGGGAATGATTCACAGCACGTCTCATATGTCATTCATTTCTACACTGTATTTTCTGTACGTATGCTTTCTATATGTATGCTCTCTCCTTTACTAAAACTTTTAAAGCAATACTTCAATATATAAATTTATATTTTTTATTTCAATTATATGAACCTATTATTTAAAAACATTTAATTTTACTTTGCCTTTCATTGGGGCTTGATTTAATTTATATATTCAATGTAGACATCCATTTTTCATTAACCTCAAGTCTTCCTCCTGTACATATTAAAAATCGAGGTTTCCTTAACGAACTTCAGAAATGTTTGGATGTTTCCAAGCACAATGGCCCGAGCGAAACTGACTGGGCGGCTCCCTGTGGCATGAGAAACCCGGGGGAGGTCAGCGGGAGCTACAGTGCAGCTCAGCCCTGGGCCTGGGGGGTTCATGCCCAACCTTGTCCAATCACTGGATAATTCTAACATCTAAATAAACGTCTTTTATATGAAAAAAGTGCTTTAAATTGTTAATTTAGATTTAAATTAGAACAGGGCAATTTGGTAGTGGGTTAATATGAAATACAATGAATATACCCAAACCAGTGGCTTTCTCATGAGTACTTATCTCTCGTTTTAAAAAATGTAAAGGAATCAAATACTTCACTTATAAATTGTTAAAGGTGTTGAATAATTCTTTAAATTAGAACGAATATAATTAAAAAAAATTTTTTTTGAGATGGAGTTTTGCTCTTGTTGCCCAGTCTGGAGTGCAGTGGTGAAATCTTGGCTCACTGCAACCTCCGTCTTCCAGTTTCAAGCAATTCTCCTGCCTCAGCCTCCCGAGTAGCTGGGATTACAGGCGCCCGCCACCATGCCCCGCTAATTTTTGTATTTTTAGTAGAGACAGGGTTTCACCATGTTGGCTAGGCTGGTCTTGAACTCCTGACCTCATGATCTGCCCACGTCAGCCTCCCAAAATGCTGGGATTACAGGCATGAGCCACTGTGCCTGGCCTGAATATAATTTTTTAAATGTCTACCCAGGACACCCACCTCTCCTTGACAGGGAGGTTATATAAGTTATACATAATCTTATATAGAATTTGTTATATAAGTTACCTCTGAATATGTCTCTTCTCCTCTGTTTTGATTCTCAGGAGCAGCTGAGACCCTCAGCCCACCACAAAACAAGTCCGATTCCAAGGCTGGTGAGTGAGGAGATGCTTGCCGTGATGACGCTGGGCACAGAGGGTCAGGTCCTGTCAAGGGGAGCTGGGTGTCCTGGGTGGACATTTTAAAAAATTACATTCATTCTAATTTAAAGAATTCTTCAACACCTTTAATGATTTATAAGTGAAGTATTTCATTCCTTTACATTTTTAAAATAAGAGATAACTATCCATGAGAAAGCTACTGCTTTGAGTATATTCATTGTATTTCATGCTAACTCACTACTAAATTGCTCTGTTCTAACTGCTTTTCAATGGATCTCCTCTAATTTACTAATACAATTTGTATAAACCGTAAGACAATGGGAAATTTTACTTCTTTATTTCTAAATTATGTGCCAATATTTCTCACTTTAAATGTCAATATATATGTTACTACATCTTAAATAAATATCTGAAGTTTTACATATATACATATTTATGTGTGGTTAAGTAAGATACTTTTGAATATGTGTGTAAGTATATCCAAATTCATTTGATGTATATTCATGCATATGCTTAATATATTTGATGCGGTAGGTGTTTACATGTTTGTTCCTGGTCTAGATTCACCTAGATTCACACTTCATAAAAACAAATACTGATTTATGAACCTTGAGTGACATCTCCATTTAGCATATATATATATATGTTTGTATGTGTGTGTGAATGTGGGAAACTGTATTGCATTCTAGGTGTTACTGCCTATATGAGGAATTAGTTAACTAGAGATTAAATGGAAGATGAAACCCCAGGTGAACTGGCTGAGGCTGTGTGAAGAAGAAGCACCCCCAGACTTTCACCCCTTTGTGCTTCTGACACTGGGGAGCCCCTGCAGACCAACCTCCCATGCATGGAGCCTGGGTCCTCCGCTGGTGGATAAGTGAAACTCTCATCTCTGGGGGAATTGGCTCATGTGCTCCTGTGTCCCTGGCTGCACAGACAGCGCACAGGGCTCAGTGACTTCTGTATTCCCTTGCAGATCCTGAGCTCCCAGAGTGCAGGAAAACGCCCTCCCCAAATGCCTCAGGAGCAACATTCGAATTTCTAGAATGCAAGAAATCTGAAATAATTCAATAAGGACACTGGAGGGAACCCTGCTACACAGGAAGGGTTTATTGAGGAACTCCCTAGAACTCATGTCAGAAGACATAGGGGAAGATAAGAATGCAGAGCCCAGGGGAGAGGCTGGCTCAGGGCTCTTCCCCTCTGTTTTTATTCTCAGGAGCAGCTAACACCCTCAGCCCATCACAAAACAAGACTGGTGAGTGAGGAGATGCTCTCGTTTACGGTGCTGGGCACAAGGGTTGGGTCCTGTCAAGGGTAAGGAGGTGCTCTGGGTGGACATCCAGAGGTCCTGGGTGAAGTTGATCTGCCCTGACCTCTGTGACCTCTTTGCCCACCATCCCCAGCCTCACACCCCCAGGATTACACAGTGGAGAATCTCATCCGCATGGGCATAGCTGGCTTGGTCCTGGTGGTCCTCGGGATTCTGCTATTTGAGGCTCAGCACAGCCAGAGAAGCCTCTGAGATGCAGCCGGGAGGTGAACAGCAGAGAGAAGAATGTACCCTTCAGAGTGGTGGAGCCTTGGGAACAGATCTGATGATGCCAGGAGGTTCCGGGAGACAATTTAGGGCTGATGCTATCTGGACTGTCTGCCAATCATTTTTAGAGGGAGGAATCAGTGTTGGATTGCAGAGACATTTTCTGGAGTGATCCATGAAGGACCATTAACATGTGATACCTTTCCTCTCTATTAATGTTGACTTCCCTTGGTTGGATCCTCTTCTTTCCCCACCCCCAGACAGACATGAGGCTACATCCCACATGGCAGCGTTGGGTCCACACCTCTGCACATCTGTGTGCTCTGGTCCATGGTGTGTAACACAGTCTTCTTTATTACTCATTGCCATACTCCCTGGTGTGCTTTACTGAGCCTCCATCTCTTCAATTCAGAGTTCCAAACGTGCTTCAGTAACTAAATCAATGGGAGAGTATCGGATTTCAACCAGGAAAAGATAAATCCACCCTGATGCCCTGACACCCTCTCTGAACCCTACGAGCCCTTCCCTCCTTCTCACATGCTACCTGTGCAGCTTCTCCTTAGATCATTGTGTAACCATCACTGCCATCCTGTTCCACACATGGTCATCACC
Source organism: Homo sapiens (assembly GCF_000001405.40). Taxonomy (NCBI): domain Eukaryota; kingdom Metazoa; phylum Chordata; class Mammalia; order Primates; family Hominidae; genus Homo; species Homo sapiens. The sequence goes on from NW_003571054.1 coordinate 507,835, forward strand.
CTACACCCATTCAGCAGCCACTCCCCATTCCCTCTTCCCTCCAGCACCTGCTAACCACAAATGTGCTTTCTGTCTCTACGGATTTGCCTATTCTGTCTGAAAACATTTCAATCTCCTTTGACCTGTGAGCTCCTCACTTCGAGACTTCCTGCCTTTCCAGGCAGAACCAAAGTACACCACGTCAAAAGCAATGATAGGCATTTGCAGTGTGTTGGTGATCCACGAAAGGAAAATCACGGAAGCAGGATAGAAATCCAGCTGCAGACAAGACCTCAGGTCGATGAATCTTGACAAGCAGTTGAGCTGTTTTTTTCTACTCACCTAGGACAGTCAGGCAGAAGTATGCAAAATGACTGGGGCTGATTCTTTTCTGAATTGTCGCAAACAGCAAGAGGACTTGAGTCCTAGCATTAAAGAGTTCAACATGTCTAGGTCCAAGACCACTGTTGTGTTTGAAGGATGTAAAACCCTGCTGCATAGGATGGAATATTTGGAGGGAGGATCCTGAAAAACATGAGGGATCAAATAGTCCTCAACTTTCTAGGACAAAGGGAGCAGCTATTTGCCATCTACCCTCCAGAATAAAGAAATCTTATCATTCACCATCTACCCTCTAGAATAAAGAAATCTTATCATTCGCCATCTACCCTGTAGAATAAAGAAATCTTATCATTCACCGTCTACCCTCTAGAGTAAACAAATCTTATCATTCACCATCTACCCTCTAGAATAAAGAAATCTTATCATTCGCCATCTACCCTCTAGAATAAAGAAATCTTATCATTCACCGTCTACCCTCTAGAGTAAACAAATCTTATCATTCGCCATCTACCCTCTAGAATAGAGAAATCTTATCATTCATCATCTACCCTCCAGAATAAAGAAATGTTATCATTTGCCATCTACCCTCTAGAATAAAGAAATCTTATTAAGGACATTTTCAAAGCCTTAACAGAATATGAATGATTACAATATTATGTTTTACCTATACAGCATCTTCCAAGTTCTAGTTTGGTTGTGCCAGGCCAAACATTTGAGCCAGATTTCGGCAAGATCAAGCAGGAGACTCTGGCGTCTGTCGCTGATTACCTTCCCGCCATACCTGGCCACCAGCCTTTCCCATGGACCCCACGTGTGTCTCCAGACTCTTGGGTATGAATCCTGTGAACACACTGACCTCTGCTTTCTACATGACTGACAAGCACTATGAAATTTGCATAAATATGAATAGAAAATATACTGTCCCCACATCCCCTAAAATAAAACTGAGTCCTCACCCATGGGCTTTTGCTGGATTATACTAAGAAAAGGCAGGTCTTACAACACACATTCCATAGACTCACATCTCAGAGAAGATTCCTTCCACAGGCTCAGGGTCCTGAACACACTGCTCCACTCTCAGGGCTCGGAGACACTCTGCAGGTGGGTCTTCACCCCATCCGGGAGCCCTAATTCCTTCTTCCTCGGTTTTTCATACAGTGATTTTTCCCAGTACTGCTGTCTACTTTCCTCTGCCAGAAATTCCTTGCTGGATCCATGGCAATCTCCTCAGGACTCCTATTTCATAAAATGGAAATGGAATTCTTCATATGCCTTAAAAAGTAAAATAATTATCCAAACAATATAAAATACAAACACCCATCTAGCAAAATATTTCTTAGTACATCATGAATTCAAATATATATCGTACAAAATGACTGAGGATTTTATTAATTTTGAGCAATATTGAGGTTTTCTCATAATATCTTTTTATTGTTAACTTCAAACTAAATAACAATCATGTCTGGGAATAAAATGTATAAGATAGTCATTTAGAAAAATTTGGAGATTTTTCCTTCCTTGTCCAGTAAATACTTAACATTTTATGTGCAATGTATGTCATAAATATGGGCATTCCCCCCTTTGAGGTATGTGTTCATTAATATACACACATATATATACTCACACACACATATATACTGTACAGTGGCATCTACACATACTATATATCCACATATAATGTATTTGTATGCAATATGTAAATATATACACACATAACACCTAGAGTAAGTGTATGTATACAATATATCAGAATATATATGTGAATTCTTTTTCCATACAAACTGTGTAACATTTCTTTACACATCTACACACATATATACCGTGTGTGTATACATATAGTGCTTATGTACATAATAGGTAAATATATACACAAATTAACATATATATGTATACATACATAGAATTTGTTTTTCTATATACAAACCCTATAACATATGTAACTAGAGAGTTTTACCATATGTATGTAATTCAGATTGAACATTAAGTTGTATACTCATTCATTTTTTTTCTTAACCTCTCAGTTCTTGATAAATATTTCTTTGAATCACCAAATATATACAAATTTATGTTGTATATATTTCAATAACCCATGGTTAGATGAATGAAAGTTTACAATTATTTTATCATTTTTTATACCGTCTCTCTCTCTTTTTTTTTTTTTTAACACAGATGAGTCTCACTATGTTGCCCAGGCTGGTCTTGAACTCCTGGGCTCAAGTGATCTTCCCACCTCAGTCTCCCAAAGTGCTGGATTACAGGTGTGAGCCACCGTACCCAGCACTTAATACCTTCATTAAAACATAAAACTTCACTATTTTCAAAAAAGTTTTGTATTATGTTACATTTTGTGGACTATTAATGTTTCTAATAGATAATTTTAACAGCATGTCTTTCTTCCCTTACTGATTTTAAATTATGATTTTATATTAGATGATACTATTGTGTCTCATGCCTAATGTGTTATTGGGGGTGTTGGGCTATTTAACTCATCCTGAGTAGGGGAATCACTCTTTAACATACGGGGTAAAAAATGAATAATTTAGAATAATTTCATGAATTTAGTTAAGTATTCGATTATATATTTTTGAATGAAGATTCATTTATCCTTGTCCTTTAGAAAAGACATGTACTCTTATATGTGTGTGTAGTTACATTCGTGTGTGTGCGTGCATGCAATTTTCAAATACTTGCCTGTTTCCCACTTTTCATCACCGGCATCTCACATCCTACATTTTGGATTCATTGATCTATCTGGATAACATCATTTAAAATTGCTTTCACTGAGTATGAAAACAGTAATATCTAGTAACTTGCAGCTCAGATAATGCTTTATTTTTCCTCCCACTTTCTCTATCAAAATAGATGAAAACATTTCTATATTAATTAAAGGGTAAGATATAACACCTGGAAGAGAAAGCACATCTGATGATTGAGGGATCCACCCTCCAATCCCTCCTCAGCCCTCATGCAGGGGAAGCCCAACCTAATGGGCTTCACAGGTCTGTCTTGCTCTGAGCCTTTTTCTGCTTAGGAATTGGTCCCCTGCTGACCCCTTTAACTTTTAGGTATTAACCTGAGTAAGCATAGAGTTCCTCACTTGCTGTTAATCCCTTGAGAGTACATTTTCAACATTTCCTTGCCTTTCATTTTTCTGTTGGGAAGTCCGATCCCAGTGATCATGCTATTCTACTGACATGTTGAGTTGAAAATCACAGGACACAAAAATGTGTTTTAAACTATACAATTTATGCTAGACAATTTCAGTCTAGCATATATACTTTTTAATCTACTTCTGGTATTTTTCAATTTATCATGGTAGGTCAAGGTTTACATTGCATGTTTAAATGTATGCATCTTAGCACTTAATTAGTCTTTCCTCGTCTCTGTCAAATGTTCAACTCTTTAATTCGTGAGCTGTTGCCAGACATTATTCTCCCTTCTTTCCTTCTGACACGTACAATAGATATGAGGTTCTCCCTCCTCACAATATTCCCCCAAATATGGTGAATTTTCACTTTTGGTGTCTCCATAGTGCATTCTGGAAAATTCTCCCAATTTTGTTTTCCAATTTAATAAATGTCTCTTTAGCTGTATCTTGACCTTGATAGAATAAATATTTTGAGTGTGCTTCTTCAACTGAATTTTTGCCTCTAGGATTTCTAACTCATTTCTCTGATGCTCATTTTTTGCCAGTATAATCCATATTCTTGTCTCAGAAATTTAATTTCCTCTTGTATTTTTTTCAGATATTTAAACATGTTTAATTGAAAAAGGGTCTTATGCGTTCCTAGTATTCTATTTCTTTGCACATAATAATCCTTATCAACAAATGTGTAGACTGATGATCATAGCACTTTTTATCATTAGAAGGATGGCTCTTGGTTGTCTATTTTTGTTGGACACTCACCTCCTACACTCCTGAGCTACCATGGAGGGATCCTCTCAAGGCAGTTTTTAGTAATCCAGGACTGAAAATGGGGGACTGTTCCAGCTACTGATGACACGTGGCATTCATTTCCCAAACATAGTGTCTGCTCAGGTTGCTCCCAGAAGGAAAAAAATGCATGTGAAATTCACACTCATGGCCGGGCACGGTGGCTTATGCTTGTAATCTCAGCACTTTGGGAGGTCGAAGTGGGCAGACCACTTGAGGCCAGGAGTTCAAGACCAGCCTGGCCAACATGACAAAACCCCGTCTCTACTAAAAATGCAAAAAAATTAGCCAGGCCTGGTAGTGGGCACCTGTAATCACAGCTACTCAGAAGGCTGAAGCAGGAGAATCACTTGGTCATGAGAATCAGGCAGGAGAATCACTTGGGAGGTGGAGGTTACAGTGAGTGGAGATCATGCCACTGCACTCTAGCCTGGGCAACAAGAGCAAAACTCCATCTCAAAAAAAAAAAAAAAACTCATACCCACACATGATACAGATACCCACATGTAAGAACTCTGCAGTGAATGAATTTGTTTCACACACACCCAGGGGAGTTGGCTCAGTGGTGGCCATGGGCCTGGGTCGGTAAATAGACATATTCCATCACAGCTTTCAGCCTTGCCCAGAGCCCTGGCCCTTCTCTGCCTGTGAGGACCCAGGGCCCCTTTTCTGTTCTGCACAGAAATGGAAACTTCCTCCCTAATGACCCCTAATGGCACCAGACACAGATGCCCTCTCTGTTTCGTGTGTATCCTTCTCCTTCTGATGAACTTTCATTTCTCATTTTCTGGACATGACTGTGATAACCGGGGTGTTGATGAAATATTATGAGAAGCATCTCTCAAGGGCAGGAACAAAGGGGCTCTCCTTAGTGGAAACATCAATCTCAGGCCTTGATGGTGGGCGCCAGCATCCCTTCATGCCCCCACCCCTCCTGTCTTCACCTGCTCTGGAAATTACCCATGGCTGAGCCCCCTGCAGCCCCCAGGCTCCAATGACCCAGCTCCCCTGTGATAAATGGGGTTCATGACAGGCTCCAAATGAGGAAACCAAGGCTCAGAGATGGGAGGTTACTGCCCAAGTTCACACAGGCAGGGGGTGACACAAGAATATTTAAATAAAGACAAGATTTCCCCTCAAAGCAGAGTGCTAACCCCACGTATTGTCCCAGAACCTTGAACTCAGGAGCACAGGATGGGAACAGGAGTGTTTGAAAGAAGACGGGGGCACCAAGAAGGCAGAGTCAGGTCAATGTTGTTTCCAGGGAGACGGGGGCGGATGCTGTTGCGATGAGTGAATGAGAAGTTCGTGAAGGGAACGTTTTTGCATAAAGAAAACCCACACTCCAGTTCTGGGGAAAGAGTCATGATTCCTTCCCTTGTCTCCCTGTATTTCCCCTTTCTGTTCATTGCCGCAATAAAGCTCAACTGGAACTGCAGAGCAAGATGTGAGATGAGTCTCTGCTGATGTGAGTCTGCCCCGCAGCCTGAATTTGCATCTTCCCTGAAGCTTCCCCAGGACTGGTGAGAAGACTGGCCATGGTAGTTTCCCCACAAGAGTGTGTTTATGGGTGAGCTGAAGGAGAGAGTGAAACCCCATGAGGAGGCTCTGAGAGGAAGGAAGAACCCTCCGTTGCCTTCACCTGGAAGGGATCAACTCAGGAAGGCACCACGTCCATTTGCAGCCACGTCCTGGCCCTTAATGAGAAGAGGACAGGACAGGCAGACAGTGAAAGGAGATGAGGAGAGACCCCATGTGTGTCTGAAATATCAACAGAAAGCCTGGTACCTGTCTCAGGCCAAGCACTAGGAAAACAAGAGCCAGGCTCGTGGCGGGGTCCGGGACAGTACACTACCCATGGAGATGCTGGTGGGAAAATCCTGTAAGGGAGAGAACCCTTCCTTTGTGTGTGTTCTGTGGACACCATGGTCTTATCCACCCACACAGCCGGGGCCAGTAGGAGGAAACATCATGACTCTCACCCACACGGCCATGGTCCACTTCACTGAGATTTGACAAGGGGAATGGGAGATTCTAGCATGAGAGGGACCCTGCCCCACAGGTAGGCCCTGGTCCAGTAGGAGACCCCAGGGGATTAGGGAAGATCTCAGGAAGGAGAGGACCTGCCCAGGCTTCAGGGGCAAATCTCTCAGCGGGAACTCTCTTCCAGGGCTGAGTCTGGGCCTCAGGACCTGCGTGCAGGCAGGTGAGTCTGTCCCCAGCTGTCCCAGGTCCCTCCTCCTCACCGGGGACAGGGTCCCACCCCCGGGCAGCTGGGGCTGGAGAACAGCAACTCTGGGCTGACTGAGAGGGATCATGGGGGGATCTTGGGCTGAAAGCTGGGATCTGAGGGGTGGTAAATGATATAGGACCCAGTTTCTGATTTCCTTCCAGGGACCCTCCCCAAACCCACGTTCAGGGCTGAACCAGACTCTGTAATAACCTAGGGGAGGCCCGTGGCCCTCTGGTGTCAGGAGACCCTAGAGGCTCAGGAGTGTGGTCTGGATAAAGAGGAAAGCCCAGTGTTCAGGAGCACACAGAGCTCGCCGAAGCCCAGGACAGCGTGAGTCCTCCGTCTCACTCAGGACAAAGCACCATGCAGGGGAATATTGCTGTGAGTATTTCAGTCCTGCTGGCAGGTGAGCACTCAGAGACCCCCTGCAGCTGGTGGTAACAGTGAGGGGACACTCAGGGGCCCCAGCCCCAGGCTCTGCCCTCAGGAAGGAGGTTTGCTCTTCGGGGCATCTTGCCTCTCAGAGCCCAGGCCTGGGGGATGATGTGGGAGGTGTGAGCCCCATTTAACACGGTGCCTCCTTCTCTCCTAGAATTCCACTAATAAAGGTCCTATTTGACAGTTCCAATATTGGAAATAAGAGTTCCATCTTCGGCCAGGCACAGTGGCTCACACCTGTAGTCCCAGTACTTTGGGAGGCCGAGGCAGGCAGATCACTTGAGGTCAGAAGTTCAAAAGCAGCCTGGCCAACATGACAATAACCCGTCTCTACTGAAAATACAAAAATTAACCTGGCGTGTGGTGTGCGCCTGTAATTCCAGCTACTGGGGAGGGTTCGCTTGAACCCACTTAGCACCTGGAAAGCGAGAGCACGGACTAGGCTGACCCAGCCCGCACCTGCCTCTGCCCATACCCCCACCCTGGTAGGTTAACACAAAGGACAAAGACTTTCGGGAGCTCAATGGCCTCGCCCTTTGCCTGAGACACCGGACAGCCTCCCTTGCGTAACATAAGGAAGGCAAAAAGCCCATGAAGACCAACACAGCAAAATTCATAATTGCAAAGATGTGGAGCGCTTTTGCAACCGCTGCCTCCGGGCTGGAGGCCGACTGACACCGTGCAGGACAGCATCCGCAGGCTCAATAACACAGCACCCAGGAAGGAGAACACGTGTGCATGTCCTCAGCTATCACCATTGCCAGCAACCCCCTGGATAACCAAGAGGTCCTGAGTCTGTTCACATGGCCGGTTCATTACCAAAGCTGGTGTTTGAGAAAGCCAAAACCCCAAGGCTATTTATAACCGAGGAAATCTCACATAGTGTATCTCACTCCTGCAAACTTCACCAGCCCGCCCCACTCCCTCGCCCCACCTCAGTGTCCCCGAGCCACTTTGCTTGCACTCGCTCGCCCACAGCCACTGCCGCCAGGGCTTTGCCAGCATTATGTGCTCCTGAGCAGACCTTCTCTCCCCTCCCCAACGGCATGTGTGTTGCACGTGCACCTCGCAGTGCCACAGCTGCCGGTGTGAGTTCACCCACTCACCCAACGACCCCCGAGCACTGGGACTGCTGTCAGAGCATTCGTGGGTACAGAGATTCCCTGTCCAGTACCCATCTGTCCTCCACCCTCCCGGCGCCAACACTACCACCGGTGTGATCACACACAGGGAGACCAGCGGATCCACCCCCACCGCAAACAGCAGCAGCCGCCAGCGTGGAAGTGCACACAGAGGGTGCACACAGTCCCATGAGGCCGGAGCCCCGCCACCTTGCTAACACCACTACCGGTGCAAATGCGCACACGAACGCCTGCGGGGCTCCCGCGCACCCCACCCAGTCTTGCTGACGCCACCGCATTGAACACCGACATGGAGGCCAGCACCCCTGCACCCACTAGCATCCCACTGCAGTCAACAAATGTGTACATCCCAGAGGAAAAGACATCATTACATCAGAAACACACTTGCATACAAATGTTGATTGCAGCAAAATTCATAATTGCAAAGATGTGGAATCGACGTAAGTGTCCATCAGCTGATGAGTGAATGTGGCACATATACACAAGAAAACACTATTCAGCCATTGAACAAAATGAAATAATGTCTTTTGCAGCAACTTGGATGAAGCTGGGGGCCATGACACTAAGTGAACTAACTCAGCAATGGAAAGCCAAATACCATATGCTCTCACTTTATAAGTGGGAGCCAAGTTATGGGTAATCAAAGACATGTAAAGGGGTGTAATGAACACTGGAGACCCAGAAGGGAGAGAGGGGGTGGAGAGTGAGTAATGAAATACTATGTACCAAGTACAATGTACACTACTTGGGTGATGGGTGTAGTAAAATCTCAGGCTTCACCACTATACAATTCATTCATACAACTAGAAACCACTTGTACCCCAAAAGCTATTGAAATAAAATACATTTTTAAAAAAACTGTAATACAAGGCTACAGTAACCAAAACATTATGGCACTGGTACAAAAACAGACACATAGACCAATGAAACAGAATAAAGCCACACACCTACAACCATCTGATATTTAACAAGGCCAACAAAAACAGGCCTATTCAAAAAATAATCCTGTGATAACTGGCTAGCCATATGCAAAAGAATGAAACTGGACAGACCCTACATATCACCATATACAAAAATTAAATCAAGACAGATTAAATACTTTAATGTAAGATTTAAACCTATAAGAATCCTAGAAGAAAACATGGTGAAACCCTGTCTCTAATAAAAATACAAAAAAGAAAAAAAAGTAGCCTGGCATGGTGACAGGTGCCTGTAATCCCAGCTACTTGGGAAGCTGAGGCAGGAGAATCGCTTGAACCTGGTGGGGAAAGGTTGCAGTGAGCCGAGATCACACCACTGCACTCCAGCCTCGGCAGCAGAGCCAGGCTCCATCTCAAAGAAAAAAAAATAGGAAACATCTTCCTTAATACAGGCATTGGCAAAGTATTTACAGCTAAGTCCTCAAAAGCAATTAAACGAAAGCAAAAATTGATGAGTGGGACCTAATAAACCTACAGATCCAGCAAAGGTCTAATATTCAGAATCTGTAAGCAACTTACACAAATCAACAAGCACAAAACAAACAGCCCCATTAAAAAGTGGGCAAAAGACGTGAACAGACACTTTTCTAAAGAAGACACACATATGTCCAAGAAGCATATCAAAAAATCTTCAATATGACTAATCAGTAGGGATATGCAAATTAAAACTACAATGAGATACCCACACCACTCAGAATAGTTATTATTAAAAAGTCAAAAAATAACAGATGCTGGTAAGGCTGCAAAGAAAATGGAACAAGTGTTGGTGAGAACGTAAATTAGTTCATCCACTGTGGACAGCAGTTGGGAGATTTCTCAAAGAACTAAGAGTTGAACTACAATTCGGCCTAGCAAACCCATTGGTAGGTATATGCCCAAAGGAAAATAAATTATTCTACCAAAAAGGCAGATGCACCTATATGTTCATTGCAGCACCATTCCCAATAACAAAGATGTGGAATAAACCCAGGTGTTCATCCAACAATGGATTGGATATATGGACCATAGAATACTACACAGCAATCAAAATGGAAATCATGTCCTTTGCAGCAGCATGGATGGAGCTAGAGGTCATTAGCCTAAGTGATGCCATGTGGAAACAGAAAGCCAAACATAGCACATTCTTGTAAGCAGGAGCTAAACACTGGGCACATGTGGACATAGATAAGTGTCTGTTCATGTCCTTTGCACACTTTCTAATGGGGCTGTTTGTTTGTTGCTTGCTGATTTGTGTAAGTTGCTTCTAGATTCTGAATATTAGGCCTTCACTGGATCTGTAGGTTAATGAGGTCCCACTCATCAGTTGTTATTTTTGTTTAATTGCGTTCAAGGACTTAGCTGTAAACGCTTTGTCAATGCCTATAACAACAGGATGTTTCCTGTGATTTTTTTTTTCTTTGAGACAGAGTCTGGCCCTGGCACCGGAGACACTTAGAGTGGGGAGAGAGGGAGGAGGGCAAGGGCTGAAAAAGTGCCTGTTGGGCGCTATGCTCACTACCTGGGTCTACGGATTCATTCGTTCTCCAAACCTCAGCATCACGCAATATACCTTTCTAGCAAACATGCGTTATGTGCCCCCGCATTCTAAAATAAAAGTTGAAAACAATAATAATAATATGGAACTAAAAATTAATAGGCATGCATCTTAGCAATATAAACTCAAGTACAAAATGGAAGAGGCCCACGTTTTAGAGATTTTGAAATTTAAAACACCTATAAATGTGATTGTATATATAGGCATGTAGGGACAACTGGGCTTCATCTGTAAGAACTACAGGTGGAAAGTGGAGACTCCTTACTGGCCTGAGAGCAAGGAGACAGCCCTGAGTCTTGGTGTCTGAGGAGAAGAAGTATGTGTTTCTGTTCGATTCTTGGTCAGAAAAAGGTGTTATAAAGAAGAATCTTGGTTCCCTGTCTCTTTTCTCATGCCAGATACTTATAATAGTAACTATACATGTGTATATATATGTGTATATATATATTTGTCTTTATAAAAGCTCACATCTCCCAAGTATCACACAAAACCCTTTTTGTCTTTTTTTCTACACCCCATGGAGAAGTACAAACAGGATGTGATACTCTAATATCACTCAGTTTTCTAAAATAAGTAGGTTGCAATTTCCTATGAAGTGAAACTATTCCTAGTTCACATTGAGAAAGTACCAGATTCAGTTTCTCATAGGACCAACAATTGTCTGGACCAAGGGAAATTACAAATGGTCTGGTCTTACATTTTTCTCCAGCTACCTGTGATGATCTCTAAGAGTCTGTTGTTGCAGATAAAAAAGTATATCACTCAAGGCAGGGTGCAGTGGCTCACGCCTGTAATCCCAGCACTTTGGGAGGCAGAGGCCGGCAGATTATCTGAAGTCTGGAGTTTGAGTCCAGCCTGGCCAACATGATGAAACCCCGTTTCTACTAAAAATACAAAAATTAGCTGGGCATGGTGGCAAGCACCTGTAATCCCAGCTACTCGGGAGGCTGAGGCAGGAGAATCGCTTGAACCTGGGACGTAGGAGGTCACAGTGAGCTGAGACTGCCCTACTGCACTCCCAGCCTGGGCGACAGTGTTAGACTCTGTCTCAAAAAAAAAAAAATGTGTATCACTCAAACTGACACCTTCATGGATCTTAGAACCCTGATCATGTTCCCATGAGAATTCCATTCATTCCATTCAAGAAGATCTAACTTTCACATATACACCATGGAATACTATGCAGCCATAAAAAATGATGAGTTCATGTCCTTTGTAGGGACATGGATGAAATTGGAAATCATCATTCTCAGTAAACTATCGCAAGAACAAAAAACCAAACACCGCATATTCTCACTCATAGGTGGGAATTGAACAATGAGAGCACATGGACACAGGAAGGGGAATATCACACTCTGGGGACTGTTGTGGGGTGGGGGGAGGGGGGAGGGATAGCATTGGGAGATATACCTAATGCTAGATGACGAGTTAGTGGGTGCAGCGCACCAGCATGGCACATGTATACATATGTAACTAACCTGCCCAATGTGCGCATGTACCCTAAAACTTAAAGTATAATTAAAAATAAATAAATAAATAAATAAATAAATAAATAAATAAAAAAGAAGATCTAACTTTCCTAAATATCTATGCATCCAACACAGCAGCACCCAGATTCATAAAAGAAATTTGTAAAGACCTTCAAAGAGACTTAGACTCCCATACAATAATAGTGGGAGACTTTAATACCCCACTTACAATAGTAGACAGATCATCAAGACAGAAAATTGACTAAGATAATCAGGACCTGAACTCAGCACGATAGATATCTACAGAACTCTCCACACCCCCAAACCAGAATTTACATTCATCTCATCACCACATGGCACATGCTCTAAATTCAATCACATAATTGGAAGCAAAAGACTCCTCAGCAAATTCAGTTTGTTACAACTGAAATTGGCACAAACCACTCTCTGACCACAGCATAATCAAATTAGAAATCGAGACTAAGAAACTCACTTAAACTCATACAATTACATGGAAATTAAACAACCTGCTCCTGAATGACATCAGGGTAAATAATGAAATTAAGGCAGAAAATAAGAAGTTATTACAAGCTAATGGGAGCAAAGATACAACATGCCGGAATCTCCGGGACACAGCTAAGGGGGTATTAAGAGGAAAATATATAGCACTAAATGTCCACATCACATTAGTTGTGATGACCTAACATCACAACTAAAAGAACTAGAGAACGAAGAGCAAACAAACCCCGAAGCTAGCAGAATACAAGAAAGAACCAAAATCTGAGCTGAACTGAAGGAGATTGGGTTCCTTCACACACAAAAAAATCATTCAAAAGATCAGCAAATCCAGGAGCTGGTTTTTTGAAAAAAATAATAAAATAGACTGCTAGCTAGACTAATTGAAAAAAGAGAAGACTCGAATAAACACAATCACGAATGACACGGGGAATATTACCATTGACCCCAGAGAAATACAAACAACCATCAGAGAATATAATGAACCCGTGTATGCACATAAACTAGAAAATCTAAAAGAAATGGGTAAATTCTCAGACACGTGCAGCCTCCCAAGACTGAACCAGGATGAAATTGAATTCCTCAACAGACCAATAATGAGCCTGAAATTGGTTCAACGTACACAAATCAATAAACAGATTCATCACATAAACAGAACTAAAACAAAAAACCACATGATTATATTAATGATGCAGAAAAGCCTTCTGATAAAATTTAACATCACTTCTTGTTAAAAACTCTAATTAAACTAGGTATTGAAGGAACATACTTCAAAATAATAAGAGCCATTTATGACAAGCCCACAGCCAACATCATGCTGAATGGGCAAAAGCTGAAAGCAATCCACTTGAAAACTGGCACAAGAATGCCCTCTCTCACCACTCCTATTCAACAGTATTGGAAATACTAGGCAGGGCAATTGGGCAAGAGAAAAAAATAAGGCGTATTCAAATAGGAAGAGAGGAAGTCAAACTATCTTTGCTGCAGATGAAATGATCCTGTATCTAGAAAACATCAACCCAAACATCAACCTGAGATCTTCTTAAGCTGATAAACAACATCAGCAAAGACTCAAGATACAAAATAAATGTGCAAAAATCACTAGCATTTATATACCAATAACAGTCAAGTTGAGAGCCAAATCAGGAATGCAATCTCATTTACAGTTTACACACACACACACAAACACACACACACAATACCTAGGAATACAGCTAACTAGGAGGGTGGACAATTTCTTCAAGGAGAACTATAAAACACTGCTCAAAAAATTAGAGATGACACAAACAGATGGAAAAATATTCCATGATCATGAATAGGAAGAATCAATATCTTAAAAATGGCCATAGTGCTCAAAGCCATTTATAGATTCAGTAATATTTGTATTAAGTTATCATTGAGATTCTTCACAGAACTAGAAGAATCATATGGAACCAAAAGTTTTAAATTTAAAAATTCATATGGAACCCAAAAAGAGCTCAAATAGTCAAGGCAAGCCTAAGCAAAAACAAAAACCGAAAACCAAAGCTGGAGGCATTATGTTACCTGACTTCAAACTATACTACAGGGCTACAGTAACCAAAACAGCATGGTACTGGTACAAAAACAAACACATAGACCAATGGAACAGAATAGAAAACCCACAAATAAAACCACACACCTACAACTATCTGATCTTTAGGAAACCTGACAAAAAAAAAGTGATGGGGAAAGGATTCCCTATTCAACAAACTGTGCTGGGATAACTGGCTATCCATATGCAGACAATTGAAACTGGACCCCTTCCTTACACCATATACAAAAAAACTAACTCAGGATGGATTGATTGATGGATGTAAAACCTAAAACTATAAAAACCTGGAAGACAACCTAGACAATACATTCAGGACACAGGCACGGGCAAAGATTTTATGACTAAAATGCCAAAAGAAATTGCAACAAAAGCAAAAATTGACAAATGAGATCTAATTAAACCAAAGGGTTTCTGCACTGCAAAAGAAACTGTAAACAGAGTAAACTGACAATCTACAGACTGGGAGAAAGTTTTTGCAAACTGTGCATCTAACAAAGGTCTACTCTCCAGTATCTTTAAGGAACTTAAACCAATTTACAAGAAGAAAACAAACAACCACATTAAAATGTGGGCAAACGACATGAACACACGCTTTTCAAAAGAAGACATACATGTGGCCAACAATCATATAAAAAAAGCTCAACATCACTGATCATGAGAGAAATGCAAATCAAAACCACAATGAGATACCATCTGATACCTGTCAGAATGGCTATTATTAAAAAGTCAAGGGACACATGTTCTCAGGACCTCCTGAGTGCTGATCACTCATATTTGGCTCAGAAAAATCTCTTCTAATATATTACAGAGTTTGACTCTTTTTGTCCACAATAATTTGGTGCCTGAACACGTGAGGCCTCAGATAAGACTCAGGACCCCAAAGGAGTTGTCTCAACCTGGAGCTAAGGTACCAGCAGGGGCCCACTGAAAGCCTCCAGGATTTTGAGCTTCTTCTCTGCCAGAAGTGGTAAGTCCTCCTGAGCCCCGACCTCCCTTTGGTTGACGGCCCTTTATTTATTCTGATCTACTATTTCTTTTTCTTTCTAGGAAGTTGTTGTTTAAGGATCCTACTTCTAGTTGGGAGATACATTCTAAAGGGTCTTCTCCATTGCTTTTCTCCCCAAATTAATCTCGATTTGGCTTGTCTGTTCACATTTGCATGAGGAACTGAACTGTTGTTTTCATAGGGAAACGAGAGACTGTGTTTCCTCAGCTTAAAAAAGAAAGGGCATTTTGCTCCTCCCAGCCAAAATGTGGGAAGTGATGAGGGGTGCTTGTGGGAATGTCTGGGGGTGGATGGACCCCATCGTGATGTGAGTGGCCTACAGGGAACACCCAACAAAATGAGTTTTAAAAAGGCTTGTCCAGGAAGCACATATGGGAGCTGGTCACTCTGCATTTTGGGCCCTCCTGGAGGTGTTTAGACCTTCCGAGAGAGAAACTGAGACACATGAGAGGGAAGAAATGACTCAGTGGTGAGACCCTGTGGAGTCCCACCCACAACCAGCACACTGTGACCCACTGCACAAACCTCTAGCCCACAGCTCACTTCCTCCTTTAAGAAGAGAAGAGAAAAGAGGAGAGGAGAGGAGGAACAGAAAAGAAAAGAAAAGAAAAAGTGGGAAACAAATAATCTAAGAATGAGGAGAAAGCAAGAAGAGTGACCCCCTTGTGGGCACTCCATTGGTTTTATGGCGCCTCTACTTTCTGGAGTTTGTGTAAAACAAAAATATTATGGTCTTTGTGCACATTTACATCAAGGTAAGAGAGCCCTAATGGCGGCTTGCACGCTATAGAGTTCCTAAGTTCTCTCTTTCTCTATTTTCTTTTCTGCCTGCTTTACATCTGCTGTTACCTTTCTACTGAGATAAAAACCACTGTTTAGATCCAAATTTTTTTTGCAAGCTGGTAAATTTATATTAATATCTCATGGCTAGAGTTTTGAAGTAAAAGCTACAGGATGTCTGTGTGTGTGTGTGTGTGTGTGTGTGTGTGTGTGTGGTGTGTGTGTGTTTAAAAGCCTTTATGATAGATTTGTATAATTTTATGTTTAATTGGCAGTGAACCCATTTTAATTTCCCTCTAACACACCAGACTTCTTCCTCTGTACTTTGAGATGTAAGTTTTGCTGATTTTTTCTCCTAAAAAGTGTTTCCTGTAACATGGAAATTTAGGGTTATTTAGCTGACAACTGCCTGGGGTAAGGAAACAGGTTATGAAGAGTTTGAAAGGGTTGGGCGTGGTGGCTCACACTTGTATTCCCAGCACTTTGGGAAGCTGAGGTAGGTGACTCATGTGAGATCAGGAGTTCAAGACCAGCCTGGCCAACATGGTGAATCCCTGTCTCTACTAAAAATGCAAAACTTAGCCAGGCAGTAGTGGCACACTCGTAATCCCAGCTACTTGGGAGACTGAGACAGGAGAATCACTTCAGCATGGGAGATGTAGGTTGCAGTGAGCTGGGATCATGCCACTGCATTCCAGTCTGGGTGACAGAGTGAGCCCCTGCCTCAAAAAAAAAAAAAAAGAAAAAAAGAAAAAAAGAAAAAAAAAGAGTTTGAAAGTTTGAGATAGAAAAAAAAGAGGTTTTTTGAATCTATAAGATGTACTTCTATCAGCATGCCTAATGCGTCCATGAATCTGTGTGTGGTGTACATAATGTTTCACTACTAAAAATATACAAAAGAGCTCTAATTAATTGGCTTAAAGAGAATAAAAGTGCTTAAATCAAATACTTTATCAGGACAAGATGCTTCTTCAAGTTCACTTAAGTAAAATCTTTAATAAATAAGCTGGCTTTAAAATTATTGGTAAAATAAGATTAGAAATGTCTTAAGAATTGTTAGCGTTTTTGTTTGCACTTATTGCACAAGTGGTTTTGTGCTTATCCCTGCAGAATAGTATAAGATTTTCCATAAGGGTTATAAAACTATAAACCTGGCCGGGCACGGTGGCTCACGCCTGTAACCCCAGCACTTTGGGAGGCCGAGGCTGGTGGATCACCTGAGGTTGGGAGTTCAAGAGCAGCCTGACACACACAAAACAAAATTATAAACCCAGCCCAAAACAGAATGATCTTTGCTTGTATAATTTTTAATAAATAAGCCATGTAATATTGTTGGTTAAATAAAAACAGCTAACTACTGAGATATTGGTTAAAAAAAATAACTTTATATTTAACCATAAGTTCCCTTACTTAGGTAAACACCTGAAATTCATAGTTTATAACATTGGTTAACAGGGAATTAACTTTAAGTGATGACTGTCACAGTGTTCATAAATAATCTAGGTAAACTATTAAATAAGTTTATCAAGTAAATGCAATGGAATAAATGCCTATAAACAAACTTGTCACATAATTTACAATCTAAAGTTATATTAAATAATAGATATTAATTGATTAGCTGGGTAATTTATAATTTAAAAATTACAGGAAAACATTTTTAAAAAACAAT
Organism: Homo sapiens; assembly: GCF_000001405.40. Classification (NCBI taxonomy): domain Eukaryota; kingdom Metazoa; phylum Chordata; class Mammalia; order Primates; family Hominidae; genus Homo; species Homo sapiens. The sequence continues at coordinate 525,430 of NW_003571054.1, forward strand.
TCTTATTAAAAGATAAATATCTGTGTTTAATTCAAAGCTTTTTTAAAAGTTATGTATAAAACAAGATAAATGGAAACAGGAAATAAGAGATGTAAAGACAGTTATAAATATAAAGAGGAATTTTGGTAAAAAAGATGAAAAGGAAAGTAATTTTACACAAGAAAGTCTTATGTAGTGAATTTTTGTCCTGAAATAAAATAACTGATAGTTCAAGAAAGAGGGATATTTAGGACAAAACAGGCAGTTTAAGCATGTTGTAAGTGGTCTCTGTAAGTCACAATAAGACTTTTTTTAAAAAAAGAAAGGTAGTGTAATGTAGTTGGTTATGATTAAGAAATATAATAGTCATTCTACAGATGGGTCTTTGATATTTAAAAAACACACCCTAATCCAAAACTAAATAATTGGTTAAAACAAGGTTTTAGTAAAATATTAACTTATTCTTAATGCAAAAAGTTTTTAATTTTTAAATTCTATAATCTGTCTTTTTGAAATTCTTCCAATGAATATATCAAAGTTCAGCTTTTTCTCTTTTGAAAGGCCTTGGATGATAGCTCTCTCCTTCACCTTGTGTTGGCTTCTGTAACTTTTATTAATTATCTAAAGTAAGAGAGGAATTTTTATTTAAAAACAGAAAAATGAAATATCCTTTAGACCTGCTTTTTTTCTTCTGTATGCCTGTTATATCTGTATCTTCATATGTGTTATCTGGAAGTGATATTTCACTACCAAACTACATGAAACAGCTCATCAGTTGTCTTTTTTAAAAAAAAGTAAGTGCTTATCAGATTGGCAGACACTAGCTAAGATGCCTTTGAATTCACCTGATTTTAATATTTAGTAAAATTAATTTAGTAAATTTAATCTTAAAACTCTCTCCAGTAATTAGAGCTATGTTATGTTAAACCTCGTTTTTTTTTTTTCACTTGAAATTTGGGTTACTAAATTAAAATAGTAGGAGTATAAAATGTTTTTGGTGATGCATATAAAACACAAGGATATAGGTTTTGCAAAAAAAAAAGTAGGTTTTTTTCTAGTTAAGAAACTATTTAAGAGTTGCTTTAAAATGAAGAAAAAATTACGGAGATAAAACTAAATAAAAAGAACAATTTAGCCAGGACAACAAAAGTTAACTCTGAGACCTGTGATTACCAAGAAGATAGTTGATATAGAGGAAGGGCAAAAACAAGTAACTATTAAAACCAGAGGGTATAATGCAAAGGAATTGTTCTGCTTTTTAGATTGTTATAATCAGTTTCTTAAAAATAATCTATGTGGTAGATTGTAAAAAATAACCACTTTAAGGGCCAAATTCTTAATTTTTTTTTTGAGATGGAGTCTTGCTCTGTTGCCCAGGCTGGATGGAGTGCAGTGGCGTGATTTCGGCTCACTGCAAGCTCTGCCTCCCAGGTTCACGCCCACATTCTTAATTTTAAATGCTTCAGAATTTAAGAGCTTGTTTGGATTGATGCAGGACCCGTAGCTCACTATTAAACAATCACTAATGAGTATATGAGATCCAAATGCACAGGAGGTTATTCCAGAGAGAACAACCAGCTTAGTGGACCAGACAAACGCCACTGAAAGGTCTGTTGGCCCTGAGAAGGGGACTAGCCAACTCTCCCTATAAAACACCAAGTGCAGCATCCCAGATGAAGCAGTGAATATGCTTTGTATGCGAGCCAGGTGGGGCTGGTGTATGAAGCATATGAACCAAGTAACCATTAAAATCAATCAACCGTTGGTGGACACTTAGTTTGGTTTCATGTCTGTGCTGTTGTGAATAGTGCTGCAACAAACATAATGAGTGCAGTTGTCTTATTTATTTATTTATTTTTTATTTTTTGAGATGGAGTTTCATTCTTGTTGCCCAGGCTGGAGTGCAATGGTGCCATCTCTGCTCACTGCAACCTCCGGCTCCTGGGTTCAAGCGATTCTCCTGCCTTAGCCTCCCAAGTAGCTGGGATTACAGGTGCTCGCCACCATGCCTAGCTAATTTTTTGTATTTTTAGTAGAGACAGGGTTTCACCATGTTGCCCAGGCTGGTCTCACACTCCCAACCTCAGGTGATCTGCCTGTCTTGGCCTCCCAAAGTGCTGGGATTACAGGCGTGAGCCACCACACCTGACCCAATTGTCTTTTTAATATAATGACTTTTCCTTTGGCTGGATACCATGTAATGGGATTGCTAAGTGAAATGGTAGTTCTATTTTTAGTTGAGATAGCTCCATATTATTTTCCATAGAAGATAAACTCATTTACATTCCTACCAACCATGTATCTTGCTAACATCTGTTGGTTCTGACTTCTTAAAAGTAGCCATTTTGACTGGTGTAAGTTGATACTCAGTGTGGTTTTAAGTTGAATTTCTCTGATGATTAATGATGTTGAGCATTTTTTAATGTGTTTGTTGGCCACTTATATTTCTTGTTTTGAGAAATGTCTGTTGATGGTCTTTACTCAGTTTTCCATAAAGTTGTCTGTGTTTTTTGTTTTTTTTTTTTCATGTTGAATTCTTTGACTTCCTTGCAGATTCTGGACATTAGTCTTTTGTTGGAGGCATAATTTGCAAATATTTTCTTCCATTGTGTAGGTTGTCTGTTCATTCTGTTGATTGTTTCTTTTGCTGTGCAGTAGCTTTTAATTTTAATCATGTCTCATTTGTCTATTCGGGGGTTTGTTGCATTTTTAAGGGTCTTTACCATAAGTTCTTTGCCTGGACTAATGTCCAGAAGGGTTTTTCCTAAATTTTGCTTTAGGAATTACATAGTTTCAGGTCTCACATTGAGGTCTTTAATTCATCTTGAGTTGATTTTTGTACATGGTGGGAGATAAAGGTCCAGTTTTATTCTTTTGCATATGGCTACCCAGTTTTTCCAGCATCCTTTATTGAATAGGGTGTCCTTTCCCCATTGTTTACTTTGTTGACTTTAGCAAAGCTCAGTATGTTGTAGGCATGTATCTTTATTTCTAGTTTCTCTATTCTGTTCCCTTGATGTCTGTGTATATTTTTGTACTAGTAAATGCTGTCTTAGTTACTATGGCCTTATAGTATAACTTGAAATCAGGCAATGTGATGCCTCCTGTTTTGTTCTTTTTGCATAGAAGTGTTTTAGCTGTTCAGGCTGGTTTTTGGTTCCAAATGAATTTAAAAATTGCTTTTTCTCTAATTCTGTTAAAGAAATGACATTTGTAATTTAATAGGAATTGTGTTGAATCTGTAGTATGCTTTGGGCAATATGGTCATTTTAACAATATTGATTCTTCCCATTTGTGAGCAAGGAATATTTTTCTATTTGGTTGTGTTGCCTACAGTTCCTTTCATCAGCCTTTTGTCACTCTCTGTGTAGAGGTCTTTCACCTCCTTGGTTAAATATACTCCTCAGTGTGTGTTTGTGTTTGTGTGTCCTTAATTTGATTCTCAGCTTGAACGGTACTGATGTATAGAAAAGCTACTGATTTTTGTAGCTTGATTTTTTTATCCAGAGACTTTACTGAAGTCACTTACCAAGTCTACGAGTCTTCTGGAAGAATCTTCAGGGTTTTCTGGGTATATGATCGTGTCATCAGCACACACAGATAATTTCACTTTCTCTTTTCCAATGTGGATGCACTTTCTTTCTTTCTGTTGCCTGATTGCTCTGGCTAGGACTTCCAGTACTGTGTTGAATAGGAGTGGTGAGAGTGGACATCCTTATCCTGTTCCATTTCTTGGGGAAATGCTTTCACTTCTCCCCATTCAATTTTAAGGTTGGCTGTGCGTTTGTCTTATAAGGCTCTTATTTTGGGGTATGTTTCTTTCATGCCTAGTCTGTTGAGGGATTTTATCATGAAGGGATATTGGACTTTCTCGAACGCTTTATCTGCATCTATTGAGATGACCATATGCTTTTTGTTCTTAGTTTATGTCATGAGTCACTTTTATTGACTTGCATATATTGAACCATCCTTTCATCCCTGGAATCAAGCCAACTTGATCATGATGAATTATGTTTTTGATACACTGTTAGATTCCGTTTAATAGCATTTTCTTGAGGATTTTTGCACCTGTGTTCCTCAGGTTTCTTGGCCTGTAGCTTTATTTTTCTGTTGGATCCCTGTCTGATTTTGCTATCAGGGTGATATTGGTTTCATAGAATGAGCTAGGAAAGAATCCCATCGCCTTGATTTTTTGGAATACTTTCATTATGATTGGCACCAGCTCTTCGTTGTGTATATGGCAAATTTCGACTGTGAATCCATCTGTTCTTGGGCTTTTTTGCCGGAAGATTTTTAGTACTGATTCTTTTTGGTTACTTGTTATTGGTCTGTTTAGGGTTTCTATTTTTTGCCTGTGCGATCTTAGGAAGTTGTATGTGTCTAGGAATTCATCCATTTCTCTAGGTTTTCTAGTTTACGTGCATAAAGGTGTTCATAGTAGTCTCTGATGGTCATTTGTATTTCTGTGGCGTTGGTTGTAATGTCAACTTTATCATTTCTGATTGTGCTTATTTAAATCTTCTCCTTTTTTTGGTTAGTGTAGTCAGCCATCTCTCAATTTTATTTATACTTTCAAAAAACCAACGTTTTCTTTCACTGATTCTTTGTAATGTTTTTGTCTCAATCTCATTCTTTATCTGTCCTTTCAGAGTTTCCATTGTTTTCAGCATCCATCACTAGCAAGCCAGTGCGATCCTTTGGTGGTGCCACAATATTCAGATTTTTCACAGCGTCAGAATCCTTACACTGATTCCTTCTCTTCTGGAGAGGCCTCCACTTACTCTCTTCGAATTTATTTTCATTTGGATGGGATTTGTTTTGCACATTTTCCCCCGGCCCCGCAGGGAGGGTGACTGTAGAGCATGTTGGGAAGGGTCTTTTGGCTTTTCCCATGGCTTTGGGAGCTTCTGCAGCAGGGTTTGTGTTGGGCTGTGCAGCTCAAATTGCAGGCCAGGAGCTGGTGCTTAAGGGTAAGAGCCACCCTCGGCACAAGCAGGTGGATATGGACCTGGTGTGTTTCCTGTGAGGTGCTGACTGTTGTTTCAGGGGAAGGGCTGGACCGTGGAGTGTCAGGTGCCCTGAGCTTTGTGTTCCACAGGGGCGAGGGAACACCCCTGGGCAGAGCTGGAACCCCCGGCTTGCCCACAGATATCCCAGTGATGAGTGCAGGCACTAGTCCTGATGGACATGGCTGGAGCAGCTCCTAGTGAAATGCCCTGAGGTCTCTGCGGGGGGTGAAGGAGCTACACCGTTTCCAGTCCCATAGGGAGGAACGTTGTCTGTCTCCCTATCACACCCGTGCTCCAGGGCTCATGAGTCTCAGTTCAGACACACACTCTTGTCTCTCCCCAGGCCACAGTGTGGCTGAGGGCCGTGGGAAACACCTGCCTTGCCACTCTCTGCAGGCGTGGTTCCAAGGCAGAGCCTCCTCCCTCAGCCCAGTGCAGACCCTGAGCGGCTGTCTGTTGTCTGACGTGGTAGCTGCTTCATGTAGGTGGGATGTGGGGCTTCTGCCTCTCTGGATGGGAGAGTGGACGTCAGTTGTGGTGGTGTTGCTGGCTGGGTGGGCCCGACCTCAGGCCCTGGGGTGAGTGGTCAGGTGCCAGCAGGGTAGGAAAGGGCAGGTAGTTCCCGGATCACAGGCCCCTAGGTGGCCGGCTGGACAGCGTGTGTGAGTCCTGAAGGGGCTGGACTGGGTTTTGGCTGCTCCGGGGTTCAGATGCTGGCTGTGATGGGGAGGGATGGGCTGGTCCCCAGGGCACAGGCAGAACCCTCAGGCGGGGCAGGCAGAAGGCTCAGGTGGTAGAGCCTGCGGCAGATCACAGACCTGTGGGGACTGGGCTCTCAGAAGGGCTGGGGGCTGCAGCTGAAATGTCCAGGTGGGGGCAGGGTGGCTGTGCTGTGGGCCTGTCACTAGGGAGGGCAGGGCCCCTCTGCTGGGGCACTGGAGACTGGCAGCTGTGAGGCACAGGGCCCGCTCACACTTCCCTCCTGAAGAAGTGTCACTCGGTTTTGCTCTGGGGACACGTGAAAGTGCCAGGCCTCCCCACACCCTCCCTGGGCCTGGGGCAGCAGGGACAGAGGCAGAGGTGGCAGTGACTGCAAAGGGCTTGTCAGGGGCCTCTGAGCATTGGACTTTCAGAGGGCACTGAGCCAGGGCCACGGTGTTCGGGTGGGGGCAGGACGGGTGACTGGGGCCCTGCAGCTGGCAAGCCCCATTAGCAGGAAGGAAGCCCCATTTCGCAGGAAGCAACAGAGGTGGGCAGCTGTGTGGTGCTCAGCTTGGCTGCTCCTGTGCCCCAGCTGTCATACTTATTCTGGGGCCCACAGAGGTGCCTGGCCTCCTCCCTCCCTGCTAAGGCAGTGGCAGCTGGACCCAGGCTGCTCAGGGATCAGAAGCCTGTGGGATTCCACGTGGGCTCCAGAGGCGCCTCTGCACCATCTCTGGGAACTCCCTGTGCCTCTGTAGGCCAAGGGGGGTCAGGGGCTCTCCTGTGACCAGGATTGTAAAGGGCCAAGACAGGGGTGTGGATCCCAGGGGCCTCACACCCACTCAATCTTTCCCTTTGTTAAGGAGCCTCTCACTCACTCACCCCTTCCCCGTGTTAGGGAGCCTCGCACTCACTCACCCCTTCCCCGTGTTAGGGACCCTCTCACTCACCCCTTCCCCGTGTTAGGGAGCCTCGCACTCACTCACCCCTTCCCCGGGTTAGGGAGCCTCGCACTCACTCACCCCTTCCCCATGTTAGGGAATCTCTCACTCACTCACCCCTTCCCCGTGTTAGGGACCCTCTCACTCACTCACCCCTTCCCCGTGTTAGGGACTCTTTCATTCACTCACCCCTTCCCCATGTTAGGAGCCTCTCACTCACTCACCCCTTCCCCGTGTTAGAGAATCTCTCACTCACTCACCCCTTCCCCGTGTTAGAGAATCTCTCACTCACTCACCCCTTCCCCGTGTTAGGAGCCTCTCCTGGCTCCCACCTTTTCTCTTCTCTTCTTTCCATGTCCTCATGTTTCTCAGGTGAACCCCAGCATCCTCTTGGAAGATCCACTTGACCTGTTGGTATTTACTCACTATTTTGGGTCCTCTTAGTGAGTAGGCAGACTCCAGCCCTTTCCATTCAGCCAACTTGAACCTCAGCCCACAATCATTTTCTTGTCACTTTTTACTCTTGGGAAATCCGGTCCCAATGTGCTTGTCTTTCATTTGAGAATAATTTTCATTTTCTCCAGTAGTTTTAAAATTACTTTGTATCTATTCTAGGTATCTTTTACTCTATCATAGTTAAGACATTGATGTTATTTATTAATTTGTTCACATTAAACTCATGTTCTTTCTTCATTTCTGTAAAAATGTCAACCATTTTCTTTGCAATATTTACTGAATAACGTACTCCTTATTTCCTTCATTCTGAAAGTGTGATCCATAGAGAGATACCTGTTTCCTCTTCTCATTCCATTTCTTGTGTGCATTAATTATGTTTTCTACTTTATTCATTTCTAGTTTTTCTCTGATGACTAATGAAAAATTTAATAGATATTCCACACCAATACTATGCTCATCATTTCAGCTGTGTCTTGTTCTTGATGCAATTATTTCTAAATGTGTTGATATGATTTACTATTTTTCACCTCACAGTAGCTTCCTAATTCATTTCTATAATTGCCTGTTTTTTCTGTAATGGACTTTTTGATTTTTATTTCTCTTGGGTGGGTTTTTCTCCCACACATGTGATCTTCCATACAGTTTCTCCCCGGGCTGACTCAGGAAGGAAAGCTGATGAGGAGCATTGCTGTGGTCACTCCTGCCCTGCGGTGTCCATGCTGCCAAGCTTAGAATCAGCTCTGTGTTCTGTCCGGCATGGTGGGGCCCATGTGAGCCTCACACTCACGTGCTAGAGATGCCTGGTCCAGCAGTGATAAAGCGCATCTGTGTCATGCACACCCGGGAAGGTGGCTCAATGCTGAGTGTGGCCCGGGTCACTGAGGGGAGCTATCCCAGGGTCTGTCCACAAACACAGAAGAGGGAGAACAACAGTCTCTCTAGGGTCCCACGGTTTCCTCCATTTTTTGCTTTGTTCTGAGAGAGAGACAAAGTGCCATGGCTGCTCTGTGGGTTGGACAGATGCATGCTTTCACCTGCAGGCTGGAACCCAAGCTGAGGTCTTCAGCATCCCCAAGTACTGATAAAGCACTTTAGGTTGTTTTTAGAAAACACTGAAAAATTAACCCTTTTGCTAAAGAGGTAGAAACAAGCCCTCCCCTCAACGAAATTCCTGAAACTCTCAGGTTAAACTTCGTAACCCAATCCCTTCACTGCAGACACCCAATAGGAAAGTCACATGTGCAAGGATGAGATGACTTTGGTCAAGCTCAGACCCCACAGGGCCAGGAAGGCCTGAAGGAGAGGAGGCCCATGCTTCCAGCTCTCAGATAAGAGCTGCTTCTAAGGACTTTTTAAAAACCCCACAAGAAACCCTTCCATGTCCTTCACCCCCTCCTGCTTTGACGAGGTTTATCACTAGATATTCTTTAGGATGTCAGGAATTCAGATAAGATGCTCTCGAGAAAAAACTTGCCCAGCAACGGCATCTCCTCCAATGGACTGACAGCAACTCTGGCTTTGAACCTCTGGAATCAGGGAACTCTGTTTCTAAGCAGCTCTGTCAGCCTCTCTCTTGTTGCTGATAAGAACTTCCTTTACTTCTGTATGTCAGAGAGCTCTCTCTATGGTGCTTTTCCTCTACTCTCACACCACAGGAATCATCCTCACAGAAGAAGACTTCTAGGACCAGATGTGTGGGATTTTTTTTCCTAGACCCAGTAGCGGACGCCAGCTGAGTGTTTAAATGCTTCTTCCCCAGTGCCGTAAACAAATAGCACTTGAACATAAATTTAATTTACTCAGCAAGACCATTTTTATTTTCTGCAGCAAGGGTACACTCACCAGCAGTTTTGCTTCGAGAGTACACAAAACAAAAGAGACAGGGTCATTTATAACCTGACACGTCCACCCTACTGCTCTGTCCGGTTTCCACTGGCTGGAACAGGACCTCACACTCTGTATTTGTCCCGATTGGCTAGTAACTTAGAACTTCTGAAAAGAGGCAAAGGTAGAGCAGAACAAAGGAAGGAGGAAGTAACTTGTGGAATGCTGAGAAAGGTGAAAACACCTTCAAATAAGGAAGAGGAACAGGCTATGACCTAATGCTTGCTTGGACCAGTATAAGCATGCCAGGGCAAATATTTAGGCTAAATTGTGGGAGCTAATAACATAAAGTACATTGATTTATTTATCACGGCTAGCAGATATTTGAGAATGTTAGCATAGCTCTGACACTGTCTACCCAGAGACAGTCCCAGATCCCACAGATTGAATGGTTCAGTCCCCAACACTGCCCCCACACCATTCCCAAGTCCAGACCTCCAGAACTTCTGACTGACTGGCTTCAAGTTGGGGACCCTATGACCACCTCTTTGGGTTTGATTAATTTGCTGTAGCAGCTCACAGAACTCAGAGAGACACTGACGTTTCCTGGTTGAATACAAAGCACACTGCAGAGGACACAGATGAAGAGACTCATAGGAGGAGGCATGGGGGAAGGGGCGCAGGGCTTCCATACCCTCCCTGGGCATCACCCTCCAGGAGTCTCCACATGCTCAACCACCCAGAAACCCACGAAACCCAGTCTTCTTGGGTTTTTATGAAGCTTCATGATGTCAGTATTTCCTCCCACAAGGAACAGGCTGAGACCATCTTCTGGGAGGGTCTTAAGAGCCACCATCAGAAAGGCAGGGACATTAGAGTCTTGCCTTGGGCAGGTGAAGGAAGGGCAGGAGGAGGTCAGAGGCCTCCCCTAAGGCCTAACACAGCCAATGTTATAACAAAAGACTGTAACAAGGGCTATGGAGCTATGAGCCAGGAACCGCAGGTGAAAACCAGTGTGTATCACAACATCACACTTCCCTCTCCGGACACACTGTGGCTTGCCATGCCATGCACTCCAGATTGTAATCCTTGCTTCTCACTCCCAAATAAACTCAAAATCCAGACAACCCTGGAGCAACGCAGCCTTGAATTCCTGGGGTCTCTTATATGCACACTTTTTTCAACCAAACGGGGGTCAAAACTGTAGCATTTGTGGGATGCAAGACTTGTGTATATGAACGGCAGACTTTTCCTATATGCAGGCCCAGCAGAGACAATGTCGGGGCTGGAGTACGAGCAGGTGTTGGTGCATGTAGCGGGTACTGAAACGAATTGCCTGTGTATCCCAAGAAACAACTCTACTGAGAGATCATATTCTCTAGGGGTTTATTTTTGTTTTTATTTTTATTTTAAGTTAAAGCTTCGGGTAGAACACCCAGTGTCTCCTTGTCCATCTGAAGAAGATGCTGCTATGTGGAAGCACATCCTTGAGATCCACAAGGAGACACTGGGCAAGGAGACGAGGGTGCCCCACTGTGCAGAAGTCTCCCTAATAAATGATCTATGAACACCCTGGTGTTTAGTGCTTCTTTCTTTGGAATCCCAGCAGCTCTGTCACTGGACGGTTTGGTGCACTCCCTTGAGGGAATTCCCCTGGGCTGCTTGGGGTCCACTCCAGCCTCAGGTGTAGCTGGAGGACGCAGCCTCCCACCTTGGTCTGGAGCCCTGAGCCCCTCACTGTCATTGCAGATCCCGAGGTTCCTCTCCTGGCTCCACTCAGTGGTGGAAACCTCCACCCTAATGAGCCCTTGATGGTCCCAGGTCCCTGTGGCATCTCACCTGTGGCCTCTGTTCTTTCCTGTGGATCCATCTACACTTGGGAACTTCCACATCTCTTTTTCTGCTCATGACATTGATGCTCTGGGTATTTCAGAAATGCCCAGATAGATGGACAAATACACGTCCATCTATCCATTAGGGTCAGATGTGAGATCCAGAGTGGACACATCAATCACCTACGTAGACTGTGGAGTCCAACGCCAAGATCCTCTTATGTCCCAAACACCTCAGGTCTTACCCTGGTCTGGAAATCAGGCACAAATGAGCCCCTCCTAATGTTCCAGCACCACTGACCGTACAACCACTGTCACGAGTGGGATTTGTGACAACAGTCGGCAAAGGAAGAATCTGAGGCTCAGAGATGGTTCATTACCGCCCGAGGTCACGTAGGCAGTGGATGATAACCAGTCGTTGAATAAATATAACTCCCCCCCAACTCCCCAAATCAAAGCTCAAATATAAGTCATTGTTCCCAAAGCGTTGAACAGGGATTGAGGTGCAGAGGGACGGCCAAGTAAGCAAAGGGCACCGAGGAGGCAGGAAAGACTCAGAGATTTGTTCCCGGGGGGTGGGGTTGGACACTGTAGCAAAATATTTTAAAAAGGGGAAGTTAAGAGGGGACTATTTGGTTGAAAGAAAACCCACAATCCAGTGTCAAGAAAGAAGTCAACTTTTCTTCCCTATTTCCCTGCATTTCTCTTCTGTGCTCACTGCCACACGCAGCTCAGCCTGGGCGGCACAGCCAGATGCGAGATGCGTCTCTGCTGATCTGAGTCTGCCTGCAGCATGGACCTGGGTCTTCCCTGAAGCATCTCCAGGGCTGGAGGGACGACTGCCATGGTAAGGACCCCACAACACTGAGCTGATGGACGGCTGAAGGAGGGAGGGTGACCATGTGGGAGGCTGTGAGAAGGAAGGAGATGCCTCCGCTACCCTCGTCAGGAAGGGCAGACACAGGAAGGAACCAGTTTTATTTGCTGCTACATCCTGGCTCTCAGTGGGATGAAAACAAACCAGACAGACGGTGGCTGGGGGTCAGGAAAGGGCCCATTACCATCTGAAATGATGCAGAGGGCCTAGTGACTGCCCCCACCTCAGCCCTAATGGAATGAGAGCAAGGGTCCTGGGGAGGGCAGTTCCACTTCCTGTGTGGCTGCAGATGACAGCACCCCATGAGAAGAAGGACCCAGCCTCCGATTGGCCACACTCTGTGTGTCTCTCTATCCTGCCAGCACCGAGGGCTCATCCATCCACAGAGCAGGGCAGTGGGAGGAGACGCCATGACCCCCATCCTCACGGTCCTGATCTGTCTCGGTGAGATTTGAAGAAGGAGGGGAGCTTCTAACCTAAGAGGGACCTCACCCCACAGCCAAACTCTTGTCCCTAAGGAGACCCCAGGGGCTCACAAAGATCCCAGGGAGGGGAGGACCTGCCCAGGCTTCAGGGGGCAAATCCCTCACCGGGAACTCTCTTCCAGGGCTGAGTCTGGGCCCCCGGACCCACGTGCAGGCAGGTGAGTCTGTCCCCAGCTCTTCCAGGTCCCTCCTCCTCACTGGGGACAAGGGGCCACCCCCGTGCCGCTGGGGATGGGGAATAGCAGTTCTGGGCTGACTGATGGGGGCGTCTGGAGGGTCCTGGGCTGAGAGCTGGAATCTGCTGGGTTGGGTGGGAAATGAGTTAGAATCTGACTCCTGATTTCCTTCCAGGGCACCTCCCCAAGCCCACCCTCTGGGCTGAACCAGGCTCTGTGATCACCCAGGGGAGTCCTGTGACCCTCAGGTGTCAGGGGGGCCAGGAGACCCAGGAGTACCGTCTATATAGAGAAAAGAAAACAGCACCCTGGATTACACGGATCCCACAGGAGCTTGTGAAGAAGGGCCAGTTCCCCATCCCATCCATCACCTGGGAACATGCAGGGCGGTATCGCTGTTACTATGGTAGCGACACTGCAGGCCGCTCAGAGAGCAGTGACCCCCTGGAGCTGGTGGTGACAGGTGAGCTGACACTCAGGGGTCCCAGCCCCAGACTCTGCCCTCAGGAAGGGGGACGGCTCTCAGGGGCTTCTCCCTCTCACAGCCCAGCCCTGGGGATGACGCGGGTGGTCTGAGCCACATTTAACACGGTGCCTCCTTCTCTCCTAGGAGCCTACATCAAACCCACCCTCTCAGCCCAGCCCAGCCCCGTGGTGAACTCAGGAGGGAATGTAACCCTCCAGTGTGACTCACAGGTGGCATTTGATGGCTTCATTCTGTGTAAGGAAGGAGAAGATGAACACCCACAATGCCTGAACTCCCAGCCCCATGCCCGTGGGTCGTCCCGCGCCATCTTCTCCGTGGGCCCCGTGAGCCCGAGTCGCAGGTGGTGGTACAGGTGCTATGCTTATGACTCGAACTCTCCCTATGAGTGGTCTCTACCCAGTGATCTCCTGGAGCTCCTGGTCCTAGGTGAGAAATTCACAGCATTGCCTGGAGTTCCCTGAGTCTCCAGGCAGGTGGGGAGCAGCCGCGTCTCAGGGCAGTTCCAGGTGGGATGATGTTGGGGCGAGAGGGCTCAGGGCTCCTGGGGCCAGAGACACAGGAAGATCAGCAGTGATGTGGCCCCGGGGGAAAGGGAAGATTTGTGGGGAAGCCTGAGGGTCGGCTCCTGGAAACCATGACCACCTTTTCCCAGGTGTTTCTAAGAAGCCATCACTCTCAGTGCAGCCAGGTCCTATCGTGGCCCCTGAGGAGACCCTGACTCTGCAGTGTGGCTCTGATGCTGGCTACAACAGATTTGTTCTGTATAAGGACGGGGAACGTGACTTCCTTCAGCTCGCTGGCGCACAGCCCCAGGCTGGGCTCTCCCAGGCCAACTTCACCCTGGGCCCTGTGAGCCGCTCCTACGGGGGCCAGTACAGATGCTACGGTGCACACAACCTCTCCTCCGAGTGGTCGGCCCCCAGCGACCCCCTGGACATCCTGATCGCAGGTGAGGAGCCCAGCGGGTTCAGTCAGGGACCCAGGCTCCGCACAGGCCCTGCCGGGGGAGCTCAGGTAGTGATGGCCGGGATGAGGGATGGGGGTCCCAAGGGAGGGAGAGACAGACAGAGACAGGGGATGGGCGGGGAGGGGGAGACTCAGAGAAAACAGAGACAGAGACACTGAGGGTCCCAGAGGGAGACCTGGGGAGGTGTCAGCTCAGAGCAAGGTGGGGCAGCCCCTCGCCCATCCTTCTTCTCTCCAGGACAGTTCTATGACAGAGTCTCCCTCTCGGTGCAGCCGGGCCCCACGGTGGCCTCAGGAGAGAACGTGACCCTGCTGTGTCAGTCACAGGGATGGATGCAAACTTTCCTTCTGACCAAGGAGGGGGCAGCTGATGACCCATGGCGTCTAAGATCAACGTACCAATCTCAAAAATACCAGGCTGAATTCCCCATGGGTCCTGTGACCTCAGCCCATGCGGGGACCTACAGGTGCTACGGCTCACAGAGCTCCAAACCCTACCTGCTGACTCACCCCAGTGACCCCCTGGAGCTCGTGGTCTCAGGTGGGGGCCTTGACCCTGTCCTCTCTGAGCTCAAAGTCTCAGCTCAGACCCTGCCCCAGGAGAGCTCTGGGCTGGGATGGAGTGAGCGGGGGTCTGAGAGGGGCTCAGCCAGTGGGAGACTCACCCTCAGAGGGAAGGAGGAGAACAGGGCCCTCCCAGGCCTGCCCACCCTCAGTGGCATCGCCAGCATCATGGACAGGAGAGGCGGGTGGAGGGAGGGGCCTGGGGAGGCCACAGGTCCCATGTAGAGAAATTTGGTTTGAGGTGGAGACTTCAGGAAAGCCCCAGCTCCTCAGCCTCCTCTCATTCTTTTACCCAGGACCGTCTGGGGGCCCCAGCTCCCCGACAACAGGCCCCACCTCCACATCTGGTGAGTCCCTGAGGCTTCTGAACTCAAGGGAGTGCGGCCTCCCCCAGGGCAGCCCTGGGTCTCCCAGAGAATCCCATTCCCCTCAAAGACTCGAGCTTCCCTCCAGGGAGCCGGGCAGAGCCAGAGGAGGGGCCACAGGGTCCCCAGGGCTCTGAGGCTGGGCTGGTGAGGGGTGGGGGGTCAAGGCAGAGAGAAATGTTGGGGCCCAGCCTGGGGGAGGAGCAGCCGGGCTGATGTGGGGAGCAGGGCAGCCCCAGCCCTCACCTCCCCGTCCTGACCCAGCAGGCCCTGAGGACCAGCCCCTCACCCCCACCGGGTCGGATCCCCAGAGTGGTGAGTGACGGGCTCTGAGTGGGAGGTGGGCAGGGTCCAGGGGAGGCAGGGGTGGGTTCTGTCCTAGGTTCAGTCTCCTCTGGAGGTGGTGATATAGACAGGCTCCTCCCCTGCTTGGGCCTCAGTTTCTCCAAATGTAAAGGTGAGAGGCCTGCGGGTGGGAAAGTTCCTTTCAGCTCTGACTCCCAGCTGTGACCTCCTGGGAGAGGAGGCCTCCCAGGGAACCTCCCAGACCCGATTCCGCGGGGGCCTGTCCCGTCCCACCTGCAGCAGAGACGGTGACCTGGGGCAGGGGAGGGGAGAAGAGTCATGGTTCAGGACGGTCAGGCTCTTTCCCTGCAGCTCCGGGGCTCGGCTCTGGTGCAGGAACAAGGGCTGCAGGTCAGACTCCTGGGCTTCCTTCCCAGCTCTGCCGCTTCCTGGCTGGGGGCCCCGGGCAGGCGATTCCCCTCTCTGAGCGTCAGTTTTTCATCTGTACAGTGGGTGGGGTGGATGTTTCTGTGCTGCACGACTGTTGTGGGGGTTGGAGGTGGTGAACAGAAGGTCCAGCAGTCACCTGCACACAGTAGGCGCTCATTTCAATGACATCACCCCCATCCCTGACATCATCGTGCTCAAGGTCTGGGAAGGCACCTGGGGGTTGTGATCGGCATCTTGGTGGCCGTCATCCTACTGCTCCTCCTCCTCCTCCTCCTCTTCCTCATCCTCCGACATCGACGTCAGGGCAAACACTGGACATCGAGTGAGTAGGGAATGGGGGGACCCTGAGGGCTGACCGAGGGTGGGCTCAGGGCACAGCCAAAGAGAATCCAAACCACTGGGCAAATGCAGCTTTGAGAAACTGTTCCAGCATTTCTCACCAGGCCAATCGACAGTCAGTCCCATCTACAAATGTAAAGTGTCCTTCGGGCTCAGTGCCATCTACAAATGTAAAGTGTCCTTCGGGCTCTGTCCATCCTATGAGGCATTTGGAACATGGAGGCAGGAGTGTTTTTAGGTTTCCTTCCTTACCTTCGAGCTGTGTGTGCAGGGCAGGGGGCTCCAATGTTCCCAGGGCTGAGGCTCTGTCCTTCTTCCCCCAGCCCAGAGAAAGGCTGATTTCCAACATCCTGCAGGGGCTGTGGGGCCAGAGCCCACAGACAGAGGCCTGCAGTGGAGGTAATTCTGCCCGAAGACCCCAGACTCCCACCTGCTCGTGGCCCATACACTGCCCCTAAAGCTCCCATTCTTCCCCCAGGTCCAGCCCAGCTGCCGATGCCCAGGAAGAAAACCTCTGTGAGTGAGAGGAAGAGGTGACCAGCCAGGAGGGAGATGGGGGCCCCGAAGTTTCCGTAGCAATGGGGAAAGGGGCGCTGGCTGGAAAGGGTCTGGGGCTCAGGGTGAGATCATCTCACCCCACACTGTGGGGCCTCAGGGACATCGCAGCCCCTCCCTGCATCTCAGTGGCCCCATCTGGGAGCTGAGCAGGGGCTGGCAGGACTCAGAGGTCCCAGGGAACCTTCCCAAGAGACAAACCCCTTGCTCTGCCCCAGCAGATGCTGCCGTGAAGCACACACAGCCTGAGGATGGGGTGGAGATGGACACTCGGGTGAGACCCCACCCCTGTCCCAGGCACCAAAGGCCTCCTGGTGCCAGATCTAATCCTGCAGAACTTCTCTGTCCTCCTTCCCCCGGCTCTCAGCATCGTCACGGTGGACCCCTCCTTGTCCAGCACGCTGCCTCCCGCCTGCTGCGACCTCACTCTCTCCTGCTGTCCTGGGACCTCGTGGGCCTCCTCCCGGGTCCCCTTCCTGCTCCTCATCCTCTGTTTGGCCGTCTGGTTGTTAGAGCTCTCCCCAGGCCTCAGGAGGATGAGGAATAAATGAACCACCCCGGTCCCCCAGGCTCCCCTTCATTCATTCAACCAGCAAGTGTTCCCAGGGAGCTCACTGTGGATGGGGCTCCCCATGGGAGCTGCAGACACAGCAGGGAGGAAAGCCGCCCCCGCCTCCTGAGCTCACCTCGTGGTGGGAGACAAAATGCAAATAAATGTGCCGCGTCCAGGAGTGCAACGTGCTGTAAGGAACATAAACCAGAGAAAGGGCAGAGAGTGTGGGGCAGTGGGGCCAGTCTGAATGGAAGGGGAGGGCTGTCTGCTCAGCTGTCATCTGAGAAGCCTGGACAGAGTGGGGCACACGATCCTCTGATGGACGAGCCCCTGCAGGCAGAGGAAACAACCCTGCAAAGGCCCCCAGGCAGCAGCGAGCTCTTGCAGGAAGGCCCGTGAGGCTGCAGCCAAATGGGCAACGTCAGAGTGAGGAGCAGAGGCCAGAACCACAGCGAGGGAGCGGCCAGACCCTCCACGGCCTTAGGGCGTCCCTGAGATTCCATCGGGAAAGGGATGTAATCGGATCACCCGGGGAACAGTGAGGAAAATTGACTCCAGGGGGTCAGGAGGATTCAAGGACACCCCCCACCACTGTCTCTCTCCAGCAGAGCCCACACGATGAAGACCCCCAGGCAGTGACGTATGCCGAGGTGAAACACTCCAGACCTAGGAGAGAAATGGCCTCTCCTCCTTCCCCACTGTCTGGGGAATTCCTGGACACAAAGGACAGACAGGCGGAAGAGGACAGGCAGATGGACACTGAGGTGAGTCCTTTCCTCTCCAGGCCCCCAGGCCTCCCCCACCCCCACCACGTTCCTTCCCTCTCACTCTCCCCCGCTGCAGGCTGCTGCATCTGAAGCCCCCCAGGATGTGACCTACGCCCAGCTGCACAGCTTGACCCTTAGACGGAAGGCAACTGAGCCTCCTCCATCCCAGGAAGGGCCCTCTCCAGCTGTGCCCAGCATCTACGCCACTCTGGCCATCCACTAGCCCAGGGGGGGACGCAGACCCCACACTCCATGGAGTCTGGAATGCATGGGAGCTGCCCCCCCAGTGGACACCATTGGACCCCACCCAGCCTGGATCTACCCCAGGAGACTCTGGGAACTTTTAGGGGTCACTCAATTCTGCAGTATAAATAACTAATGTCTCTACAATTTTGAAATAAAGCAACAGACTTCTCAATAATCAATGAAGTAGCTGAGAAAACTAAGTCAGAAAGTGCATTAAACTGAATCACAATGTAAATATTACACATCAAGCGATGAAACTGGAAAACTACAAGCCACGAATGAATGAATTAGGAAAGAAAAAAAGTAGGAAATGAATGATCTTGGCTTTCCTATAAGAAATTTAGGGCAGGGCACGGTGGCTCACGCCTGTAATTCCAGCACTTTGGGAGGCCGAGGCGGGCAGATCACGAGTTCAGGAGATCGAGACCATCTTGGCCAACATGGTGAAACCCTGTCTCTCCTAAAAATACAAAAATTAGCTGGATGTGGTGGCAGTGCCTGTAATCCCAGCTATTTGGGAGGCTGAGGCAGGAGAATCGCTTGAACCAGGGAGTCAGAGGTTTCAGTGAGCCAAGATCGCACCACTGCTCTCCAGCCTGGCGACAGAGGGAGACTCCATCTCAAATTAAAAAAAAAAAAAAAAAAGAAAGAAAAAGAGAAAAAAGAAATTTAGAAGAATAACAAGTTATTCCAAATGAAGGCGTAAGAAAGGGAATAATAACAATAATAAGAGGAGTTGTTCATGAGGAAAAACCAAAGCTTGAAAATTCAACAAAGCCAGTGAAGCTCATTCTTGAAAACATGAATCACACTCATGAATTCTAACTACAATGAAAAAGAGAAAGAAAGAGCAGGCATGCATTTCCATATGGGAGTGAGCCAGCAGACAGCCCTACAGATCGTACACACGTTTTCCAAAACTAACAATGGAACAGGCGGCAAACCTATGCCAATATACTAGAAATTGCAGATTAAATAGATGAAATATTCTAAACTGGAGTTTACATAATGAACATAAGAGTAATCAGAGAATCTGACTCATTTTAGATGTGTGTGTGTGTGTATATATATGTGTGTGTGTGTGAAAAACATTGACTATAATAAAAATAATCTCGAGTTCACGAAGCTTCATTGGTGATTTCTTACAAATATTGACACACTAATGAAACACACAAACACACCCAGAGCATCACAAATGTTTCTTGAGAATAGAAAAAGTGGCAATGTGCCCAGGTGCGGTGGCTCACGCCTGTAATCTCAACACATAGGGTGGCAGAGGCGGCAGATTACTTGAGGCTGGGAGTTCAAGACCAGCCTGGCCAACACGGCAAAACCCCATCTCTACTAAAAATACAAAAATTAGTCGGACATGGTGGCGCACACTGCAGTCCCAGCTACTTGGGAGGCAGAGGCAGGAGAATCACTTGATCCCAGGAGATGGAGGCTGCAGTGAGCTGAGATCCCGCCCCTGCGCTCCAGCCTGGTCAACAGAGCCAGACTCTGTCTCAAAAAATTAAAAAAAAAAAAAGTCATGACATATAAAATAGAATTTTCCATTCTATAACAGGCATATTTTAAACTCTACAGTTTTTCTGTTTCAAAATAATATTTTTTTAAATTTTATTTTAATGTTTTACTTTATTTTATTTGGCAGTTTAAAATTCTACATATTTAGGATGTGCAACATGGTATTTTAATATGCCTGTGAAATCGCTAGGTCAAGCTAATTAACATCTGTAACATCACGTAGTTATCTTTCTGTTAAGAGAACATTTAAAATCCACTTTCTTACCAATTTTCGCGTATGCAATCCATTGTTAGCAACTGTAGTCACCATACTGTACAACAGATCTCCTAAACTTACTCCTCCTGTCCAACTGAAGTGCGGTATCCTTCGATGCAGCTCTCTGATTCCACCCCAGCCCAGCTCCCGGGGACCACCTTCTACTCTCTACTTCCATGAGTTCAACTGGGGCAATCCGCACATAAGTGAGATCAGGCAGCAGGTGTCTTCCCGTGCCTTCTTTATTCCGCGTAGCGTGACGTCCTCTAGGCTCGTCCATGTTGTCACAAATGAAACAATTTCCTTCTTCTAGAAGGCGGAATAGTTTTTCGCTGTGTTTATACTGAGCGCTTCATTTTCTGTATCCATTCGCCTGCTGATGGACGCTTGGCCGGGTTCCATGTCTTGGTTATGGTGGCTAAAGCTGTCATGAACATGGGAGGGCGGGCATCTCTTCAACGTACTGATTCCATTTCCTTTAGATACACACCCAGCAGTGAAATTGTTGAAACACAGGGTAGCTCTGATCATTAACTTCTGAAAAACATCTATAGTATTTTTGTGGTCATTGTACTCATTTACATTACCACTAGCGGAGGGCAGCGGTTCTATTTTTTCTACATTCTCGCTAACACTTGTTATTCTACTCTTTTTCATAGTAACCATCCTAACAGATGTGAGGTTATAGCTTCTTAAAGTTTATATGTATGTAAGTATATGCCTATATGTATATATGCAAATGTATGTATTCATACATAAACATCCATACGTACATATGTGCAGATACGTATGTACATATATATGCATGTGTATTGTATGTATATATGTATACACAGGTATACACATATATGTGTAGAAAGTGAAATTTTGCAGTGAGATATCACCTCACAGCTGTTAGATTGCCTATTATCAGAATGGTGAAAGATCAGTGTTGGTGAGCATGAGGAGAAAAAATCCTTACACACCATTGGTGGACATGTAAATTAACACAGCCATTTTAGAAAACAGTATGGAAGCTCCTCAAAAAACTAAACATGCCACCACCATATAATCCAGCAAGCCCACTGCTGGGTGTATACCAGAAGAAATGAAATCGGCCACAGAAGAGACGTCCACACTCCTAAGCTCATTGCAGCACTATTCACAATTGCCAAGTTACAAAAACAATTCTATATTTTTGAAAAAGGATTCATTTCTCCTGTCCCTGTAGAGAAAACGGGCTCAAATTACACATTAGCTGAGCTCTGAGTACTCACTCATGTGTGTATCTATGAGGGTGCATGTTCGTGTGTGTTTCAGTATGTGGTTTTTCCATTCTGTGTACTCACCCATGTCTGTAACTATGAGGGTGCATGTTCACGTGTGTGTGTGTGTGTTTCAGTGTGTGGTTTTTCCCATTTTTCCTCCCTTGAGGATATCGCATTGTATGTTTTGGATTCTTTGATCTTCCAATTAAATTACATCATTTAGAATTGCTTTCACTAAGTGTGAAACAATAAAAATTTTTTTTAATTGTGGCTCTGGAAATACCTTCCTTTCCCTTTCACTCTGTATCAAGATTTGTAAATTTTTTAAAATTTTTGTTGTTATTTTAAGTTCTGGGGCACATGTGCAGGATCTGCAGGTTTGTTACACAGGTAAACATGTGCCATGGTGGTTTGCTGCACCTGTCAACCCATCACCTAGGTATTAAGCCCAGCATGCATTGGCTGTTGTTCCTAATCCTCTCCCTGTCCCAACTCACCCTCCTCCAACAGGTCCCAGTGTGTGCTGTCCCCCTCCCTGTGTTCATGTGATCTCACTGTTCAGCTCCCACTTATAAGTGAGAACATGCAGTGTTTGGTTTTCTGTTCCTGCATTGGTTTGCTGAGGATAATGGCTTCCAGCTCCATCCATGTCCCTGCCAAGGACATGATATTGTTCCTTTTTATGGATGCATAGTATTCCATGGTGTATATGTATCACATTTTCTTTATCCAGTCTATCATTGATGGGCATTTGGGTTGATTCCAGGTCTTTGCTACTATGAATAGTGTTGCAAAAAACATATGCATGCATGTATCTTTGTAATAGAATGATTTATATTCCTTTGGGTATATACCCAGGGATTGCTGAGTCAAATGGTATTTCTGGTTCTAGATCTTTGAGGAATCACCACACCATCTTCCACAATGGTTGAACTAATTACATTCCCACTAACAGTGTAAAAGCATTTCTATTTCTCTGCAACCTCACCGGCATCTGTTTCTCCTTGACTTTTTGATAATCGCAATTCCAACTGGTGTGAGATGGTATCCCATTGAGGTTTTGACTTGCATTTCTCTAATGACCAGTGATGTTGAGCTTTGTTCCATGTTTCCTGGCCACATGAATGTCTTCTTTTGACAAGTGTCTGCTCATGCCTTTTGCCCACTTATTAATGTTTTATTCCTGTAAATTTGTTTAAGTTCCTTGTGGATTCTGGATGTTAGACCTTTGTCAGATGGACAGATTGCAAAAATTGTCTCCCATTCTGTAGCTTGTCTGTTCGCTCTGATAATGGTTTCTCTTGCTGTGCAGACGCTCTTTAGTTTAATTTGATCCCATTTGTCAATTTTAGCTTTTGTTGCAATTGCTTTTGGTGATTTCGTCATGAAGTCTTTGCCCATCTTTGTCCTGAATTATATTAAATAAAGTCTTTGTCCTGAATTATATTAAATAAAGCATAAGGGAAAAGATGTAGAAGGGAAAGTACATGTAATGGTTAAGGCGTCTACTGCCAATCCCTCCCCGTTCCTCAAGATGAAGCCTGACATGCTGGGTTTAATGTGTGAGACAAGCTGCCGACAGGTCGTTTGCCTTTGTCTTTAATAATTTAGATTAACACAGAAATCTTCACCATGAATTTCTGAAGGCCTTTCTTTAGTATCTCCTGGTGTTGAATTTGCTGTTGGAAGGTCCAATCCCAGTGAGCATGCAAATCCATTGGAAATAATTTGCATTTTTACAAATAAATAATTTTAGGATTTTTTTTTTGTTTCCAGGACAGACTTCCTTGTATTTTTTTAATGAGTTAAAAATTATATAATATAAAAATAACATTTAAAAACCCACAATTCAGGCCGGGCACGGTGGCTCATGCCTGTAATCCCAGCACTTTGGGAAGCCGAGACGGGCGGATCACTTGAGGTCAGGAGTTTGAGACCAGCCTGGTCAACATGGCAAAACCCCGTCTTTACTAAAAATACAAAAATTAGCCAGGCATGGTGTCAAGCACCTGTAATCCCAGCTACTCGGGAGGCTGAGACAGGAGAATTGCTTGAACCTGGGAGGCAGAGGTTGCAGTGAGCAGAGATTGTGCCACTACACTCCAGCCTGAGTGACAGAGCAAGACTCTGTCTCACACAAAAACAAAAACAAAAGCAAAAACAACCCCTCACAATTCAGCCTAGGATATGTTTATTAAATTTACATTTGTCTTTTTGCTTAAGATTGCTTTGGTATTCGTCCTCTTTTTGGTTCCATATGAATTTTAGGATTGTTTTTTCTAATTCTGTGAAAAAAATGATGTTGATATTTTGATGGGAATTGCATTGAATCTAAATATTGCTTTGGGAAGTGTGATCATTTTCACAATATTGATTCTTCCAATCCATGAGCATGGGATATATTTCTATTTTGCTGTGTCATCTACAATTTCTTTCAGCAGCATTTTGTTGTTCTTCTTGTAGAGATCTTTCACCTCCTCGGCTAGGTATATACTTAGATATTTTTAATTTTTGCAACTGATGTACAAGGGATTGAGTTTTGCAGCAACCTGGATGAGCTGGAGGCCATTATTCATGACACCACATCCAGCTAATTTTTGTATTTTTTGTAGAGATGCGGTTTTGCCATGTTGCCCAGGCTGGTCTTGAACTCCTGGGCCCAAGTGACCCGCCCGCCTTGACCTCCCAAAGTGCTGGGACTGCAGGCATGAGCCACGGTGCCCGGCCTATCATAGCACTTTTGATCATTGGGATAATTCCTCCTCCTTGTCATTTTTGGACACATGCTTCCCACATGCCTCATCTTCCAGAGAGGGTTTCCACCAGGGCTGTGCTGGGAGTTAAGGCTGGAAAAGGGGAGATGGTTCCAGCTGCCAGTGCCACATGAGTCTACTCAGGGCTGTAACCAGCAGGGAAGGTCCAGTGTGAGCCTCAGACTCGCATGTGGGACAGACGCCCATGTGTGACAACGCTGCAGTGAATCTGTTTCACACACATGGAGGAGGCGGCTCAGGGCTGACCATGGACCTGAGTCAATGAGCAGAGATATCCCAGTGCCATCCACAAACACAGGGGAGAAGGAGCCACAACTTCTCACTTTCATCCAAAACCCCGACCCCTCCCTGTCTGTGAGGGCCTGGGGTTCTCCTCTGTCTCATACAGAGGCAGAAACCTCCCCCTTAGTGACCCCCAGACTTTGCAAGTCACCAGCAGCCGCTCGGCTCTGGCCTCTTCTGCTTCTTAAGGTTTCCTGCCTATGACAGGAAGTCTCATTTCTCATTTTCTTCATCGGACCATGGCTACATATTTCAGACACATTATAAGTAGGTTTTCCCAATGTTAGGAGCAGATGTGGGCTGTTGAGCATTTAAGTTGCTCACCGTGACTGTGCAGTCCAACACCAGGATCCACTCATGTTTCAGCCCCTCAAGACTTAACCCGGTCTGGAAATGTACCATGACTGAGGCCCTCCCATGACCCAGGCACCACTGGCCCCCAAAACCACTCAGGAGGGGGGTTCATGACAACAGGCTCCAAATGAGGAAACCGAGGCTCAGAGATGGGACTTACTGCCCAAGGTCATGCACGCAGGGATGAAGGTGAGCAATTCAGAAAAAATTAACTCCCTATCCCACCGCCAAATCAGAGCTCAAGACAAGTACTTGTTCCCAAAACCTTGAAGGCAGACTGAGATGCAGGGGAATGCCCAAGGAAGCGGGGCTGGGGGTGGGAGGGACCCCGAGGAGGCAGGAATGACTCAGAGGTTACTTTTAAGGGAAGGGGAGCTGAACGCTATTAAAAAATAGGAAGAAAAAAAGAAGGGAAGTCTAAGAAGGAAACTGGAAGAAATAAAACCCATACTCCAAAGACAAAAGAAGAGTCAGCATTTCTTTATTTCTCCTTTTTTTCTCATTGCCAATTGCAGCTCAACTTGAATTTCACAGCCCGATGTGAGATGCGTCTCTGCTGATCTGAGCCTGTCCTGCAGCATGGACCTGCAACTTTCCTGAAGCATCTCCAGGGCTGGATGCCATGGTAAGGATCCCGCAATGCTGTGTTGATGGACGGGCTGAAGGAGGGAAGGAGACCCCACGGGGAGGCTCTGAGAAGAAGAAAAAGCCCCCAGTCACTCTCACTTGGACAGGACAGACTCAGAAAGGTGCTGTGTCCTGTGTCCTGACCCTTGATGAGATGAGGACAGATGAGGCAAATCGCAGAAAAGGGTCAGGGAGATACCATTTCTGTATGAAATATCTGAAGACAGCCTGGTGCCTGCCCCAGTCCCAGCCTTGGGGAAATGAAAGCCAGGCTCCTGGAGAGGGCAGTTCCCCTTCTTGTGGGGCTGATGACGGGACAACCTCGTGATGGAGAACCCAGGCTCCCAGTAGATTTACTCCATCCAGGAACTGTGGTCTCGTCCATCTGCACAGCCAGGGGCTGTGGAGGAGATGCCATGACTTCCACCCGCAAACCTCTGATCTGTCTTGATGAAATTGAAAGAGGGAGAGGGGAGACTGTAGCCTGGAAGGAATCCCACCTCACAACTTGGTCCTGATTGAATAGAAGACCCCAGAGGTTCACAGAGATCCCAAGGTGGGGAGGATCTGCCCAGGGTTCAGGAGGCGAATCTCCCTCAGGAAGCTCCGTGACCCCCTCCTTAGTGTCGCTCCTGTGCCTCAGTGGGATTTGGAGAGGATGCCTTAGATTAGAGGGTATTGTTCAGTGGGATTTGGAGAGGATGCCTTAGATTAGAGAGTATTGTTCAGTGGGATTTGGAAAAGATGCCTTAGATTAGAGGGTATTGTTCAGTGGGATTTGGAGAGGATGCCTTAGATTAGAGGGTATTGTTCAGTGGGATTTGGAGAGGATGCCTTAGATTAGAGGATATTGTTCAGTGGGATTTGGAGAGGATGCCTTAGATTAGAAGGTATTGTTCAGTGGGATTTGGAGAGGATGCCTTAGATTAGAGGGTATTGTTCAGTGGGATTTGGAGAGGATGCCTTAGATTAGAGGATATTGTTCAGTGGGATTTGGAGAGGATGCCTTAGATTAGAGGGTATTGTTCAGTGGGATTTGGAGAGGATGCCTTAGATTAGAGGATATTGTTCAGTGGGATTTGGAGAGGATGCCTTAGATTAGAGGGTATTGTTCAGTGGGATTTGGAGAGGATGCCTTAGATTAGAGGGTATTGTTCAGTGGGATTTGGAGAGGATGCCTTAGATTAGAGGATATTGTTCAGTGGGATTTGGAGAGGATGCCTTAGATTAGAGGATATTGTTCAGTGGGATTTGGAGAGGATGCCTTAGATTAGAGGGTATTGTTCAGTGGGATTTGGAGAGGATGCCTTAGATTAGAGGATATTGTTCAGTGGGATTTGGAGAGGATGCCTTAGATTAGAGGATATTGTTCAGTGGGATTTGGAGAGGACGCCTTAGATTAGAGGTATTGTTCAGTGGGATTAGGAGAGGACACCTTAGATTAGAGGGTATTGTTCAGTGGGATTTGGAGAGGATGCCTTAGATTAGAGGGTATTGTGTCTTTCAGCAACAAAACCGTACAAAAAACACCTGGGCATTTCACATCAGTGGATAAAGCATATCTTGTGCCAAATCAGGACCAAACTGCGGTGAAATTTAGGGTTCACACTACAGTTAATCACTTTTGAGGAAAGCATTCCAGGTTGGTGCCTATCTCTGTGATAAACATCTCCCTTCCTGGCTACAGGTAATGGATTAAAGTAACACTGGCCGAACAGACACTATCTTCACTTGATGATTATACTGAAAAATAGCCATAAAATTGTTCCCTCCAAATCCAATTCCCCTTTTGACTTTAGACAATTCTCTAAAGAAGATATACAAATGGCCAACAAACATATAAAAAACATGTATATATGCGTATATATACATATATATACACACACACACACACACACACACACACACACACCATGGAATACTTCAGTCATAAAAAGGAACAAAATAATGGCATTCGCAGCAACCTGGAGGCAGTTGGAGACCACTATTCTAAGTGAAATAACTCAGGAATGGAAAACCATCATCATATGTTCTCATAAGTGGGAGCTAAGCTATGAGGATGTAAAGGCATAAGAAGGATATAATGGACTCTGGGGACCCAGGGGGAGCAATGGGAGGGGGTGAGGGATAAAAGACTACGCATTGGGTACAGTGTACACTGCTCGGGTGATGGGTGTTCCAAAATCTCAAAAATCACCACTAAAGAACTTATGCATGCAACCAAACACCACCTGTTCCCCCAAAACTACTGAAACTTAAAAATAAATAAATAGATAAAAATAAATTCACCACATTCAAAATGACAACCGCTGAAGCCCCAGTGGGCGCATGTTACAGGGTGCTCTTTTAGTTTCGGCCTTCCATAGGCAACTTGTGTGTATCAGCTCCATTAGACCCCTGCCTTCCTGCAAGGACAGACGGCTCTCTGTATCCCAGGGTTCTCGCCTTGGTGTACCGGAAGAACCGGATCACATGAGGGCTTGGAGAATGAGTGCAAGGTTTGATTGAGTGGAAACAGCTCTCAGCAGAAGGGCGATGGTTTTCTCCTGGAGTCGGGCCCCTGGCGGCCCGGGATCCTCTCTGACTGTCCCAGCCAAGCTCCATGTCGTTCTGCCAGTCGGTGGCCTGTGGTGTGCTGGTGCCCGTCCTTGCGTTCCTCTCGACATCCAGCCATCTGTGTGTTCCTGCACTGACGTGCTCCTCTCAGCCGCCAGTGTCTTCTTCTTCCGCTGATCTGCGGACGTCCAGCTGCTTGTGTGTCTGCCTGCTCAGGTCTCGGAGTTGTTTTTTTTGTTTGTTTGTTTGTTTTTTAATTATACTTTAAGTTTTAGGGTACATGTGCACAATGTGCAGGTTAGTTACATATGTATACATGTGCCATGTTGGTGTGCTGCACCCATTATCTCGTCATTTAACGTTAGGTATATCTCCTAAAGCTATCCCTCCCCACCCGCCACCCCACAACAGGCCCCGGTGTGTGATGTTCCCCTTCCTGTGTCCATGTGTTCTCATTGTTCAATTCCCACCTATGAGTGAGAACATGCGGTGTTTGGTTTTTCGTCCTTGCAATAGTTTGCTGAGAATGATGGTTTCCAATTTCATCCATGTCCCTACAAAGGACATGAACTCATCATTTTTTATGGCTGCATAGTATTCCATGGTGTATATGTGCCACATTTTCTTAATCCAGTCTATCATCGTTGGACATTTGGCTTGGTTCCAAGTGTTTGCTATTGTGAATAGTGCCACAATATAGTTCAACCATTGTGGAAGTCAATGTGGTGATTCCTCAGGGATCTAGAACTAGAAATACCATATATTAATCACCTCAGTTAGTTATTATTTCTGTGTGCATGTGTGTGTGCAGTGAAAATACTTAGGATCTACTCTCAGCTAATTTTAAGTGTACAATACAGTATTGTTACCTATAGCTTTCATTCCATACATTAGCTTTCCAGAATTATTCATTTCGGAGAATTGAAACTTTGTATCCTTTGACCAACATCTTATTTTTCCCATTTCCAGCCCCTGCTAACCACCATTCTACTCTCAGCTTCTATGAATTTCACTATTTAGATTCCACAATTATGTGAGATTATAAGATATTTATCTATTAAGAGTTGGATTCATTTCACTTAGCATAATGTCATTTGGGTCCAATCCTGCTATCACAAATGATCTGATTTTCTTCTTTTTCAAGACTGAATAAAACTTTATATTTATTATACTATGTTATCTTAATCCATTCCTCCATCAATGGGCATTTATGTCATTTATTTACCTCGGCTATTGTGAATACTGGTGCAGTGAATTCATCAGTGTGGATATATCTCTTCAAGATCTTGATTTGAGTTCTTTTGGATAATTATCCGGAAGTTGAAATCTGGTGTCTTATAGTTCAATTTTTAACATTTTGAGGAAATGTGATACCGTTTCTATAATGGATGGATCGGTTTCTGTTAACTTAAATCAGGGTATTGTCTTTCTCACTCAGACCGCTGCTGGAATCCTTGGAAATTCTTCACTCCTTTACTTTTTTAGCTTTACTTTTATCACTTCACAGATATTGAGACCCAGAGACCTGATTCTCAGCCAGCTGGTCTTAGCCAACAACCTGGTTCTTTTCTCTAAACGAATCCCCCAGACAATGGCAGCTTTTGGAATGAAATCCTTCCTGGACGAGGCTGGATGAAACTTGTCTTCTATCTATACACAGAGTGGCCAGAGGGGTTTCCCTCAGCACCGCCTGTCTCCCCAGTGGCTTCCAGGCCATGAAGCTTCAACCTCAGTATCTCTAGGAGGATGGAACTCCGAATTAGGTCCACAAAGTGCATTGTTTTCTGCTGCCCCCTCTGCTGGATCTTGCAAATTGTGGCATATACCCATATTGCAATGCATGTAACTGGCCCAATGAAGAGCAAAAACGTGAGTATGGAATAAATGTATAGGTACTCTCCTCACCCATTCTAGGATGATTGCTATTCTTAGCAAATGCAGTCATTTTCTCCCTTGTGGATGGTATGTCTTTGGCCCTCATGGACTACACCAGCAGCTCCATGATCCTCTTCTTATATAGACACAAGCAGACAGTCCAATGCATTCGCAGCCACGGCCTCTCCCCCTGAAAATCTCATGAAACTAGAGCCACACACACCATCCTCGTCCTGGTGAGCATGTTTGTCTCCTCTCATGGTCTAGCTGGTATTTTATCACTGTGGGTAACCTGGATTCAGAACCCAAGCCATTGGCTGAGAAGCATCTCTTTCCTGGTGTCTGCAGGATTCCCGACATTCAGCCCCTTTGGGTTCATTGTCAGTGATGCCCGCGTCTCACAGTTCTGCACTGTCTGCTGGACAAGGAAGACAAATGCTCCAAGTGTGGTCTCTGGGCTCTAAGTTCCCTCTAGACAATTGCGTCCTTTATTTAATCACTTCTCCCCACAATATCTGTTGGATCATACATTATGCCAGTTAATACGCAAGGACTTTGGGACTCAGTATTGAATAAAAATGATAATAACCATAGCCTCATATTGCTTCTTAGGCTCTCAAAAAATGAACGCAGTGTAAAAATTACCCAGATGTATGTCAGTTCCTCAGAAGATTAAACACAGAATTACCATATGACCCGGCAATTTCTGGGAAAATTAAAGCAAGGATTTAAAAGGATGCTCATATACTCATGTTCATAACAGCGTTATTCACATTAACAAAAAAGTAGAAAAAACCCAAAGATGGATAAATGGATAAACAAATGTTATAGAAACTAGGAAATACTGTTCAGTCTCTCAAAGAAATGAAATTGTGACTGACATACACTATAATATGGAGAGCCTTGAAGATATTATGCTAAGTGAAATAAGCCAGTCTCATAAAGGACAAATATTGCAAATATTGCTAAGATTCTATCTATATGAGCTACCTGTCAAACTCACAGACTCAGGAAGTAGAATCACGGTTAACAGAGGCTTGGGGGCCTGGAAACTGAGAGTTGGTGTTTACTGAATATAAAGCTTCAATTGGAAAGATAAAATACTTTGGGGATGGTGATGGCGATGGTTGCATAGCAATGTCAAACCACTTCACAATACTGCACTGTAGAGTTAGAAAGAGTAAATATGGTAAATTTTATTTCATTTGTTTTTTTTTTTACTATAATTTAAAATGAGAAAGAGTAGTAAAAACACACAAAAGAGAGGAGCTAACAGATAAAAAGTGCACTAAGTTAGCCAAGCCAGAGCTTTAAGAACCATTATCACTTCTCTCTCTCTTTCACCCCACAATCAACATTAATCAGGTCCAACCATGTGTTCTGCCTTCTTAGCACTGCTCACGTGTGTCCCCTCCTCTCTTATTTCCATGCACTCTGGCCCAGCTGGGCTTCTTCTCTCTTTGCCTGTGATTTGCTCTGTTGTCCTCCCTGGCTCAGACGTGCAGTCCCAGTCTCTCCTGATGCTTTGTCCCCACATTGAGGGCACTGCTGTTTCCCCACAGGCCACTCCTTTTTTTTTTTTTTTCTTGAGACAGAGTCTTACTCTGTCACCTAGGCTGGAGTGCAATGGCACGATCTCGGCTCACTGCAACCTCCACCTCCCAGGTTCAAGTGATTCTCCTGCCTCAGCCTCCTGAGTAGCTGGGATTACAGGTATACACCACCACACCCAGATAATTTTTTGTATTTTTTTTAGAGACAGGGTTTCACTGTGTTGGCCAGGCTGGTCTCGAACTCCTAACCTCGTAATCCTCCCACCTCAGCCTCCCAAAGTGCTGAACTCCTAATACACCCTCTGTCCTTTCCCACCTTGTCTGTGCCCTGGAGGCTGACTCTATGGATTGCATCATCAGTGTCTCCTTGCCTTTAGCGTCTGATTGAGTTCAACCATGGAGGCACTGTCAGGAGAGCAGAGGGTGAGAGGAGAGAGAGGCCGGGGAATCAATTCCCACACATATGCCCTGCCAGGCTGTGGTTTGTCAGCAACTGTGCTCCTCTACCCATGACATCAGCTCCCGCAAGGCACCTCCCATCTCCCACACAGGGCTCTCTCCACCCCTTGACCTCCCATCCTGGGAGTGGCAGTGGCTTCCTGGGGTGCTTCATCCCTCTCATTTGCCCACACCTTTATACACTTCTTTTTCTTTTTTCTTTTCTTTTTTTTTTTTTTTTTTTTGACGGAGTCTCACTCTGTCACCAGGCTGGAGGGCAGTGGCACCATCTCAGCTCACTGCAAGCTCTGCCTCCCGGGTTCACGCCATTCTCCTGCCTCAGCCTCCAAAGTAGCTGGGATTACAGGCGCCCGGCTAATTTTTTGTATTTTTAGTAGAGACAGGGTTTCACCATGTTAGCCAGGATGGTTTTGATCTCCTGACCTTGTGATCCACCCGCCTGGGCCTCCCAAAGTGCTGGGATTACAGGCGTGAGCCACCGCGCCCGGCCTATACACTGCTTTTTCTATTTCCATTTTTATTTTAGAATTGGGGGTACATGTGTAGGTTTGTTACCAAGGAATATTGTGTGGCATTGAGGTTTGGAGTAAGACTGAGCCCCTCACCCAGGTAGGGAGCATGGTACCCAACAGGTAGTTTTTCAGCCCCATCCCCCTCCTCTCCACCCTCAGTGGTCCCCAGCGTCTACTGTTGCCATCTTTATGGGAAGATGTGTACCTAATATTTAGCTCCCACTTATAAGTGAGAATATGTGGTATTTGGTGTTCAGTTTCTACATTAGTTTACGTAAGATAATGGCCTCCAGCTGCATCCATGTTGCTGCAAAGGACATGAGTTCATTCTTTTTTATGGCTGTGTAGTCTTCCATGGTGTATATGGACCACATTTTCTTTATTTGGTTCACTGTTGATGGGCAACGAGGTTGATTCCATGTCTTTTCTATTGTCAATAGTGCTGCAATGATCATCCAAGTGTGTGTGTTCTTGACTAGAATGATTTATTTTCCCTGGATATATACCCAGTAATAGGACTCCTGGGTCAAATGGTAGTTCCATTCCTAGTTATTTGAGATATCCTCAAACTGCTCTCCACGGCGACTGTTAGTCCTAGCTCTTTGAGAAGCCAAGGTGGGAGGATTGCTTGAGGCCAGGAGTTTGGGGCCATTCGATTCTCTAACTACTACCCCTGCTGTATAGAAATGTCATTGATATGGATTTGTTTTTATTTTCTTATAAATCCTAATGGACTTTGAATTTTCTATTTAGAGAATCTTACTACCTACAAGTAATGAAAAAATCTCTCTAGCCCTCATATATCTTATTTTTAGTTTTTTACTTTTACTGATATTATTACATCAGTTAGGACACCTCAGTAGAAAATGGAATAAAAGTGGAAAGACCATTAAGCCTCGTTTTGTTCATATTTTAGTGGAAATTGATCTAAGCTTCATCATTAAATATAATATTTGCTATTGATTTGTTGCTGGGCATCCTTTAACATGTTTATGATGTTTCATTCTATTCCTAATTCATTAAGATTTTTTAAACCATAAATAAGTGCAGATTATAGTAATATTGAGCAAATATTTTCTTCTCACCTCCAATGGGCCACCCTCTAGACCCCCTACCCTCACCCTCATCTCCCCTACCTCACCGCGGGTCTCTGTCCTCAGACCCCTGCTGCAGGGGACCCCTGGAGGTGACATATGCTCAGCTGGACCACCAGGCCTTCACTTGGAGGACAGCCCAGGCTGTGTCCCCAGAGTCCATGGTGCCCATGGCTGAGTCTAGCATGTACACAGCCCTCGCCAGGCACTGACTCCGGGACCACTGCCCCCTGCGCCTGAGGAAGTCATGCTTGGAAAAGCCTCAAGAAGCCATCTGGAGGGCTTCCCCTTGGAATCATCCTGGTCTGCAAAACCAGTCAACTGTTCTGGAGATAAGAGGTAGAGCCCAAAGTTCTCTAGTCAGCATCTAGAAAGTTCATTAACCAGGTGATTCCTTCCACAACTGACCAGCACCTCAAAGAGGTGGCATTGCAGCTACTTCTAGAAACCCAGCTGCAATCACCTGGCTGTTTCCAGACACCTAGTTCCAGTCACCTGGTTGTTTCCAGTGATCCAGCTGCTGTCACTTCTCTGTTTCAAGACACCCAGCTCCAGTCTCCTGGCTGTTTGCTGAGTCTCAGCTATAGCCATCCCAGCTGATTCCATTAACAATGTTGCATCCCCCTGCAGTTTCCAAATGTCTTCTGTAAATCCCCCCAGCTGCCCCAGCAATCGTCTACTCAGCTGATCCTGAACATTCTCCTAGAGTTTAGTTGTTGACCTTGAGAATGAGCTATACATATGGATCTGAGAGCTGAGACCAGTCCTCTGGGTCATGCTTTACTTCATGCACCAATGAATAGTTTAAAGACCTCACATCTGGCAGTCCTGTGTCATGTTCTGGGGTGTATAGATCACTTGGACCCAATCTCTGCCTTCATGTTGTTCAAGGTTACATGGGGTTAACAAGAGCTACAAAGGAGGTGTCAGTATTTTTTTAAGGATTTCATTGGCAGTGATTGCATATATTCAAGATGCACAAGGTGATAATTTGATATACATATACATTGTGAAATAATAGCCACGGTCAAATGAATCAGCGCATCCATCACCAGCTACGCTGTACATAAGATCCCCTGAACTTGCTCATCTTAGGCCTCCAAGATGGAGCATATGATCAGGGATCAATTAAGGTGTCTGAGCGGATGCATGGATGGGTGAAGACAGAGAGCTAATCCCACTTATGCACTTACACACATATGCACATGTACTCACACATTCACACATGCACACACATGCACAAACCTGAACGCACTCACACATGTCAGGAGACCTCTGAATCCTCTGTGCGCTGGGACTTGGTTGTCTCCACCCCTCTTAGAAAGTTAGATGCTCTCCCTATTCAGATTAAAACGGAAAATTACTTGAGAACCACTAGGGGGAGACAGTACCTCATTTGAATTAATTTTTGTGCACATTTAAAATAAACAATAACACACTTACCATGGGCATGCCTTTGGCCGGATTGCAAAGGTAAACATATATCAAAGCATCTCATGGTACCCAATAAATATATACAATTATTATTTTTCAATTAAAATATCGTAATAAAATAACAGAAAAGAAACCTGCATACTTGTAACAGAGTGGATTTTTAAATGTCGTTTTATACAAGAAAAAGAATATTTTTTAAAAAACTCAACAATAACTCAATCAGCTTATCCTATGGAGCAATTACTAGTTGAATACTATGCAAACATCAACACATTCACTAGTCTTACATATGCCCCACAGCTTGTCCTATTTTTTCCCCACTTGTGGGGATTTTGATAGTTGTTGAGTATGTCTAATCCAATTATACATTCCAGAGCAAGGAATAAAGCCACAGGATGCATTTGGTGGCCAAGAAAATTCAACAGGAGACAAATCTGAGCTAAAGGTTCATTGACTACCTGACCTCCATAAGCTTCTAATCTGACTGGAGGGTCACCATGATGTTTTGGGTCTTCTGAAGTTAGTGTTAGCTCAGAGCCAGTGTCTAGTTGCACCCAAAATATCTGATCATTTCCTTTACCCAGTACACAGCTACCATGATAAAGGCCATAGGTCCATTTAAGGGAAGCTGAGATAAATATAATTGTTTAACTTTTTATAGTATATACCGGGGCAGCGCCTTCAAGGATACCTGGTCTTCCCTTTAATTCAAGGGGTTCTGGGTCTATAAACTGGTGAAATTCTAGTAATTGATTAAGAGACTGTAACTGTCTATTTTATGATTTTAATTAGATTCTTGTTCTCTTTGCCAAGAAATGTTCTGCTTATACAAATCAAGTAAGAATGAAGTAAGTTTCCTATCTATTTCACGTCTTAGAACGCTGCGGTCAACTAGACAACACTAAAGGGCTGCATGAGACAGTCTATTCTGATTACTGCCTTGATTCTGCTTTCCATTATGATCACCACACCCAGTTCTATGATAACCACACCCAATTCAACACACCAGATTCTCACCTTTGTCGACTGACTTCTGACACTTGAGTCCTGCCACTCTAGGATCCAACTACTCCCCTTACATTTAGGTTTCTCGGTTCAGTGGCAGCAGTTCCCACTGGAAGTTCTGGCCTCTCCTAATACACCCTCTGTCCTTTCCCACCTTGTCTCTGCCCTGGAGGCTGACTCTATGGATTGCATCACCAACATCTTCTTGTGTCTAGTGTCTGGTTGAGTTCAGCCATGGGAGGCACTGTCAGGAGAGCAGAGGGTGAGAGGAGAGAGAGGCCGGGGAATCTATTCCCACACGTACGCCCTGCCAGGCAATAAACTGTGCTCCTCTACCCATGACATAAGCTCCCACGAGGCACCTCCCATCTCCCAGCTCAGTCCTCAAGGTGACTTTCCAGAGACCTAGTTACATTCGGCTGTTACTAAAGAGTCAGCTACAGTCATCTAGCTGTTTCCAGTGACCACCCCCAATCCCCCATAGCTGCCTGCCTGTTTGCAGAGACCCAGCTACATGCACCTAGCTGTTTCTAGAGACCCGGCTACATCCACCTGGCTGTTTCCAGAGACCCGGCTACATCCACCTGGCTGTTTCCAGAGACCCGGCTACATCCACCTGACTGTTTCCAGAGACCCGGCTACATCCGCTGGCTGTTTCTAGAGACCCGGCTACATCCACCCAGCTGATTTCATTATCACTGACGCAGTCCCCAGCTGCTCCTATGTCTCCTGGAAATCCCCAATTGCCCCAGAGACTTTGTTGTAATTTTCTGTTCAGCTGACTCTAGGGATCTTCCTGGAGCTTAATTGCTGACCTTAAGAATGGGCCATATTTATGCAACTGAGAGCAGAGCCCAGTTCTCTGGGCCATGCTTTCCTTTGTACATCAACAAATAATCCTAAAGACCTAAAGTCTGGCAATCCCACGCCAGGTCCTAGGGTGCACAGGTCACCTGCATCCAGTCTTTGCCTTCACAGTTATTCAAAGCTGAGCAGGGAAAAAGGAGAGCCACAGAGAAGTTCAGTGTTTTCCTTTTTATCTTTTTAAAAAATCCTTTTTTATCCTTAAAATGATTTAATCAACCAAGATTGTATATATTGAGGTGTACAACATGATGATTTGATATACGTATACATTGTGTAATGATTGCCACAATCAAATTAGCACACTCAGGACAACCAGTGCCCTAAATAGATCCCCTGGATTTGTACACGTTATGCCTTAAAGTTGGTGCCAGAGTTCCATTTATTTATTTTTATCCATATATAATAGTTGTATATAGGTTTGGGGTACTTATGATATTTTGATACTTGTATGCAATGGGTAATAATAAAATCAGGGTAATTAGAATATCCATCACCTCAAATATTTATCTTTTCTTTTTGTTGGGGAGCATTACAATTCTTTTATTCTAGTTGTTTTGAAATACACAATATATTATTGTTAACTATACTTCCCCTACTGTACTGTCAAATACTCAGTTATTTCTCCTATCCAGCTGTATTTCTATACTCCGTAACTAACATCTCCTTATCTCCCACCCTTTCCAGCTCTAGTAACCACCAGTCTACACATTTTTTTTTTTTGAGACAGAGTCTTGCTGTGTCACCCAGGATGGAATGCAGTGGCGTGATCTTGGCTCACTGCAACCTTTGCCTCCTGGGTTCAAGAGATTCGCCTGCCTCAGCCTCCTGAGTAGCTGGGATTACAGATGCATGCCACCACGCCAGGCTAAAGACAGGGTTTCACCATGTTGGCCAGGATGGTCTCGAACTCTTGACCTCAAGTGATCCACCCGCCTCAGCCTCCCAAAGTGCTGGGATTACAGGCATGAGCCACCACGCCCGGCCTTTTTTTTTTCTTTTGAGACAAGGTATTGCTCTGTTGCCCAAGCTGGAATGCAGTGACACAATCATGGCTCACTGCAGCCTCAACCCTCCAGGGCTCAAGCGATCCTCCTGCCTCAGACTCCCGAGTAGCTAGGACCACAGTGCACACCACCACGCCCAACTAATTTTTGTATGTTTCGTAGAGAAGGGGTTTTGCCACATTGGCCAGGCTGGTCTGGAACTCCTGACCTCAAGTGAACCACCTGCCTTGGCCTCCCAAATCACTGGGATTACAGGCACAAGCCACCACACCTGGCCAACCAGTCTACTCTCTCTGTTTAGGAATCCACTTCTTTAGCTCCCACGTATGAGTGAGAACATTCGAGATTTGTCTTTCTGTTCCTGGCTTATTTCACTGACCATAATGACCTCCAGTTCCAACTATGTTGCTGTAAATGTCAGGATTTCATTCTTTTTTATGGATGACCCCTCTTCCATTGTGTATACATACCACATTTTCTTTACCCTTTTATCCACTGATGGACACTTAGGTTGATTCCGTATGCTGACTTGTGAAGAGTGCTGCAATAAACACACGGGTGCAGGGACTCTTGTGATGTCCTGAGATTTTTTTCCTTTGCATGAATATTCAGTAGTGAACTCACTGGATTTTACGATAATTGCAGTTTCAGTATCTTGAGGAATCTCCGTGTTTTTTTTTTTTTTTCTTTTTTTGAGACAGAGTCTCACTGTCACCCAGGCTGGAGTGCAGTGGCGTGATCTCGGCTCACTGTAGGCTCTGCCCCTCGGGGTTCACACCATTCTCCTGCCTCAGCCTCCCGAGTAGCTGGGACTACAGGTGCCTGCCACCTCGCCTGGCTAATTTTTTGTATTTTTAGTAGAGACAGGGTTTCACCCTGTTGGCCAGGATGGTCTCGATCTCCTGACCTCGTGATCCGCCCGCCTTGGCCTCCCAAAGTGCTGGGATTACAGGTGTGAGCCACCGCGCCCGGCCGGAATCTCCATGTTTTCCATAATGGCTGTACTAATTTATATTCCCACCAACAGTGTCTAAGAGTTATTTTGTCAGCACATCCTCACCAGCATGTTTTTATTTTATTTTATTGATCTATTTATTTATTTGTTTGTTTGTTTAGATGGAGTCTCACTCTGTCGCCCAGGCTGGAGTGCAGTGGTGCCATCTCAGCTCACTGCAACCTCCAGCTCCTGGGTGCAAGCGATTCTCTTCCCTCAGCCTCCCGAGTAGCAGGAGCCTCCTGATTACAGGCGAGCGCCACCACGCCCGGCTAATTTTTGTCTTTTTAGTAGAGACGAGGTTTCAACATGTTGGCCAGGCTGGTCTCAAACTCCTGACCTCGTGATCCGCCTGCCTCGGCCTCCCAAAGTGCTGAGATTACAGGCGTGAACCACTGTGCCCAGCCCAGCATGTTTTTATATGTTTCTTTGATAATAGACATTTTAACTGAAATAAGATGATACTCATTGTAGTTTCGATTTGATGCCAGTGATGATTGTGGGTTTTTGTTTGTTTGTTTGTGTTTTGAGATGAAGTCTCGCTCTGTCACCCAGATTGGAGTGCAGTAGTGTGATCTTGGCTCACTGCAACCTCTGCCTACTGGGTTCAAGTGAGCCTCCTGCCTCAGCCTCCTCAGTAGATGGGACTACAGGTGTATGCCACCACGCCCAGCTGTTTTTTTTTCTTTTTTTGTATTTTTGGTAGAGATGAGGTTTCACCATGTTGCCCAGGCTGGTCTCAAACTCCTGGGTTCAAGTGATCCACCTGCTTTGGCCTCCCAAAGTGCTGGGATTACAGGTGTGAGCCACCGCGCTTGGCCGATGATTAGTGTTTTATATAGCTGTTGGCCATCTGTACATTTTCTTTTGAGAAGCAACTATTCAGATGCTTTGCATACTTGTTAATGGAATTATCTGGGGATTTTTTGTTGAGGTGTGTTTCTTCTAGGCCTAATTTGTTGATAGTTTTAATGATGAAGGGATGTTGAATTTTGTCAAATGTTTTTTTAACATCTATTGTGATGATCATATAATTTTTTTTTTTTTTTTTTAGACAGAGGGTCTCTCCTTCACCCAGGCAGGAGTGCAGTGGCGCGATCTTGGCTCACTGCAACTTCCACCTCCTGGGTTCAAGAGATTCTCCTGTCTCAGCCTCCCGAGTAGCTGGACTACCGGTGCACACCACCACACCCAGTTAATATTTTGCATTTTTGAGAGAGATGGGGTTTCATCATGTTGGCCAGGCTGATCTCGATCTCCTGACCTCAAGTGATCCACCCATCTCAATCTCCCAAAGTGCTGGGATTGCAGGCATGAACCACCGCGCCTGCCCATGATTATATGTTTTTTGTTCTTCCTTCTGTTGACATGAGATATCATATCTATTGATTTGAGAATGTTGAAATATCCTCCCTTCTGGCTGCTGTGTGGACTGCGAGCTCTCCTACCCTCCATGGTCTTCCAATCCCACTGTCCCCAGGCCAACTGCTCCCAGACTATGCAGTAGTCTCATGTGCATGGAGCAGTTGCAATTGATCCTGGTGGTGACAGAGGGGTTGGTGTTTCAGGCATGGCACAGTCAGAGGAGGTCCCAAGGAGAGACCAAGAGGTAAACTTAAGTAGAGCTGCACCCCTTCCTTGGCATCTGTAGAACCCTGGATAAAATCAAATACGCCAACCCAAATGCCCATCAATGATAGACTGGATAAAGAAAATGTGGCACATATACACCATGGAATACTATGCAGCCACAAAAAAGGATGAGTTCATGTCCTTTGCAGGGACACAGATGAAGCTGAAAACCATCATTCTCTGCAAACTAACACGAGAACAGAAAACCAAACATCACGTGTCCTCACTCATAGGTGGGAGTTGAGCAATGAGAACACATGGACACGAAGAGGGGAAAATCACACACCGGCACCTGTCACGGGCTGGGGGGCTGGGGGAGGGATAGCATTAGAAGAAATACCTAATATAGACAACAGGTTGATGGGTGCAGCAAAATACCATGGCACGTGTATACCTATGTAACAAACCTGCACGTTCTGCACATGTATCCCAGAACTTGAAGTATAATAATAAAAAAAAAGAAAACGAAACAATGAAACATGGGTTCTTATGAATCACAGAACACCCGTGACCCCAAGTTAAGATGGAAATTTATGATTCATTCCAACTAGGTCCTGTTTTCAGTATCTCACAAAAGCTTGACTCTAGAGTGAAATATACTTGGAAATGAATGAACGACTCTTGTGGTCTTTTTACTTCTTGTAAGGCTTTAGGATCCACCCGTTTGAATACCTATGACCAGGACCTCCTGCAATGCTTCTCTCTCCACCTCCAGGCATCCCTTCATTCAGATAATACCAATTCATCATCACCATCTGACCTCTCCTTCAGCTTCTTCACCACCCTCCATCTCAATTGCTTTCTGTTTTTCTTCTTTATTTTTTGAACTTCAACTTTTATTTTAGATACGAGGATACATGCTCAGGTTTGCTACATGGAACTATTGCACCCAGGTGGTGAGTGCAGGACCCAGTGGGTATTTCTTTTATCCTGTCCTATTGCGTTAAATCTTTCCTTCCCGGGACTGGTCCTATCTCTAAACTTTTTGCGTAGTGATTTTATCAACTTAATTTTTGCTAGGATGCTAGATTTTCTAGGAGGGGAGGTAATTTGAAATGAAGTCTGGGTTACTGTGAATCCAGTATATCTGCTTTGCTCGCCTTTATCTCTTGTGTCCTGGGATGGCCACAGGTTGACATGTTTAAATGTTTCTTAAGTGAGGATGGATAAGATTTACTGAGTGGTGAGTGCACGAATACAAAAGCAAAATGAGGCCGGGCGCGGTGGCTCACGCCTGTAATCCCAGCACTTTGGGAGGCCAAGGCGGGCAGATCACCTGAGGTCAGGAGTTCGAAACCAGCCTGGCCAACATGGTGAAACCCCATCTCTACTAAAAATACAAAAGTTAGCCGGGTGTGGTGGCAGCTGCCTGTAATCTCAGCTCTCAGCTACTCGGGAGGCTGAGTTAGGAGAATTGTTTGAACCCAGGAGGCTGAGGTTGCAGTAAGCCAAGATTGCACCACTGCACTCCAGCCTGGATGACAGAGTGTCACCCTGTCACAAAAAAAAAAAAAAAAAAAAAGAAGCAAAATACAAGAAGTCCAGGACTGGTAAAGGCAAGGCATGTTGAGCGGTTAGAAAAGGGGTGATGACATCGAAAAACCTCCTGGCATTTCCCAGTCCTTGCCTAGCACAGGTTACTCTGAAAGCAGGACTTAAGACAAGGATATGAGCGCAGGTAACTGATTTGGGAACCAAGTTTAAGGGAATAGGGTTCCCTTATGAAAGAGAGAAGGAGAGGAATTTCTGAAATCAGCATGCATTGCGGACACCACTACAGCAGGTAATATGGACAGGTCCACAC
The DNA here is from genome assembly GCF_000001405.40 of Homo sapiens. Lineage (NCBI taxonomy): Eukaryota > Metazoa > Chordata > Mammalia > Primates > Hominidae > Homo > Homo sapiens. Next base: position 567,144 of record NW_003571054.1, read on the forward strand.
CAGGATCTCTGATAATGTGCAGACCATCATCCAGAACTTCCCGCCAAAACAGGAGATACTCGCCAATATGTGTATGGCTTTCTAGCCCCCATTTCTGGGAGTTTCTTTTTCCCCAGCCACTGTCAGACGCATCAAGCTTTGGCTGAAATAGCTTCCAATAAGGTCCTTACACACAAATGTGGAGAGACACATGGAAATCCTCGAAATGAGATACTGTCCCGTGATTCTGAGAGTGACCCAAAAGGATACGGAATGAGGTACTAAAAGCAGGTGCTTGGAAACCTGAGGGCAGTGGTGTTCATGCGTTTCCCGGCACTTTGACTTTCAGCCTCCTGCAAGCCTCTCCTTCTTTGCCTTCCTGACCGTTAGATACGATTAATTTGGGGTTTGTTTTTTCTGCTTCCTCTTTCCCCTCCCACCCTATGTTTCAGTTCTAAAGTTAGAAGGTCCTCTCATCCTTTTAAGAAGAACAGAGACAGAAAATGGTTAGTCACCATCTAGGACAGACTACAATTCCAGATCATTGCAGGACGTGCCCACTCAAATGGATGATTATTGAGAGCTGGCCACCTGAAGTGTTTTACACAGGCAGTGATCTAAGGGTTGAAGCTATCTGGCCTTTTTGCTTGCTTGTTATGTATTTATGGCTTTTTTCCTTTTCAAAATAATTTTACTAAATATTTAATTCACCAACTATATATATTTATGGGGTACAATGTGTTATAAATGTATACACTGTGGAATGATGGAATCAAGACAGTTAACATGTCCATCACTCCGCATACTAACATCTGTGAAAACATTTAAAATCTATGCTTGGCTGGGCGTGGTGGCTCATGCCTGTAACCCCAGCAACTTTGAGAGGCTGAGATGGGCGGATCACCAGAGGTCAGGAGTTTGAGACCGGCCTGGCCAACATGGTGAAACCCCATCTCTATTAAAAATACAAAAATTAGCTGTGAGTGGTGGCGGGTGCCTGTAATCCCAGCTACACAGGAGGCTAAAGCAGGAGAGTCTCCTGAACCCAGGAGGCGGAGGTTGCAGTGAGCTGAGATCACACCACAGCACTCTAGCCTGGGCGACAGAGTGAGACTGCATCTCAGAAAAGAAAAAATATATATATATATTTTGGAGCTACATCGTGCTAGCGCTGCAGAGAATGAGTTTTGTTTTGCGACACAGTTTTTAGATGTCTACCGGGCTCTGGTGGAGATGGAATGTTTGGCCTCAAGTGGGCAGGTCCCATGGGACATGAGTAGCCGACCATGACCTGGCTGCGTACTGGCCCACCAGGCATTCGACTGGCGTGCCCAGCCGCTCTCCGTCATCGCAGAGAAGTGCTCTATGTGAGATTTGGTTAAAGGAGTCCCTGAAGGCCTGTGGGAGGCAGAATAGTGACCTCCCAGAGATGTCCACCTCCTGAGGCCCAGACCCTGTGAGTTGGGGAAGCTTATGTGGCAAAAGGGACTTTGCAGATGTGATTAAGTCAAGGATCTTGGGTTGGGGAGATTACCCAGGTGGGCCTGATGTAATCACAAGGGGCTGAGTAAGTGAAAGAGGAAGGCAGGAGGGTCAGAGTGAGAGAAGGAGGTGAGTGCATGGAAGCAGGCGGCAGATAACGGGACTGGTGGCTTTGAGGTTGGAGGGAATGGAGAGGCAGGAATGCGGGAGCCTGCAGAGGCTTGAACAGGCGAGGGAACAGATTCTCCTTGGAGCCTCCAGGAGGACACGGCTCTGATAGCAGCTTCATTTTAGCCCAGGGAGACCCATTTTGGACTTGTGACCTCCGGGACGGTAAGTCAATAAACCTACATTATGTGAAGCCACTAAGCTTGTGGTGATTTGTTATGGCAGCAAAAGGAAGCTTTATGGTTCATCTGTACCCTGAAAATGCAGGTTTTTGGTTTTTTTTTTTTTTTCACTTGTTCAATGATGTACCCCCAGTGTCAGGCGCTTTGCAAACACACGATACATACGGGTTGATGTTTGGTCAAGAGAGGAATTAAGACCAGGCAGACAGCAGGCTGGGATCAGAGAGACCCCATTTCTGTCTGAAATGTCTGCAGAGAACCTGGTGCCTGCCTCAGCCCTAGCTCTGGGGAAATGAAAGCCAGGCTGGGGTTCAAATGAGGGCAGTTTCCCTTCCTGTGGGCTGCTGATGGAACAACCCCATGACGAGAAGGACCCAGCCTCCAAGCGGCCACACCCTGTGTGTCTCTTTGTCCTGCCGGCACTGAGGACTCATCCATCTGCACAGCTGGGGCCCCTGGGAGGAGACGCCATGATCCCCACCTTCACGGCTCTGCTCTGCCTCGGTGAGATTTAAAGAGGGGGAGGGGAGACCCGAGTCTTGGAGGAAATTTGCCTCACAGCCAGGCCCTGGTTCTTTAGGAGACTCAAAAATCTCAGGGTAGCCGGGCGCGGTGGCTCACGCCTGTAATCCCAGCACTTTGGGAGGCCGAGGCGGGCGGATCACGAGGTCAGGAGATCGAGACCATCCTGGCTAACACGGTGAAACCCTGTCTCTACTAAAAATACAAAAAATTAGCCGGGGGTGGTTGCAGGCGCCTGTGGTCCCAGCCACTCGGGAGGCTGAGGCAGGAGAATGGCGTGAACCCGGGAGGCGGAGCTTGCAGTGAGCCAAGATCGCACCACCGCACTCCAGCCTGGGTGACAGCGAGACTCCGTCTCAAAAAAAAAAAAAAAAAAAAAAAAAAAAAAAAATCTCAGGGTAAAGAGAGGACCTGCTCAGGCTTCCGGGGCAAATCCCTCACAGGGAACTCTCTTCCAGGGCTGAGTCTGGGCCCCAGGACCCACATGCAGGCAGGTGAGTCTGTCCCCAGCTGTCCCAGGTCCCTCCTCCTCACTGGGACAAGGGGCCACCCATGGGCAGCTGGGGGAGGAGACAGCAGTTCTGGGTGACTGATGAGGATGACGGGGGGGTCCTGGGGCTGAGAGCTGGGATCTGAGGGCTGAGGAAGGTCTTGGGATCCAGCCTCTGATTTTCTTCCAGGGCCCCTCCCCAAACCCACCCTCTGGGCTGAGCCAGGCTCTGTGATCAGCTGGGGGAACTCTGTGACCATCTGGTGTCAGGGGACCCTGGAGGCTCGGGAGTACCGTCTGGATAAAGAGGAAAGCCCAGCACCCTGGGACAGACAGAACCCACTGGAGCCCAAGAACAAGGCCAGATTCTCCATCCCATCCATGACAGAGGACTATGCAGGGAGATACCGCTGTTACTATCGCAGCCCTGTAGGCTGGTCACAGCCCAGTGACCCCCTGGAGCTGGTGATGACAGGTGAGAGGACACTCAGGGGTCCCAGCCCCAGGCTCTGCCCTCAGGAAGGGGGTCAGCTCTCAGGGGCATCTCCCTCTCACAGCCCAGCCCTGGGGATGATGTGGGAGGTGGGAGCCCCATTTAACACGGTGCCTCCTTCTCTCCTAGGAGCCTACAGTAAACCCACCCTTTCAGCCCTGCCGAGTCCTCTTGTGACCTCAGGAAAGAGCGTGACCCTGCTGTGTCAGTCACGGAGCCCAATGGACACTTTCCTTCTGATCAAGGAGCGGGCAGCCCATCCCCTACTGCATCTGAGATCAGAGCACGGAGCTCAGCAGCACCAGGCTGAATTCCCCATGAGTCCTGTGACCTCAGTGCACGGGGGGACCTACAGGTGCTTCAGCTCACACGGCTTCTCCCACTACCTGCTGTCACACCCCAGTGACCCCCTGGAGCTCATAGTCTCAGGTGAGGCTCCTGACCCTGTCCTCTCTGAGCTCAGTGGCTCCGTTCATGCCCTGCTGCCAGGAGAGCTCTGGGCAGGGATGGAGGGAGAGGGGCTCAGCCAGTGGGGGACTCAGCCCTCAGAGGGGAGGAGGACAACAGGGGCCCTCCCAGGCATGCCCATGCTCTTCTCCCTCACCTAGGGTCCAGAAGGTGCCAGGTGGACAGAGAAATGGTCCTTGGGAAGCTGCAGGGCAGATATAGGGAGAGGTTCAATTTGATGTGGAGACCCAAGGGCAACCCCAGACTCTCACCCTCCTCTTGTCCTTCTACCCAGGATCCTTGGAGGGTCCCAGGCCCTCACCCACAAGGTCCGTCTCAACAGCTGGTGAGTCTCAGAGGCCTCTGTCCAGAGAGTTTCCAAAGCCCGAGGCCTGTCTCAAGACATGCTCAGTGGATCTAAGTCCTCGTTCCAATTCTCAGCTGGGCTTGCTTCCACGGGTGTGGGAGTCGGGCAGCGACTTGGGAGGCACCACAGGCTCCCAAGGCCCTGAGGCTGGGCTGGTGAGGGGTGAGGGGGTCAAGGCTGAAGGAGATGTTGCGGGGAGAAGCCGAGCTGATGCGGGGAGCAGGGCAGCCCCAGCCCTCACATCCCTGTTCTAACCCAGCAGGCCCTGAGGACCAGCCCCTCATGCCTACAGGGTCAGTCCCCCACAGTGGTGAGTGAGGGGCTCTGAGTGGGAGGTGGGCAGGGTCTAGGGGAGCCAAGGGTGGGTTCTGTCCTAGGTTCAGGCTCCTCTGGAGGTGGTGATGTGGACAGGCCCCTCCCCTGCATGGGCCTCAGTTTCTCCAAGTGTAAAGGAGAGAGGCCTGTGGGTGGGAAAGTTCCTTTCAGCTCTGACTCCCAGCTGTGCCCTCCTGGGAGAGGAGGCCTCCCAGGGAACCTCCCAGACCCGATTCCGCAGGGGCCTGTCCGGTCCCACCTGCAGCAGAGACGGTGACCTGGGGCAGGGGAGGGGAGCAGGGCGGTGGTTCAAGACAGTCAGGCTCTTTCCCTGCAACTCTGGGGCTTGGCTCTGGTGCAGGAACAAGGGCTGCAGCTCAGACTCCCGGGTTTCCTTCCCAGCTCTGCCGCTTCCTGGCTGGAGGGGTCTGGGGCAGGCGATTCCCCTCTCTGAGCCTCAGTTTGTGCATCTGTGAAATGGGTGGAGAGAGGGTGGCAATCTCAGGTTGCACAACTGCTGTGAGGGTTGGAGGTAATGAAAGAAAGACCCAGCACACACAGTAGGTGCACACACAGTAGGTGTGCACATCAATGACATCATCCCCATTCCTGATGTCATCACGCCCAAGGTCTGAGAAGGCACTGGGAGGTACTGATCGGGGTCTTGGTGGTCTCCATCCTGCTTCTCTCCCTCCTCCTCTTCCTCCTCCTCCAACACTGGCGTCAGGGAAAACACAGGACATTGGGTAAGTAGGAAATTGGGGGACCCGTGGGCTGATGGAGGGTGGGCTCAGGGCACCAGCCAAAGGGACTCCAGATAGGAGAGGTCATCTTAGAAACTCTGCTCCAGAAATTCCCAGTGAGAAAATCTAGAAAGAAGAAAATGAATGAGGGAGTAATGGAAGTGCTTTATTCTTTCGGTTTTTCTAAACTTAGAAAGTATTTAAAACATCCTTGCAAGTGTATTTTCAGGTTTCCTTTCCTCTTGACTTGCATGTGCAAGGCAGGTGGTTCTAACGTTCCCAGAGCTGAGACTCTGTCCATCTTCCCCCAGCCCAGAGACAGGCTGATTTCCAACGTCCTCCAGGGGCTGCCGAGCCAGAGCCCAAGGACGGGGGCCTACAGAGGAGGTAATTCTGCCCAAAGACCTCAGACTCCCACCCATCCCAACAGCCACCTCACTGTCCCCTTACACTCCCGTATCCTCCCCCAGGTCCAGCCCAGCTGCTGACGTCCAGGGAGAAAACTTCTGTGAGTGAGAGGCAGAGAAGGTGCACCTGGGGTGGAGCTGGGGGTCCCAAAATTTCAATAGCAATGGGGGCAGGAGCACAGGCTAGGATTGGTCAGGGACTCAGGGAGAAGTGGTCTGAACCCACATTGTGGGACCTCGGGGACATCACAGCCCCTCCCTGCGTTGCAGTGGCACTAATGGGAACAGGGCAGGGACCAGCAGGAATGAGAGGTCCCAGGGAACCTTCCCAGGAGATGAACCCCTTGCTCTACCCCAGCAGGTGCTGCCGTGAAGGACACACAGCCTGAGGACGGGGTGGAAATGGACACTCGGGTGAGAACCCGCCCCTGTCCCCGGCACCAAAGGCCTCCTGGTGCCAGATCTAATCCTGCAGGACTTCTCTGTCCTCCTTCCCCCGGCTCTCAGCATCGTCACGGTGGACCCCTCCTTGTCCAGCACGCTGCCTCCTGCCTGCTGGGACCTCACTCTCTCCTGCTGTCCTGGGACCTCATGGGCCTCCTCCCGGGTCCCCTTCCTGCTCCTCATCCTCTGTTTGGCCATCTGGTTGTTAGAGAGCTCCCCAGGCCTCAGGAGGATGACGAATAAATGAACCACTCCAGTCCCCTGGGCTCCCCTTCATTCATTCATCTAGTGAGTGTTCCCAGGGAGCTCACTGTGGATGGGGCTCCCCATGGGAGCTGCAGACACAGCAGGGAGCAAAGCCGCCCCCGCCTCCTGAGCTCACCTCGTGGTGGGAGACAAAATGCAAATAAATGCATCGTGTCCAGGAGTGCAACGTGCTGTAAGGAACATAAACCAGGTAAAGGGCAGAGAGTGTGGGGCAGTGGGGCCAGTCTGAATGGAAGGGGAGGGCTGTCTGCTCAGCTGTCATCTGAGAAGCCTGGACGGAGAGGGCCACGTGATCCTCTAATGGACGAGCCCCTGCAGGCAGAGGAAACAGCCGTGCAAAGGCCCCGAGGCAGCAGCGAGCTCTTGCAGGAAGGCCGCGTGAGGCTGCAGCCAAATGGGCAAGGTCAGAGTGAGGAGCAGAGACCAGAACCACAGGGAGGGAGCGGCCAGACCCTCCACGGCCTTAGGGCGTCCCTGAGATTCCATCAGGAAAGGGATGTAATCGGATCACCCTGGGAACAGTGGGGAAAATTGACTCCAGGGAGTCAGGAGGATTCAAGGACACCCCCCACCACTGTCTCTCTCCAGCAGAGCCCACACGATGAAGACCCCCAGGCAGTGACGTATGCCAAGGTGAAACACTCCAGACCTAGGAGAGAAATGGCCTCTCCTCCCTCCCCACTGTCTGGGGAATTCCTGGACACAAAGGACAGACAGGCAGAAGAGGACAGACAGATGGACACTGAGGTGAGTCCTTTCCTCTCCAGGCCCCCAGGCCTCCCCCACCCCCACCACGTTCCTTCCCTCTCACTCTCCCCCGCTGCAGGCTGCTGCATCTGAAGCCCCCCAGGATGTGACCTACGCCCGGCTGCACAGCTTTACCCTCAGACAGAAGGCAACTGAGCCTCCTCCATCCCAGGAAGGGGCCTCTCCAGCTGAGCCCAGTGTCTATGCCACTCTGGCCATCCACTAATCCAGGGGGGACCCAGACCCCACAAGCCATGGAGACTCAGGACCCCAGAAGGCATGGAAGCTGCCTCCAGTAGACATCACTGAACCCCAGCCAGCCCAGACCCCTGACACAGACCACTAGAAGATTCCGGGAACGTTGGGAGTCACCTGATTCTGCAAAGATAAATAATATCCCTGCATTATCAAAATAAAGTAGCAGACCTCTCAATTCACAATGAGTTAACTGATAAAACAAAACAGAAGTCAGACAATGTTTTAAATTGAATGATCATGTAAATATTACACATCAAACCAATGACATGGGAAAATGGGAGCTTCTAATGAGGACAAACAAAAAATAGAGAAAAATTAATAAAGTCAAAATGTTTATTCTTGAAAACATTAATGATACATGAATCTTGGCCACAATGAGAAAAATAAAAATGAAAAAAGAGCAGGCATCCATTTCCATACAGGAACAAAATAGGAGGCAGCACTACAGACCCTACACACAGCTTTACAGAGGTGAAAGAAAACTGTCAGCAATTCTATGCTGACATAACAGAAAATGTAGATGAGATAGATGAAATACGAAAAATTACAGTTTACTTAATGAACATAAGGATAAATAGAAAAACTGAATCATCATACATAAACATATATAAAATGCATTGATCCTGTAATCAAAAATGTTCCCACAAAGTAAATGCCACTTCAGCAAGGTTTGTTGGTGGTTTTTTCAAACTCTTATGCACTCATGAAACACACAGACACACACACACACAAACTTGCATAAATTTTCCCTGAGAATATTTTGTATATATTTACACAAATACATTTGATCAGACTAGGAACAAGTTGATACCAAAACCTGAAAAGGAAACTACAGAATGGGAAAGTCATAGAAGATCTCTCACAGAAATATAAATCCCTTAACAAATATTAACAAGTAAGATTCATGTCTCTATAAAATAGACAGTATATCATGACCACACTGGTTTTTTGTTATCCTTTGATTTTGTTTATGAAAAGCAAGGATAGCTTAATTTTCAAAAACTCAATCAATGTAATTCAGTATTTTAACAAAAGGAATGAAAAATTATCATCTCAATAGACAAAGCTTTTGTCTGAGCACCTTTTCATATAGCTGCTGACCATTTGTATGTCTTCTTTTGAGAAATGCCTGTTCAGCTACTTTGCCCATGTTTCAAGTAGTTTTTGGTTTCTTGCTGTTGCTTTGTTTTAGTTCCTTACATATTTTTGCATATTAACCCTTTATCAGGTATACAGCTTGCAACTATTTTCTCCCATTTCTGAGTTGTCTCTTCATTCTGTTTGCAGAAGCTGTTTAGAAGCCACACCTTTTGTCTATTTTTGCTTTTGTTGCTTGTGTTTTCAGGGCCATATCCAAAAAAACCTTGCCCGGACCAACGTCTTGAAGCTTTTCTCCCACCCATTTTTGTATATGGGATAAGGGTTCAATTTCATTCTTCTTCATATGAATATCCCCAGGATGTGTCCTATGCCCAGCTGCACAGCTTACCCTCAAACAGAAAATAATGAAGCCTTCTTCCTCCCAGGAAAGGGGACGTTCAGCTGAGCCGAGTGTGTATACTGCTCTGGCCATCCACTAGCCCAGGGAGGACCCAGACCTCCACACTCCATGGAGACTCAGTTCTCCTAGGACCATTTATTCAAAAGGACTGCCCTCTCTTGTTCTTGGAAACTTTGTTGAGGATCAATTCACCATAAATATGTGTGTTTCCTTCTTTGCTTTCATCCCTGTTGCACTGATCACTGTACCTGTTTCTATTCCAGTTCCATGATGTCTTCCTGGCTGTAGCTTTGTAGGATATTTGGGGATTCCATAGTGTGATATCCCCTTCTTCCCTTTGCTCAAGATTGTTTTGGCCATTTGGGGTCCTTTTGTAGTCCCATTCAAATTTTAGGATTGTTTTTCTATTTCTGTGGAAAACGACCTTGGAATTTTGTTAGGAATTGCATTGAGTCTGCAGGTATGAACTTTTTTTTAAAGTTCCAGGGCACATGTACAGGACCTGCAGCTTTGTTACATAGGTAGGCTTGTGCCATGGTGGTTTGCTGCACCTATCAACCCATTACCTAGTTATTAAGCCCAGCATGCATTAGCTCTTTTTCCTGATGCTCTCCCTCCCTTCATCATCCGCCCTCCCACTACAAGCCCCAGTGTGTGTTGTTCCCCTCCCTGTGTCCATGTGTTCTCATTGTTATACGAACATTTTAACAATGTTAATTCTTGCAGACCATGAACATAAGCTACCTTCCCATTTATATGCGTCTTGTTCAATTTCATTCATCAATGTTATAAAGATTTTAGTGCAGAGATATTAAACCTCCTTGGTTAAATTTAATTCTAAGTAATTTTTTAGCTATTATAAGTGTAATTTTTCTTTCGATTTCTTTCTGGATAGTTTGTTTTTAGTATATAGAGATGCTACCAATTTCTGCATGTTGATTTTGTATCCTGCAACTCTACTAAATTCGTGGATCAGTTCTAAAAGTTGTTTGGTTGAGTCTTTAGAGATTTTTATATATAAAATCATGTCAGCAAACAGAGACAATATCACTTTTTATCTGATTTGGGTGCTTTTGTGTATTTTTATTGCCTAATTGCTGTGTCTAGGACTTCTATTACTATGCTGAATAGAAGAAGTGAGAGCATATACTTTTGAGCAAGGATTCTTCCATCCTCCTCCTACAGAAAGGGCAGGTTCTAATTGCACTCTGGCTGAACTATTAGCACTTCTCATGCACTTGTGTGCTCAGCCCTCAGTCAGCCTCATTGGAAAGGGTCCAACTGAGGAAGGCACCAGATGTATTTGCTGCTAAGTCCTGGCCACAGACAGTGGATGACAGATGATTATTTAAATAAAGATTAGCTTTCCTTTCAAAGTTGGAGTGCTAACCCACCAAATGTCCCTAAGGCTTCAGGGCAGGACCATGGAAAGAGGAGGAGGAAGGTTCTGAGAACTAGACAAGGGGCACTGAGGAGGCAGAAATGAATCAAGTGCTGTATCCAGGGAGATGTGGAGGAGACTGTTAGAAAATAGTAACAAAAAAAGGGAAGCCCAAGCAGAGAATTGTTTGGTAGAAAGAATACCCACGACCCAGGGTCAGTGGAGGAGTTATGTTTTCTTCCCCTATTTCCCTGCATTTCTGCACTATGCACAGTGATATCGCTGTCACTTTCTCAGCCCTGCAGGCTTGTCAGAACCCAGTGACCGCCTGGAACTGGTGGTGACAGATGAGAGGACACTCAGGGATCCCAGCCCCAGGCACTGCATTCAGGAAGGGGTTCAGCTCTCAGGGGGTGTCTCCCTTCTCACAGCCCAGCCCTGGGGTATGATGTGGAAGGTGTGAGCCCCATTTAACATGGTGCTTCCTTCTGTCCTAGGATTCTACAGCAAATCCACCCTCTCAGCTCAGCCCAGCCCTGTCCTGACCTCAGGAGGTAAGGTGACACCATTATGTCCTTCACGGCTGGGATTTGACAGGTTCATTCTGACCGTGGAAGGTGAACACAAGCTATTCTGTCTCCTGGACCCCGAAAAACAGTCCGATGGACAGTTCCAAGCCCTGATCCTGGCAGACCCCATGACTTCTAGCCACAGGTGGAGGTTTACCAGTCTGGTTTAGCAGACTTTAGCACCTGAGACCAAGAGCTCCAGCAGCTCACTAGATTCTGACCATACCTGGAGGCAACCTGGTGAAAGAAGAGGCTTGGAAGGAACCAGCCCTCTGAGTCCCAGCTCCTCGCACACTCCAGGTGTGCCTAGGGAGCCCTCCCATTTGACTCCACAGGGTCCTGTCATGGCCCATGGAGAGAGGTTGACCCTCCTGTGTTGCTCTGATGTTGGCTGCAAAATATTCTCTCTGTCCAAGAAAAAGATACATCACCTTCCCCAGAGTTCTGGCCAGAAGTTCTCTCAAGATGACTTCCCCTTAGGCCCTGTGAGCATCTCCCATGGGGGCCAGTACAGATGTTCAGTGGACACAACCTCTCCTCTAGGTGGTCAGCCCCCAGTGACCCCCCTGGACATCCTGATCGCAGGTGAGAAGCCCAGCGGGTTCAGTTAGGGACCCAGGCTCTGTACAGGCCCTGCCAGGGGAGCCTAGGTGGTGATGGTTGGGATGAGGGGTGGGGGTCTCAAGGGAGGGAGAGGCAGAGAGAGAGAGAGGATGGATTGGGCGGGGACGGGGAAACTCAGAGAAAACAGAGACAGAGATACTGAGGGTCCCAGAGAGAGGCCTGGGGAAGTCTCAGCTCAGAACAAGGTGGGGCGGCTCCTCACCCATCCTTCTTCTCTCCAGGACAGATCCGTGAGACAGCCTCCCTCTTGGTGCAACCAGGCCCCACTGTGGTCTCAGGAGAGAACATGGCCCTGCTGTGTCAGATGCAAAGCTGGGTGGACAGACACTTTCCTTCTATCTGAGGAGGATGCAGCTGACAAGACCCCACCCTCGTATCTAATATCAAAGTACCCTACTCCGTGGTAGAGGTTGAATTCTCCATGAGTCCTGCGACCTCAGCCCATGCGGGGACCTACAGGTGCTATGCCTCATAGAGTGTTTACCCCAAGCTGTTGTTCCCCCAGTGACCTCCTGGTAATACAGGAGTTACTAAGAAATTGTTTTAGGCAGATAGTAAGGGTAAAGGTTCTTGGTGGAAATTTTCCAGTAATAAGGAACAATCCCTGAACCATCTCTTTTCTAACAGAAATGACAGCTTAAATGGCCCGGCCAGCAAGCTTTAATGTGCAAATGCCAACCATTAAAAACTGGGTTCACTCAATATGGTGATTCCTACTGTCTTCTCTTTGTTACCACCTGTGCCAAGTGTGATGGCCACCTCCAGACAACACCATGTATTCAAAACATCATGGTGACCCAAATGAATGAAAAAGCCCTTTTTAATATGCATTTTTAAAGGCCTACAGAAAACCAGGGCCAAACCTCTCAATTACTCTAAACTGTCTATAATGGAACAAAAGCCAAATAAAAATCTTGTAGCCTTTATAAAAAGGCTAAAAGAGGCACTAAAAAAGTATATCTTTTTATTCTCTAATCCAGTTAAGTAACAGCTCATCCTGAGGGACAAATTTATTACACAGGCAGCTCCCAATATTAAAAAAAAAAAAAAAAACTACAAAAGAAAGCTACAGGACCAAATAGCACCTTAAAAAACCTCCTGAAGGTGGCCACTTTGGTCTTTTATAATATGGACCAGGAGGAGTCCCAAAAGAAAGAAAAAAAGCTCAGGAGAAGGACAAAGTCTCTAGCAGCAGCTTTGAAGGCTCGCAAAGTCCCAGATCACCAAGATGCATCCTCTAGTTGCTATTAGTGTAGCAGGCCAGAATGTCCAGTCAGCAAAATGAAGCAACCTCCACTCTGTCCAGCCTGTGGCAAAAACCACTGAAAACAGAACTGCCCCCAGACATGGAGGTCACTGAGTTCAAAACCAGTCTCACAGATGGTCCAGCAAAACTGATGGATCCTGGTGCTTGAACCTAGGCTCCAGTAGCTCAAACTGCCATTATAGCACAAGAGCCCTGGATAATTCTGGAAATTAAAGGAAGGAAAGTAGACCTCCTTCTAAACACTAAAGCTAGTCTCTCTCTCTTTTCTATTCTCTAATCCAGGCCTCCCTTCTTCCTTCATCACAACCGTAAGGGGCATCTTAGGAAAAAGTCTAATCCAATATTTTCTCAATCTTAGTTAAAACATGCTTTCGGTCAGGCACGGTGGCTCACGCCTGTAATCCCAGCACTTTGGGAGACTGACGTGGGTGGATCACCTGAGGTTGGGAGTTCAAGACCAGTCTGGCCAACATGGAGAAACCTCATCTCTACTAAAAATACAAAAAATTAGCCAGGTGTGGTGGCACATGCCTGTAATCCAAGCTACTTGGGAGGCTGAGGCAGGAGAATTGCATGAACCCAAGAGGCAGAGGTTGCAGTGAGCCGAGATCGCTCTATTGCACTCCAGCCTGGGCAACAAGAGTGAAACTCCATCTAAAACAAACAAACAAACAAACAAAAAATCAAAAAAACATGCTTTCAAGCCATTGAAGCCATTGTCATGATAGCTCTACTAGTCAGAAAAGCCTGCAAGTTAACCCTAGAAAATAAAAATAATTTAACTGTTTACAGCCCACATAATGTAGCAGAATCACTGTCCTCTAGGGGGAGCTCTTAGCTGGTAAACAGCCCGTAAAGCAAAAAGTAAATAAGGCAGAATAAGCAGTAGTCACTCTCTCCAGGCACAAACACTCAATTAGCTGAGTTAATAGCTCTTTAAAAAGCACTTAAATTAAGCAAGGAAAAGGCAGCTAACATTTACACTAACTCCAAGTATGCTTTCTTGGTTCTCCATGCTCATGCTGCCATTTAAAACAAAAAAACATGTTCTTACTGCTAATAAATCTCCTATAAAAAATCACCAAAAAATTAGCAAGTTATTCTTATTTTTTCTTCCACAAAAAGTAGCAGGGATGCATTGTAAGAAACATCAAAGAATAAACAATAAGGTAGCCAAAGGAAATAAGTTAGCCAATCGGGCAGCTAAGTCAAAGGCATAAAAGCTTCAAGGCCTTAATGCACTTCAAGCCCCTTCTAATCTAAAAAGGCTCCATAAGAGAAATCACACCTCAGTATTCCCCTGAAAAAATAGAATAAGCCACTTCTCAAGGGCATACTTTTCAGCCCTCAGGATGGCTACAGTCAGGATGGCAAATTTATTGGTCAGCCTCCAGCCAACAGAAAGTTCTTGAAGTCCTAAGCTTTTCACTCAGGAAAAAATAAAACTTATCAATGGGCTCAAACATTGTTTTCAGACGGGAAACCTCTAGAATGGTTAACCACGTAACCTCTCTAGCTCACTTCCAACAAAAATTGACACAATAGCAGAAGCCCAGCCCTAGGAAATAAAACCACCTTTATTTAACTCAGGAAATTTAGTATTAGTAAGAACTCTCATCTCTGTCTCCTTCCCTAAGCCAAGCTAAAAAGGGCCCTACACTGTTCGTCTTTCAACCTCCTCGGCAGTAAAAGTTACAGGAATCAACTTCTACATGCATCACACTCAAGTCAAAGCCAAAAAGCTAAAAAACCAACCCCTAACAGTAAAAAAAAAAAAAAAAAAAAAAAAAAAAAAAAAAAAAAAAAAGCTAAATATTAATGTAAAAAAATAGAAGATCTTAAGCTAAAAATCATAGAAGATAAGTAACTAAGTAAGGGCTACACATCTTACTCAGTCCCACTCCTACCCACCAAATATGTTTTATTATTTCTAACCTTTTCTCACAAAGTTCACGGCCAAATATTAAAACTTCTTTTTAACACTTATTTGCAGCAAAATTTAAATATTCATAAAATCACATTTGTAACTTTCTGAATCCCCAAAGGAAAATGTTATATCTTGGCAAGTTTTTTTTTTTTTTTTTTTTTTTTTTTTTTGAGACAGAGTCTCGCTCTGTTGCCCAGCCTGGAGTGCAGTGGTGCAATCTCAGCTCACTGCAAGCTCCGCCTCCCGAGTTCACACCATTCTCCTGCCTCAGCCTCCCGAGTAGCTGGGACTACAGGCGCCCGCCACCACGCCTGGCTCATTTTGTGTATTTTTAGAGAGACGGGGTTTCACCATGTTAGCCAGGATGGTCTCGATCTCCTGACCTCGTGATCCACCCGCCTGGGCCTCCCAAAGTGCTGGGATTACAGGTGTGAGCCACCACACCCGGCCAGCAAGTAAAGTTTTAAACAAAAATTACTGGCCAGAAAAAAAAAAAAGCCATTCTTGTGAAAATTGTTGTAGTCACACTGCTATTTGCAATGAAACTATACTCTGTGGCACCCACAATGTAGAATTCTGGTTGTAAAATTGTAATTGTGGTAATATTTTGCCTGATTATCATCCTTATAACAAAATTAATAATTGCAGAAAAAATTTAATCAAGGTTGTTTTGCTTATAGCAGAAGTAATAGTAACGAATAAAAAGCAAGCATTAAAGTTTTACTAGCATTAAGTGTAATAAAACTTTTTACCAAAGGTTGGTGATATAATGCACTGTAAGCTATAAAAAGGTTATAAAAACATTTACATAAAAAAGGATTTTGTATGGTGAATACTTGTCCTAAAAGAAAATAACTGGTTGTTTAAAGGAAGAATGTTTAGGACAAGTCTAAAAGTTTAAGTGTGTTGTAAGAGAGTCTGTGAAAGTCATAAAAAATTTAATAATTAAAAAAAGTCAAAATTAACGCTAAAGTTATTTTAGCCACCCAATAATGTATTTCTCCCAATCATACTGCAAGTAGTAAAAATGGCCTAAGCCTAAAGTTATTCTCTACTGGCACGTTAAGGAGGAAACATATGCTTTTCTCTAGGAAAAAGTTACTTTTACAGTAACGTTCCTGGTAATGTACACCGACATCTAGTGGAGGAAAACCTGTATTGCAATCCATTGATACAACAACAGGTGTCAAACTCCACTGTCACTTAGGGTCTGTAGGACTGCCACTAACGATGGTATTTTTTTTTTTTTTTGAAACAGAGTCTTGCTCTGTTGCCCAGGCTGGAATGCAGTGGCACAACCTCAGCTCACTGCAACCTCCGCCTCCCGGGTTCAAGTGATTCTCCTGCCTCAACCTCCCAAGTTGCTGGGATTACAGGAACTCACCATCATGCCCGGCTAATTTTTGTATTTTTAGTAGAGATGAGGTTTCACCATGCTGGCCAGGCTGGTCTTGAATTCCTGTCCTCAGGTGATCTGCCCGCGTTGGCCTCCCAAAGTGCTGGGATTACAGACATGAACCACCACACCCAGCCCCAATGGTGGTAATCTTAATACTCATATTCTAACCCTATATTTTAAACCTTCTTGTAAAATTTCTCTCTTTTTGCCTAAAAGTAATTAAACTCCAAATGGTGCTGCAAGCAAAGCCACACATGGACACGCCATTCTTTTGAGAAACCTTAAATCAACCTCAGAAAAAGGCCCAACTGCTGTTCCCCCACACAACACCCCTTTTCAGCAGGAAGTAGCCAGAAAGAAACATGATCCAACACGCACTAACAGCAGTTAGCTTTGCCTCTCTTTAAGGGGAGGAATAATACAGCAGTTATTAAGGAATTATTTTAGGCACATAGTAAGGGTAAAGGTTCTTGGTGGAAATTTTCCTGTAATAAGAAACAACCCCTGAACCATCTCTTTTCTAACAGAGAAGCTGTCTTAAAGAGCCTGGCCGGCAAGCTTTAAAATTCAAATGCTGGCCATTAAAACATGGGTTCATGCAATATGGTGATTTCTGCCATCTTCTTATCACCACCTGTGCCAAGCGTGATGGCCACCTCCAAATAACACAAAGCATCATGGTGGCCCACATTTGCATATTAAAAGGCTAAGGTGGGAGGAACAAGTTTTTCGAGGGCTATGTAAATGACACACCTGGCCTAACCAATCCCCTGGGCCCTATGCAAACCAGACACTTGCCTCCTCCAGCCTCCCAATATAAGCAACCACTTTTCCACCACACACGGGGTTCTTCTTTGTTCCAAGCTCCCCTCCCTTGGCTCTGTACAGAGGAGCTCTTTTCTTCTTTCTTTCTTCTTTCTTGCCTATTAAACTTTTTGCTCCTTAAAACCACTCCACGTGTGTCCTTATTGTTTTATCTAAACTGGCATGAGACCAAAAACCCTAGTCACCAAAGCCATATCACTGGAGCTCATGGTCTCAGGTAAGAAACCTCCAACCCGTGTCCATTGAAGCTGGCATTAGTCGTGTGAATGTAGAACTTCATGTTAGTAACACAGCTTTTAAAATGTTTCCCTAAATTGAGGCGGAGCTTGCAGTGAGCCAAGATTGTGCCATTGCACTCCAGCCTGGGCGACAAAGAGAGACTCCGTCTCAAAAAAAAAAAAAAAAGTTTCCCTAAATTGTATATTTTTACTGTATACAACATGTGGTATTGCAACATTCCTATTTGTGGGTTGGCTAAATCGATCTAATAAACATACACATCAGTTCACATACTACTGTTTGTGGTGAGAACTCTTAAATCTACTCTCACAGTGATTTTCAAGAATAGAATATATCGTTATTAACTATAGTCACCATGTTGTAGCATAGATCTGGAAGTTATTCTGTCAAACTGGAATTTTGGACCCCTCTATCAACATCCTCCCAAGATATAGGAATAAATGTGAGCACATCAAAAGACACCCAAACCATTACTTATTATAAAAATTCATAGGAATCCACAGTGAGACACTACTTCAAACACTGGATTGGCCATATTCTGAAAAATAACAAATGTCAGGAAGGGTGTGCGGAAAGAGAACCTTCACGCACTGCTGGCATGATTGTGAAATTTTTCGGTGACTGTGAAAAGTGGTTTGGAGGCCGGGCGTGGTGGTTCACGTTTGTAATCCCAGCACTTTGGGAGGCCGAGGCAGGAGGATCACCTCAGGTCAGGAGTTTGAGACCGGCCTGGCCAAAATGGCAAAACCCCTTCTCTACTGAAAGTGCAAAAATTATCTGGGCACGGTGCAGGTGCCTGTAATCCCAGCTACTCAGGAGGCTGAGGCAGAATAGCTTGAACCCAGGAGCAGAGGTTGCAGTGAGCCGAGATCGTGCCGCTGCACTCCAGCCTGGGTGACAGAGCCAGACTCCATCAAAAAGAAAGAAAGAAAGAGAGAGAGAGAGAGAGAGAGGGAGGGAGGGAGGGAGGGACGGAGGGGGAGAGAGAGAGAGGAAAGAAAAGAAAGAAAGAAAGAAAAAGAGAGAAAGAAGAAAAAGAAAAAAGCGGTTTGACAGTTCCTTAAAAGATGAACCTAGGAAGGCTTATATGCTGTTGGTGGTAAATTAGCTCAACTTCTATGGAAAACAGCATAGAGGTTTCTCAAAGAACTAAATACAGAACTGCCGTTTGACCCAGCAATCCCACTACTGTAAAAGAAATAATTATATTAAAAAAGACACACGCACTCGTATGTTCACCGTGGTGCTATTCACAATAGCAAAGTCATGGAACCATCCTAGATGTCCATCCATCGTGGCATGGATAAAGTAAAAGTGGTAAATATATAGCCCAGAATACAGCATAGCCATAAAAAATAGTGAAATCATGTCCTTTGCAGGAACATGGATGGAGCTGGAGGCCATGATCCTACGTGAACTAACTCAGAATCAGAAGACCAAACACTGCATGATCTCACTTACAAGTGGGAGCTACACAATAGGCACTCATGGACATAAAGATGGAGATAAACACAGGGAAACCCAAAAGGGGGGAAGGGTGGGAGGAGGGCAAGAGGTTAAAAAAATATATTAGGGCTGGGTGCGGTGGCTCACGCCTGTAATCCCAGCACTTTGGGAGGCAGAGATGGGGGGGATCACCTGAGGTCAGGAGTTCGAGACCTGCCTGGTCAATGTGCAGAAACCCCATCTCTACTAAAAATACAAAATTAGCTGGGCATGGTGGTGCATGCCTGTAATTCCAGCTACTCGGGAGGCTGAGGCAGGAGAATTGCTTAAACCTGGAAGGTGGAGGTTGCGGTGAGCAGAGATCGCACCACTGCACTCCAGCCTGAGCAACAAGAGTGAAACTCCATCTCAAAAAAAAAAAAATCTATCTATCTATTTATATATATATATACACACACACACATACATACACCAAACAAGCACATGTACCTTTTGAATATAAAATAAAATAAAATAATAATATAAAATAAAATAAAAAATAAACCTAGAATTACTCTATGATCTAGAAATTTCACTTCTAGGTATGTGACTAAAGGTTTAGGTTATACAAGACGAATGAAGTTTGCAATGTACCCTACAACATTTTGTCTTTAGTTAACAATACTGCATCATGAAGTTAAAAATTGGTAGGAGAATTAACTCTTCCTACCACAATAAAAAAAAAGACTGATAGTAGATATTGTGAAAGGAAATTAAATTTTGGGACCCCACACTCATTTAGCTAAGGGGGAAAGTCAAGCTGGGGACTGGGTCACACAAACCTGCCTCTCCATTTTGGTTCGTGAATAAGATGGCTACAAGGTGAAAAGCTACATGCCTCCCCCACGTTTTGCCCACAAGAAGATTCCTAGTGAGCTGTTAAAATTTCACCATGGCAATGTAAATTGATAGCTTATCTTTCCAATGTATATTGATAGCTTATCTTTCCAGTGTATACTGATAGCTTATCTTTCCAGTGTATATTGATATCTTATCTTTCCAGTGTATGATAGCTTATCTTTCCAATGTATACTGATAGCTTATCTTTCCAGTGTATACTGATAGCTTATCTTTCCAGTGCATACTGATAGCTTATCTTTCCAGTGTATACTGATAGCTTATCTTTCCAGTGTATGTTGATAGCTTATCTTTCCAGTGTATATTGATAGCTTATCTTTCCAGTGTATATTGATAGCTTATCTTTCCAGTGTATATTGATAGCTTATCTTTCCAATGTATATTGATAGCTTATCTTTCCAGTGTATATTGATAGCTTATCTTTCCAGTGTATATTGATAACTTATCTTTCCAGGTACAGTCTCCCCAGCCCATCAGACACAAATGCATATCTGATCATTCCCCCACCCAATTTTGTCTATGTTTATCTTATGTAAAATGCAGATTCACTGCATATTTTCCTCTGCCCCATTTGTTTTTGTCGTCTGATGTAAAAAGTGCAGATTCACTGAACCAGACAAAGGCATGAATGACTATTTTTAAAAAAAATACAGATTCACTGAGCTAGACAAAGGCATGCGTAACTATTTTTCCTTACCCTCCTCTTACATGAAAATTGTGTGCTTCTCAATATCCCGCCCTTTACCCTTTAAATTTGGATCCCTCAAAATCATCTTCAGAGAAAGGCATAGATCTGTCTCCCAGGCACATCTTTAACTTTGGCAAATAAATCTCCTGAAATGATAAGAGACTTATCTCATTGGACAATATCCAAACACTTGTGCCCAAGTGTTTATAGAAGCATTATTCACAATAAAAAGATAAAAGTATCACAAATGTCCACCAACCAACGTGTTGCATCCATATGTTAGAAATTTACTCATCCATAAAAATGAAGTACTGATGCATGCTGCAATTTGGAGATTCAAAATATGAAGCTAAGTGAAAGAAGCCAGATCCAAAGGTCACATACTATATGATTACATTTATATAAAATGTCCAGCAGCTGGAAATCCACAGAGACAGAAAGCAGATTGATGGTTGCCTGGGGCTGAGCAGGGGTAGGGAGAGGAGAGGGACTGCTCCGTGGAACGGGGTTCCTTTTGGGGTGATGAAAATCTTTGGGAACTAGAGGTGGCAGTTGCTGCAATGAAAATCTACTAAATGCCACAGAGTTGTATATATATATATATATGTATTTTTTTTTTGAGACGGAGTTTCACTTTTATTGCCCAGGCTGGAGTGCAGTGGTGTATTCTCGCGTCTCTGCAACTTCCGCCTCTCAGTTTCAAGCGATTTTCCTGCCTCAGCCCCCCAAGTAGCTGGGATTGCAGGTGGCCACCACAACACCTGTCTAATTTTTCTGTATTTTTAGTAGAGACGGAGTTTCACCATGTTGGCCAGGCTGGTCTTGAACTCCTGACCTCAGGTGATCCACCCGCCTCGGCCCCCCAAAGTGCTGGGATTATAGGCGTGAGCCACTGCGCCCGGCCTAGAGTTGTATACTTTTAAAGGGTCAATTTTACATTATCTGTATTTTACTTCAGTGAATGGAAATTTAAGAAAAAAGAGCATGGTTCTATGCAGATTTCTTTTATCTTAAAAAGTTGCAACATGACCCAGTGTTTTTTTTTTTTTAATGTGAGGTAAGATTCCTAATAAGTGAGAGACGTCCTAAGTCCCACAGTGTTCAGACATGAAGCTGATCTTTTCACCTTACATCTTAAATTCTAATGTGGCTGAGTACAGAATTCGGGATGAGCTCCAGGATTCCTGCAGTCTGTAACTTTTTCTGACACTTTACCATTCCACCCGTGATGACGGATTGTTCCTGACTTACCTTTGGAACATAAAGGCTCTTACACCACGTGTCTGGATCTGGTAAAAGAGATTACACGAGATTGAGAGCCTTACATGTCTCAGGCAATACTCATCCTCAAACCAACCCTGAGATATGGGTCATTATCTTCTTCTATAAGGAGGAAAATGGGAAAGAGGTGTTACATGATCAAGGTCAACCATCAGTAAATTCCACCCTCATGTCTTACATTAACACCTGTTCATTTCCTCCGGGGATCACTCTTGCCCAAAGCATGGAGACAGAATCCATGGTATCAGCTGAGGGCTGTGAGCAGGGAAGAAAAGAGGTAGTAAGGAAGGAGAAATGACTCAGATGTTTTGACAGAGAGTGACCCTGTTTGCCCCAAGAACACTTGCGGGTTACAGTCCTAATCTTACCCCCAAAGTGTTCCCAGACCAAACTGAGGGTGGGGCTGCTATTTCTCATGGCCCAATAATGAGATGCGGATGAACTGGGGAGGGAGAGAGTTTTTATTTCTGTTACCGGTTACAGGGAGAAGGCCTGGAAAACATTGCCAGACCAACTCAAAATTACAAAGTTTCCCAGAGCTTATATACCTTCTAAGCTATTTATTAAAAAATGCAGCTATTTTCTAAGCTATCTTCTAAGCTAAGCTAAGAAGATAGCTAAGCTTCTTCTAAGCTAAGCTAAGAAGATAGCTAAGCTTCTTCTAAGCTAAGCTAAGAAGATAGCTAAGCTTCTTCTAAACTATCTAAGCTAGATAAGCTTCCAAACTATCTTCTAATAAGTTTAGAAGATTCTAAGCCATTAAGCTACCTAAGCTATAGTCTTCTAAGCTATCTTCTAATCTTCTAAGCTTAGAAGCTTAGCTATCTAAACTAAGCTAAGATATTCTAAGCTTCTAATATCCATCTTTCACATCACCCATTTCCTGCACGGGATATGGCACGCCAGAGACCCAGGGGATGTTTTCTGCATGAATCTAGTAATAAACAAATACCTGCATCCCTCAGGGCTGATAAAGAGTCTATAAACCTCAGATGGAGAGTCTAGAATGTTAGAACATAAACCAGGGAATGTGTCAGATGCCTAAGGACCTTCACAGCAATTCTAGCAATTCTTCATAAAAGCAGCTGTCATTTACTGAGCATAGTTCATCAGGTTATCTCTAGGCATATAATGAAAATAATAATCATAGTAAAAAATAGCCCACATTATTGAATGACTGCTAAGAACATGGTAGAATTTCACTTTGTACATCACATGTATTAACTATGTAGTTCCCCACCAAAACCATGTAAGGTAGATACTAGCACTATACTAAGTTTATATATGACACAATAGCAATGTGGGTAACTTTCCCTAACTCACGAAGTTAAAAGGGGCAGAGCTGTGATCAAATCTCAGGCTTCCTGGCTCCAGAGTCTTCCCTGTTAGTTCAACTGATTGCTTCCTATGAGAGGTAGAATATAATAATCTCTGATTGTCAACCCACCAAATATCCTTACAAAGAAGACATTTTTATTATTGCAATTTTATAGAAAAGCAAAGTGAGCCTCAGAGAGGCAAAGTGACTTTCCCAAGGAGACAGAGATAGCAAGAGGCAGATGTAGGTTTTGAAAGTACTGTGATGTAACTCCAAGCCTGTTGCTTTTTTTTTTTTTTTTGAGACCGAGTCTTACTCTGTTGCCCAGGCTGGAGTGCAGTCACGTGATCTCAGCTCTCTGCAAGCTCTGCTTCCTGGGTTCATACCATTCTCCTGCCTCAGCCTCCCAAGTAGCTGGGACTACAGGCACCCGCCACCACGACTGGCTAATTTTCTTTTTTTTTTTTTTTTTGTATTTTTGGTGGAGACAGGGTTTCACTATATTAGCCAGGATGGTCTCCATCTCCTGACCTCATGATCATCCCTCCTCAGCCTCCCAAAGTGCTGGGATTACAGGCGTCAGCCACTGTGTCTGGCCCCAAGCCTGTTGCTTTTTAGTCAATACCCTATAAACTGGTTTCCTGAACATGGTCTGGAAAGAGATGACCTGAGGTGGATGAGGAAGAGCCAACTCTAAATGCCACCCTGGGCCGTGCTAGTGGTTGTCCTGCTGGGTGAGCGGCTAACATCATAAGCTTCTGAATTCCATTCCTATTCAGAATCCATGGAGTGGATGTGTCTTTTTCCAATTTATTCTGATGCATTCGCTAAATATTTATTAGACACCTTCAGGGAATCTCTATTTAGGAGTCTCTAAGAGGGGGCCCAGCTCATACAAATGTATCAACTAACACACCAGAAAACAGTGGAAGCCTTGTTGCTTCCTGGACTCTGACCATGGTGCTGAAACTAGAGTTCATGGCAACATCCCAGTCAGTGCTGTGGACAGCGACCACAGGAGCCACTCTCCTGGGGCTGGGGCCTGATAGAGGAAATAGGAATGGTGTCTAGATACAGGGCCAGGTCTGTTGGAGACCTTGAATAGGAGCCAAAATTGAACAGGATGTGGGGAAGCTCAAGAGGTTGATGACGTCTAGCTGGACCATGGAATGTTGCTATCTAAATAGGCAATTATTTTTGTACTCTACACCAGGGTAGGCAGACAGGAAGCCAAGAGGGAAGCATCCTGGAACTTCCTTCGTCATACAGAATACTGAGTTTCCTTGGCTGCTCATGAGTGTATATTATGAGTGCAATAAAGTTTGAGTGCGATTATCCCTTAGACTAAAATCTGTTTTTGCAAGAGTTTTCTTCAGAGAAATGGAACCAATCAGATGTTTATTTATGTATATACCTATCCTCTGTCTATCTAGCTATCTGTTTATTTCTCTAGGAATGTGCATTATGAATACAATATGGCCCCTCTTACTGTGGGCCAACGTTTGTTCCATGTTTTAGCCAATGAACCAGACAAACTGTTAGAGCCATGTCTAGCTCACTGAGATGCAACATTAAATGCAGGATCTCTCCTTAGTAGGTCCATATCAATAACATTGGCCTGGCTCAACTTTATCTTCCTTTCACCATTATCCAACACCCTTAATGTCCATTCGCACACATGTTCCCTAGATTTCTAGGTGTATAAATCAGAAGAACTTAGTAGTCACTTTGGAGTGTAGCACATTTCCCCATGGATCACACATTGAACCTATGGCTTAGAAGCAAAGATGGGTAGTGGGGGCGGATCCTGAGGAAAATTAGCACTGTCTTGCATGGCAACTGCCTCCACGGAGGCCACTATTGTTTCCTCAGACAGTGCAGGGTTAATCTCCTCAGATGCACGGGGAGAGAATGCTTCCATTGTCAAAGAGCATGATTAAGGAACTCACTGTCCTTACCTTCATCAGTGTCTTTCACACATCCCTATTCCAAATGTCAAGATTCCACACCTTCCGAATCAATACCCTTAAAGTAGACACCCTTTGAGGCTGGGAATTCCATTTGTATTGTAATTTAGCCACTTGAAGGGTGAGTTTCTGGGTTTGCTTTTTCTTTTTCTTTTTTTTTTTTTTTGAGACAGAGTCTTGCCCTTGTCCCCCAGGCTGGAATGCAATGGCACGATCTCGACTCACTGCAACCTCCACCTCCTGAGTTCAAGCAATTCTCCTGCCTCAGCCTCTTGAGTAGCTGGGATTACAGGCACCAGCCACCACACCTGGCTAATTTTTGTATTTCTAGTAGAGACGGGATTTCGCCAAGTTGGCCAGACTGGTCACGAACTCCTGACCTCACATGATCTGCCCACCTCGGCCTCCCGAAGTGCTAGGATTACAGGCGTGAGCCACCGCACCTGGCCCCAGGTTTGACTTTTCAAAGGCCTCAGCCCTGTGGCTACAAATGATGAGTATCTTTTAGGGCAGATATAGAAGTCTTAGCTCATTTATGTTTGCACTTGAACTGAAAATTCAAATCTTTGAATTCATCCTCTTCTTTCCCCAACTTTGTCCAGTGACAACCCAGCCAATCTCATTATGCTCATTAGTTTTCAAAAACATTCAAAAGTATTATGTACATGATCACTCAGATTCTTTTTTTTTTTTTTTGAGACGGAGTCTTGCTCTGTCGCCCAGGCTGGAGTGCAGTGGCATGGTCTCCGCTCACTGCAAGCTCCGCCTCCCAGGTTCATGCCATTCTCCTGCCTCAGCCTCCCAAGTAGCTGGGACTACAGGCGCCCACCACCACACCTGGCTAATTTTTTTGTATTTTTTTTTTTTTTAGGAAAGATGGGGTTTCACCGTGCTAGCTAGGATGGTCTCGATCTCCTGACCTCGTGATCCACCCGCCTCGGCGTCCCAAAGTGCTGGGATTACAGGGGTGAGCCACCGCACCCGGCCCACTCAGATTCTTATAAATGTTTGTTAGGCGTTTCCAATGATGACATTTGGTGTATCCCTATGGCCACATCATGTTATGCACTATCAACACTACTGGAAATGGAGTCATTAGTGTTTTTAAATCTAATCAAATTAGAAAGCCGATTTCAGAAACTTTGGATCCAATTCAGAAAACTCATCCTTAAAAATTCTGTTCCTTTGGAATCATCCCTGGAACCAAAATGATTTTTTTTTCAAGGGTTCTCCAGAGAAATTGAACCAGCAGAATGTTTATTTATGTGTCTATCTGTGTATCTATGTATCTATCTATGTATCTATCCATGTATCTATGTATCTATCTATTTATCTATCTATCTATTTATTTGTTTATCTATTCATTTACCTAGGAATTGGCTCATGTGATTGTAGGAGCTTGGTGAGTCCAAAATCTGCAGGACAGTAGAGTATCCTGGAGACTCAGGAAAGAGTTGTAGCAAACTAAAAAATCCAAAGACAATCTGCTGGAAGAATTTCTTCTTGCTCAGGGGAGCTCTCTGCTATTACTTTATTGTTATTTTGCTCACAAGACATGTATCATCCTATAACATATTGGATTTTCTATTAATTTTTGTTGTTGTCTAATATCCATCTTTCTCAACTATAATATTGATTCAATACAGACACTTTTTTAGAAGTCTTTCTGTCTTTTTTCTGATACATCTTATACACCAAGAATCACGTTTGACCCATTAGATACTTAATGTGTGCCCATGAAAACAGTGAATAAAAGTGTCTCCACTTCTTCCAAGTTTATTTTTAACACTGGAGCAAATGATTTCTACTTGATTCTCTCTTTTTTTCTCCCTTCCAGGCTGCCTTTAGTGCAAAGTCCTCAGAATGGAAAAATATTCTTGGGGGAGGCAAAACCTTAAGGTTGGCAAGAAACAAACCCCAGCCTTATCCTTACTTTCCTTCTCTCAGTTAGATCTCAATGTCCTTGGCTGCAATGCCGTCTCTACCTAGTCTACTTCAAGCTTCCCAGATATGATTTCCTCTCTAAGTTTCTCTGTCTCTTCCTGTCTCTGTCTCTCTATTGTTCTGTTTCTTTCCATCTCTCTCTTTCTTGCTCCAACTTTCTCAGTCGACTAAAACTAATAGCTACGAATAGCTTTCAGTAATTTGAACATTTCACGGATGTTTTTCTAGATCAACTGAAATCCCTATGCAAACACTGTCACTGTACTTGCAGATGAAATGATAATCACTTCCCGGCAAGAAAAGGATCTCATGGTAGTCTTAAGCCTTTATCTCAGGGTTAAGATGCCCCCTTTTGTGGAGGTGCTTAGACTGTGACTATGGCAGTTGCTTTCCCAGCAAGAAACTGCATTTGGTAAGTGGACCTTCTTTCAGTTAGAGAGCCATATTCTTAGAGATGTAGAATATTTGTTGCAACATATATGTGTGTGTATATATATATATATATATATATATATATATATGGTGTAAACATCCCGGTCTATTTCCCCTAAGGTCAAAACTGAACATGGAAAAGAAACATGGGGCAGGGGTATTTTCTGAGAGTTCCTGAGACACAGAACCACCCCAGCCTTCCCACTCAGGGCTGCCTGGCATCTCCTGTTTACCTTCTCTGTCATAGCCCCATCTGAAAGACTCTGTCTGAATAAATATACCAAACCTCATAGTCTTAGCTCTCCTCTTTGTACGAGGGGTAAGAGTGTGTTCAGGTCTTGGCTCCTGTTCACACACCTGTTGTCTAATGGCAACTGGTACTTAGGACATTTGAAATATCTCTGGTGGCTGCATGCTGCACTTTGGTTGGCAATGGCTGTACGTCTCTGAAAACCTTCTGTGATGATTGCAAAACGGTACACTTTCATCTCCTTTCTTATGGGTTCCGGGGAGCCGAATGCACTTGATTTCACCAGTAATATATGTCTATAGACAATTTCTCAGATCGGCGTGAAGAAGGTAAATTATATCTTTCATTTAGAAAAATATAAATCTCACTTTTACAAAACGTGACTAAGAATTGTCAAGGCTTAGAGAGCAGGAATAATCAGGGACTATATGGGTGTTCATGTCTAATAAATGCAACTCTGATCCTTAACCGTATTTAAAAGCGCTTTCAGAGTTCCGAAACCTTTTCATCTGCTCCAGATTCACTGGGTTCTGAAGCCAAAGCTTTCTGAAACTGTTCCTCCTCTCAGCCCCTAAGTGGTGAACGCTTGGTCTGTTCTGACAGCTGAGATCCTAGCCACGGGAGCGTGAGGTGAGGAATTTCCTGTCACCATCCCAGAAAGTAAAATATAGCCTCATTATTTCCTAATTGTGTTTCCATAAGAAAAACAAAGAATTCGATAAAAGAAACAAAGACCAGTATTTACTTTTTCATAAATGATTGTAGTTACTGAAGGACATATGGGGCCCGTAATCACAACGGGTCTAGGACTCACAGGTATTTTCTCGTCTCCATTATTTACCATAATTGTGTCATTCTCACTCCTGCTTACATGATTTATTTGGTATAATTTAAATGTATTTGTATGTTTTCTCTATGACTTAATGGGCAACATGCCCCTTTCTCTAACTTGTGTTTGTTGGTTTGTTGATCTCTGATACAAATTTGCTAAATATATTCTAGTTGTTGTTATAAAATATTTTCTTTCCAAGAAAATTTTTCAACAGGTTCATGTGCACACCATATATGAAATTCATATTCTTTTCTTATTCTCTTATTTTTCTCCCCATCCTCTACAACACTTGGGCCAAACTGTTATGGATTATTGTGTATCCACCAAGAAATGGCTTTGAGTTTTTAAAGTATCTATTTCTCTGAACTAATCTGTAATTTCCAAGAATCTAATATTTCTCAATTTTTAACACCAATTATTTTACTTTGTAATTTAACAACTTGTTAATTATTAAACAAGTAAAAAATGCAAAAATAAAAACTATGTTTTGATAGTTTCTAATTTATATTCTTTGGAAAATGTCTAAATTTTAGGAAATTAAAATTTTTTTCGAATTGAATGTGGCTAGAAATAATAATTTTTCACTGCATGGCATTACGTAAGTGTAATAGAATTCTACTCTCATCCTACTTTAGATAATGCCAAACTGAGAAACCATTATTAATTTATTTTGTTTTTGTCTAGACATGAAAATGAAAAGTTGCCATCAGAAGAATCATTATGGAAAGTGAAAATATGGTGCTAAATTAAATATGTGGCAAATAAATGTGTTTTTTTAACTTTTAGGTTCAGAGGTACATGTGCAGGTTTGTTATATAAGTAAATTGTGTGTTACAAGGGTTTGAAGTACACATTATTTTGTTATCCAGGTGGTAAGCATAGTACCAAATAGGTAGTTTTTCTGTCCTCACCCTCCCCACTTCCTCAACCCTCAAGGAGGTCCCCCTGTGTGTGATTACCAAGGAGGCCCCACTGTGTGTTATTACCTCCTATGTGTCCATTATGTATTCAGTATTTACTTCCAACTTATAAGTGACAACATATAGTATTCAGCTTTCTTTTTCTGTGTCAGTTCTCTTAGAATAATGACCACCAGGTCCATTAATGTGGCTGAAAATGACAGTATCTTATTCTTTGTTTTGAGGCAGAATCTCTCTGTCACCCAGGCTGGAGTGCAGTGGCACTATCTCAGCTCACTGCAGCCCCCGCCTCCCAGGATCAAGCAATTCTTGTGCCTCAGCCTGCCGAGTAAATGGGATTACAGGTATGCACCACCACACCCAGCTAGTCTTGTTTTGTTTTGTCTTGTTTTTTGAGATGGAGTCTCGCTGTGTCGCCAGGCTGGAGTGGAGTGGCGTGATCTCGGCTCACTGCATCCTCTGCCTCCCGGATTCAAGCGATTCTCCTGCCTCAGCCTCCTGAGTAGCTGGGACTACCAGGTGCACACCACCATGCCCAGCTAATTTTTGTATTTTTAGTAGAGACGGGGTTTCACCATGTTGGCCAGGATGGTCCCAATCTCTTGACCTTGTGATCCGCCCACTTCAGCCTCCCAAAGTGCTGGGATTACAGGCATGAGCCACTGCATCTGGCCAGTTTTTGTATTTTTTTTTTTTAGTAGAGATGAAGTTTTGCCATGTTGGCCAGGCTGGTCTCAAACTCCTGTCCTCAAGTTATCCACCCGCCTCGGCCTTTCAAAGTGCTGGGATTACAGGTGTGATATATATGATATATATGTGTCCTCATGGACACAGAGAGGGAACTTCACACACCAGGGCCTGTCAGGGGGTTGGGTAGGGGGGTAGGGGAGGGATAGCATTAGGAGAAATACCTAATGTAGACGACGGGTTGATGGGTGCAGCAAATTGCCATGGCACTTGTATACCTATGTAACAAACCTGCACGTTCTGCACATGTATCCCAGAACTTACAGTATAATAATAATAATAATAATAAAAAGAGTGGTCTCTGGGCTATAAGTTCCCTGCAGAGGATTGCATCATCTATTTTGTCACTGCCCCCACCCTAATGTTTGTAGGCTCATATATTATGCCAGTTAATATGCAAAGACTTAGGGATTCAGTACTGAATAAAAATGAGAATGGCCATGGCCTCATATTGCTTATGAGACTGCCAAAACCGAACGTGGTGTACATAATTACCCAGATGTATGGTGACTTCTTAAAAAATGAAGCATAGCCTTGCCATGTAATCTTGCCATTTTACTTCTGTGTATATATCCAGGGGAAGTCAAAGCAAATACTTGAGCAGATATTTATACCTCCATGTGCACAGCAGCATTACTTACAACAAACAAAAAGAATAAACCACCCAATGTTCATAGATGGATGAGTGGAGACATAAACTGTAGTGTAGACATACAGTAGAGTATGTATGTCTTACAAGGAATGAAATCATGATTGCCACATTCTACAACACGGGTGAAACTTGAAGATGTTATGCAGACTGAAATCAGGCAATCACAAAAAGACAAGTATTGTATGATTCTATTTATATGAAGTGCATAGAATAGGCAAACCCATAGAGACAGAAAGTAGAATATTGGCTTCCAGGGGCTGGGGTTGGGGGAGAGAAAATGGGAATTGGTATTTAATGCATACAGATTTTCAGTTTAGGATCATGAAAAAGATCTGGAGATGGATGGGGATGATGGTTGCGCAACGGTGTGGATGTACTTCAGCAAGGTGCTGTGGCTCACGCCTGTGTGTCTGCGTGCTAGGGTCTCGGGGGTTTTATAGGCACAGGATGGGGGCGTGGCAGGCCAGGGTGGTCTTGGGAAATGCAACATTTGGGCAGGAAGTGCCCGTCCTCACCTAGGTCTGTGAGGGTGGAGCCCTAGCCAGGGACCACGCCCTCCTCTGCCCAGCACTTCCCTTCCCTCTTCTGTATTATTTAAAGGGACTACACCCTTCCCTTCCCAGCACTTCTTTATCACCACTTAGAAAGGCCATTATCAAAAAGACAAAAAATAACAAGTGGTGGCTAGGATGCAGAGAAAAGGGGACTCTTGTGCACTGTTGAAGGCAACAAGAAGGAGTGTGGTCATTACAGGAAACAGTACATAGGTTCCTCATAAAACTAAAAAGAGAACCACCCTATGACCCAGCCAGCCCAGTTCTGGGTATAGATCGAAAGGAAAGGCAATCAGTATATTGAAAGGATAGCTTCACCCTGGTGTTTACTGCAGCACTATTCACAATAACCAAGATTTGGAAGCAACCTAAGTGTTTATGTACAGATGAATGGATAAGGAAAATGTGGTACATTTACACAATGGAATATTACCCAGTCGTTAAAAAGAATGAAATCCTGTCATTTGTGGCAACACGGATGAGCCTGGAGGAAATAAGTGAGATAAGCCAGGCATAGAAAGACAAAGGTAGCGTGTTCTTACTCATGTGTGGGAGTTAAAACAGTTGATCTCAGAAGCAGAGAGCAGAGTCGTGGTAACTAGAGGCTGGGAAGGGTGGGAAGAGGGGAGAGGGAAATGCTGGTTAAAGGATACAGAATTACAGCTAGATGGAGGAAATAATAAGTTCTGGTATCCTACAGCACTGTAGGGTGACTATAGTTAACAATAGTTTACTGTACAGCTAGATGGAGGAAATAAGTTCTGGTATCCTATAGCACTGTAGGGTGACTATAGTTAACAATAGTTTACTGTACAGCTAGATGGAGGAAATAATAAGTTCTGGTATCCTACAGCACCGTAGGGTGACTATAGTTAACAATAGTTTACTGTACAGCTAGATGGAGGAAATAAGTTCTGGCATCCTATAGCACTGTAGGGTGACTATAGTTAACAATAGTTTACTGTACAGCTAGATGGAGGAAATAAGTTCTGGTACCCTACAGCACTGTAGGGTGACTATAGTTAACAATAGTTTACTGTACAGCTAGATGGAGGAAATAAGTTCTGGTATCCTACAGCACTGTAGGGTGACTATAGTTAACAATAGTTTACTGTACAGCTAGATGGAGGAAATAAGTTCTGGTATCCTACAGCACTGTAGGGTGACTATAGTTAACAATAGTTTACTGTATATTTTCTTTTTTAGATGTTTTTATTATACTTTAAGTTCTAGCGTATCCTAGAAGCTTTATTCAGTACTGAATCCCAAAGTCTTTGCATATTAACTGGCATAATATATGAGCCTACAAACATTAGGGTGGGGGACAGTGAAAAAATAAATGATGCAACCCTCTGCAGGGAACTTATAGCCCAGAGACCACTCTTTTTTTATTATTATTATACTTTACGTTCTGGGGTACACGTGCAGAACGTGCAGGCTTGTTACATAGGTATACATGTGCCATGTTGGCTTGCTGCACCCATCGACTCGTCATTTACATTAGGTATTTCTCCTAATGCTATCCCTCCCCCAGCCCCCCAGCCCCAGACAGTCCCCAGTGAGTGATGTTCCCCGCCCTGTGTCCAGGTGTTCTCATTGTTCAATTCCCACCTATGAGTGAGAACATGCGGTGTTTGGTTTTCTGTCCTTGTGATAGTGTACTGAGAATGATGGTTTCCAGCTTCATCCATGTCCCTGCAAGGGACATAAACTCATCCTTTTTTATAGCTGCATAGTATTCCATGGTGTATATGTGCCACATTTTCTTAATCCAGTCTATCATTGATGGACATTTGGGTTGGTTCCAAGTCTTTGCTATTGTGAATAGTGCCACAGTAAACATACGTGTGCATGTATCTTTATAATAGCATGATATATAATTCTTTGGGTATATACCCAGTAATGGGATTACTGGGTCAAATGGTATTTCTAGTCCTAGATCCTTGAGGAATCGCCACACTGTCTTCCATAATGGTTGAACTAATTTACACTCCCACCAACAGTGTAAAAGATTTCCTGTTTCTCCACATCTTCTCCAGCATCTGTTGTTTCCTGACTTTTTAATGATTGCCATTCTAACTGGTGTGAGATGGTATCTCATAGTGGTTTTGAGTTTATTGTATGTTTTCAAAGAGCTAGAACTCCTGGGCTCAAGTGATCCACCTGCCTTGGCCTCCCAGAGTGCTGGGATTAAGTGCGTCTTTATTATAACTTATAATTGACACATAATAATTGTATATATTTGTAGGGTATAGAGTTGATATTTCAACACATATATATAATGTGTAATGGTTAAATAAGAGTAATGAACATATCCGCCATTTCAAACATTTATCGTTTCTTTGTGTTGAAAACATTCAAAATCCTCTCTTCTAGCTATCTGAAAATATACAATAAACTCTTAATGAGTCAATAGGTTGTCGTTGGTGGCACTTCTTGTGGTTATAGGGATTACTCTTTGCTGTCCGTGTTTGTTGAATGGTTCATTTCTTACACACCTAATTATCCATGGAAGGTAGTTCTTAGTGCTCTCCTGGGGGTCAGACTGAAAAAGAGGGGATTGTTCCAGCTATCCCTGCTGCATGATCTCAACTCCTCCAAACATATCATCTGCTTAGGGTTTTGCCCAGCACAGGAGGGTCTAGTGTGAACCTCACACTCACACGTGGGACAGACACCCATATCTGACAATGTCGCGGTGAATCTGTTTCACACAAACAAGGGAGATGATTCAGTGTGGACCACGGGCCCATGTCAATGAGCAGAGATATTTCCAGCGCCTGTCCACACACACAGGGGAGGAGGAACCACAGCTTCCAGCCTCACCCAAAGCCCTGACTCCTCCCTGCCTGTGAGGACCTGGGGTTCCTCTTCTGTCCCACACACAGAGGTGGAAATCTCCCCCACTAATGAGCCCTGGGTGGTCCCAGGCACCAGTGGTCCCTCAGCTCTGGTCTATGATCTGTCTTACGGCACCCTGTCTATTTCAGGAATTTGTTATTTAACTTTTTCTACATTAAGACCATGACTACAGGATTCAGAAATATCGTAACTAGGTTTCTCAGTGTTCAAAGTTGACGTCGGCTCTTCATGGGGGCATCAATCATCGTCCTCCACTGTGGAGCCCAACATCAGGATCCTCTCCCATCCCCACCCTCCTGTCTTAACTGGTCTAGAAATTAACCATGGCTGAGCCCCTCCCATGTCCTGGGCACCACTGACCCCCATAGCCACTGTGATGAGTGGGGATCATGACAACAGGCTCCAAACGTGGAAATTGAGGCTCAGGGATGGGATATTACTTCCCAAGGTCACACAGGCAGGGGATGATAATCAGGAATTAAATAAAAGTCACCTCCCAACCCAATGTCCGAAATCAGAGCTCAAACCTAACGTAATTGCTCCAAAAACCTTAAACGTGGATTAAGGCACAGAGGAAGGCCCAGGAAGTGAGGGGCACTGAGAAGGCAGGAATGACTTAGAGGTTTGTTCTCAGGGGTGGGGGGTGGATGCTGCTGCAAAAAGAAAGGAAGGAAAGACAGAGGGAAGGAAGGAGGGAGAGAGGGAGGGAGGAAGAGGACGGAAGGAAGGAAGGAAAAAAATAGGAAGTTTGGTAGAAAGGAAGAGACTGTTCTTGAAGGGACAAGAAAGGGACTGTTTGGCAGAAAGGAAACACACACTCCAGGGACAGAAAAACATATGTTTTATTCTCTTTATTCCCTGCATCTCTCTTGTGTTCTCACTGCCACATGCAGCTCAGCCTCGGCTGCACAGCCAGGTGTCAGGTGCGTCTCTGCTGATCTGAGTCTGCCTGCAGCATGGACCTGGGTCTTCCCTGAAGCATCTCCAGGGCTGGAGAATCACTGACCATGGTAAGGACCCCGCAACGCTGAGCTGATGGATGGGCTGAAGGAGGGAGGGAGACCCCATGGGGAGGCTCTGAGCGGGAGGAGGTCACCCTCGCCTGAAAGGGGCTGACTCCGGAAGGCATCAGGTCTAATGGCTGTTGTGTCCCGGCTCTCGGTAAGATAAAGACAGATCAGGCAGACAGTGGCCTGGGGGCAGGGAGACCCCATTTCTCTCTGAAATGTCTGCAGAGAGCCTGGTGCCCACCCCCATCTCAGCCCTGGGGAAATGAGAGCCAGCCTCCTGGGGAGGGCAGTTTCCGTTCCTGTGGGCTGCGGATGAGATAACCCCATGACAAGAAGGACCCAGCCTCTGAGGGGCCACACCCTGTGTGTCTCTCTGTC
This sequence comes from Homo sapiens, assembly GCF_000001405.40. Classification (NCBI taxonomy): domain Eukaryota; kingdom Metazoa; phylum Chordata; class Mammalia; order Primates; family Hominidae; genus Homo; species Homo sapiens. The sequence goes on from NW_003571054.1 coordinate 602,366, forward strand.
CTGCCAGCACCAACGGCTCATCCATTTGCAAAGCTGAAAGGAGGCAGAGGAGACGCCATGACCGCCGCCCTCACAGCCTTGCTTTGCTTTGCTTTGGTGAGATTTGAAGAGGAGAGAGGAAACCCCACAGGCCCTGGTCCATCAAGAGATCCCAGGGCTTTAGGGAGCTCCCAGGCAGGGGAGGACTTGCTCAGGCTTCAGGGGGCAAATCCCTCACAGGGAATTCTCTTCCAGGGCTGAGTCTGGGCCCCAGGACCCGCATGCAGGCAGGTGAGTCTGTCCCCAGCTCTCCCAGGTCCCTCCTCCTCACCCTGGACAGTTGGGGATGGAGACAGCAGTTCTGGGCAGGCAGCTGGGATGATCTGAGGGGTGGGGAAGGTCTTGGGATCCAGGCTTTGATTTCCTTCCATGTACTCTCCCCAAGCCCACCCTCTGGGCTAAGCCAGGCTCTGTGATCAGCTGGAGAAGCCCCATGACCATGTGGTGTCAGGGGACCCTGGAAGCCCAGGAGTACCATCTGTATAAAGAGGGAAGCACAGAGCCCTGGGACAGAACGAATCCACTGGAGACCAGGAACAAGGCCAGATACTCCATCCCATCCATGACACAGCACCATGCAGTGAGATATCAGTGTTACTATCTCAGCCCTGCAGGCTGGTCAGAGCCCAGTGACCCCCTGGAGCTGGTGATGACAGGTGAGAGGACACTCAGGGGTCCCAGCCCCAGGCTCTGCCCTCAGGAAGGGGGTTGGCTCTCAGGGGTGTCTCCCTCTCACAGCCCAGCCCTGGGGATGATGTGGGAGGTGGGAGCCCCATTTAACATGGTGCCTCCTTCTCTCCTAGGATTCTACAGCAAACCCACCCTCTCAGCCCTGCCCAGCCCTGTGGTGGCCTCAGGGGGGAAAGTGACCCTCCGATGTGGCTCACAGAAGGGATATCACCATTTTGTTCTGATGAAGGAAGGAGAACACCAGCTCCCCCGGACCCTGGACTCACAGCAGCTCCACAGTGGGGGGTTCCAGGCCCTGTTCCCTGTGGGCCCCGTGACCCCCAGCCACAGGTGGAGGTTCACATGCTATTACTATTATATGAACACCCCCCAGGTGTGGTCCCACCCCAGTGACCCCCTGGAGATTCTGCCCTCAGGTGAGGGAGCCACGGCCTTCTCTAACACACTTTCCGGACAGCTGACAGGTTGTGGGGAGTTTGGCTGGTGACTGAATCTGGAAAGGACCCAGAGTGATGTGTTGATGGATGGGCTGAAGGCATGAGGGAGACCCCATGGGGAGGCTCTGACATGGGAGGACAGAGCTCTCCCCCTGTCCTGGCCCCTGGAGAGACCCTGACCCTCCAGTGTGGCTCTGATGTCGGCTACGACAGATTCACTCTGTACAAGGAGGGGGAATGTGACTTCCTCCAGCGCCCTGGCCAGCAGCCCCAGGCTGGGCTCTCCCAGGCCAACTTCACCCTGGGCCCTGTGAGGGGCTCCCACGGGGGCCAGTACAGATGCTCCGGTGCACACAACCTCTCCTCCGAGTGGTCGGCCCCCAGTGACCCCCTGGACATCCTGATCGCAGGTGAGGAGCCCAGCGGGTTCAGTCAGGGACCCGGGCTCGGCACAGGCATTGCCGGGGGAGCCCAGGTGGTGATGGCCGGGATGAGGGGTGGGGGTCCCAAGGGAGGGAGAGACAGACAGAGACAGGGGATGGGGGGAGGGGAAGACTCAGAAAACAGACACAGAGACTGAGGGTCCCAGGGAGAGGTCTGGGGAGGTCTCAGCTCAGAACAAGGTGGGGCAGCCCCTCACCCATCTGTCTTCTGTCCAGGACAGATCCCTGGCAGACCCTCCCTCTCGGTGCAGTTGTGGCCCACAGTGGCCTCAGGAGAGAACGTGACCCTGCTGTGTCAATCACAAGAGTGGATGCACACTTTCCTTCTGACCAAGGAGGGGGCAGCCCATCCCCTGCTGTGTCTGAGATCAAAGTACGGAGCTCATAAGTACCAGGCTGAATTCCCCATGAGTCCTGTGACCTCAGCCCACACGGGGACCTACAGGTGCTACGGCTCACTCAGCTCCGACCCCTACCTGCTGTCTCACCCCAGTGGCCCCGTGGAGCTCGTGGTCTCAGGTGAGGGCGCTGACCCTGTCCTCTCTGAGCTCAAAGGCTCAGCTCAGGCCCTGCCCCCAGCAGAGCTCTGGACACTAAGGAAAGAGGGGAGTGAAGGGAGAGGGTCCGCAGGGGAGGGTCCAGCCCATGGGAAGATGGAAATAGACAGGGACCTCCCACCCCTGGCTCCCACCCCTGAAGTCTCAGTAGAGTAAAGTGCAGGGAGGGCTGGGAGGAGACGGGGGGTGAACCTCAAAGGAGTTGAGATTAGACTGAGGGTGGAAGACGGAGGCCCCACCTGCTCCCATCCTGGTGTCTCCACCTCAGAATCAGAGCCTCTGTGTCCCAGTCCCCAACAGACGCCCTCCTGGAGAGAGAAGCATCCAGGCTGCCGGTGCCACCTGCATCCACCCCCGACCCCCCCCCCACCCCGCCCCACTTCCTGCTTTCCCCTGCAGCCTCCCCAGCACTCAGCGCACACCTGAGCCTCACAGGGACTTGCACGTGCTCCCGCAGCAGCTCAGGGAATGTGCACCGCTCCTCTTCTGCGCCGTTGACATTTTTTATTTGGGTTTTTAAAATCTCATATTGGCCTTTTTGTCCAAGCTGGTGAAAGTAGATTTGCAGCATCACCTATTTTTATTCTCACCCGGTTTCGTAATAGCCCTGATCTCATGTGCTCCCTGAGGTTTTGTAAACTTCAGGTAGAAATGTGGACTTCCTTCGTTCTGGACATTTGCTATGGAGGGGGTAGGGCTTATCTTTTCAGAAAAAGTCAAATGACTGGTACCACTCCTTGAAACCCTACAGCACTTTCCAGACCTCAGAGGGAGGGAGAGAGAGGCAGAGACAGAGACAGAGAGACAGAGAGAGAGATATTGGGGCCGCTCTTTCCTGGCTGGTTCATCCTGGCCTATTCTCAATCCACCAAGGCCCCGAAGCTCATCTCCCCTCCTCCTCTGCCTCCTCCTCCACCCTGTAGACAAGCGGCCATTCCTTTCTGAAGAACAGGCTGAGACCTTTCTGGGACCTGCTCTTTCTGGAGCCTCTGTTGCTCCCTGTCTGGGTCTCCACACGCCTCCTTCCTGGCCCTTTTTCCTATTGAGGAATCAGCTTCAATGTCACCTCCAAGTGTGACCTTCACTGACGACACAGCTCAGCCCAGTCCTGCCTGCTTCTCATTTATGTCAAGTAATTAACCAACCTACACCATGCGGCTGAATTCCTTCTCTCTCTCTTCCACTCTCTGCACATACGTGTGTGTGTGTGTGCGCGCGTGTGTGGTCACACCGACATCTTACGTGACATTGAAACCTAGTTATCCGTATATCTATACAAATAATATATATTCACACATAAATATAGGTCTCTACCAATATATCTAAAACCATTGCTACGACTAGTAAATTTCCACTGCTGTGTTTCTATATGTTTGCTGTTTGTCTCCAGGTGAACCCACACTTCAAGAAGGCAGAGATAGTTTTTAAGGCCCACTATATATATAAAACAGATATATATTTGTGTTTGTGTTTTTCTGTGTGTGTATCACATTCTACCTGTTGCTGCCTATACGAATAATTAGCTACCTAGAGATTAAATGGACGATGAAACTCCAGGTGAAGTGGCTGAGGGCATGAAGGGGAGGCAGCCCCAGACTTTCACCCCTTTGTGCTTCTGACATTGAGGCTCCCCTGATGACTAACCCTCATCCACGGAGCCTGGGTCCTCAGCTGGTGGATCCGTGAAACTCTCATCTCCGGGGGAGTTGGCTCATGTTCTCCTGTGTCCCAGGCTGCACAGAGAGCACACAGGCCTCAGTGACCTCTGTACTGGGGACCACTTTCCTTGCAGATCCTGAGCTCTCAGGATGCAGGAAAACTCTCTCCCAGATGACTCAGGAGCAATGTTTAAATCCATAGAACACAGGAAAACTGAAATCGTTCAATGAGGAGACTAGAGGGAATCCTGCTAGCGGAGGAAGAGGTTTTTTTTTTTTTTTTAGAAATTCTGTAAAAGTCACATCATGAGACATTAAGTAATAAAAAAAAAATTGCAGAGCCCAGGTGAGAGGCTGGGCTCAGGTCTCTTTTTCTCTGTTTTGATTCTCTGGAGCAGCTGATACCCTCAGCCCATCACAAAACAAGTCTGACTCTGAGACTGGTATGTGAGGAGATACTCTCAGTGATGGGGCTGGCACTGAGGGTTGGGTCCTGTGAAGGGGAGGTGGGTGCCCTGGGTGGACAATCTGATCCACCCTGACCTCTGTGACCTCTTTGTCCACCATCCCCAGCCTCACACCTTCAGGATTACGCAGTGGAGAATCTCATCCACATGGGCGTGGCTGGCTTGATCCTGGTGGTCCTCGGGATTCTGTCATTTGAGGCTTGGCACAGCCAGAGAAGCTTCCCAAGATGCAGCCGGGAGGTGAACAGCAGAGAGGATAATGTACTTTATAGAGTCGTGAAGCCTCAGGAACAGATCTGATGATCCCAGGAGGTTCTGGAAGAAAATCTAGGGCCGATGCTATCTGGACTGTCTGCTGGTCATTTCCAGAGGAAGGAATCAATGTCCGAGTGCAGGGACATTTTCTGGGGTGATCCATGGAGAACCATTAAAATGTGATACCTTTCCTCTCCATTAATGTTGACTTTCCTTGGTTGGATCTGCCTCTTTTCCCACACTTAGACATGAGGCTCCATCCCACATGGCAGCGTTGGGTCCACACCTCTGCACACCTGCATGCTCTGGTCCATGGCGTGTCACACAGTCCTCTTCATTTCTCATTGCCACACTTCCTGGTGTACTTTACTGGGTCTTCATGTCTTCAGTTCAGAGTTCCGCACCTGGTTTAGGAACTAATTCAACGGGAGAAGATCAGAGTCCGACCAGGAAAAGATAAATGCACCGTGATGCCCTCACCTCCTGTGTGGACCCTATGAGCTCTTCCCTCCTTATCAGATGCTATCTGTGTAGTTTCTCCTGAAATATCACCACCTGGAATCAACACACTGGCATTTGAAGTCACGACCCAATGGTATGCTAATTCTGAAAAAGACATTTTTTGAAATGCTATGATTAGTGGCATTTACCAATTTCCTTGACGTAAATTCTTTTTTCATGGCCATAATCAAGATGCCAACGAGACATCCCTGAATGCAGGGTTGGGAAGCGTTGGACAGACTTGTCTTCACTCATAAGCACCAGGCATCTGATAGCTCACGTATACATCTTATTACCTTCCATTTTAGAGTGAATAATCATTTCTACTTCAGTATTTTGGCACAGGTAAAAGCAGTCCCATTACTGCGCGTATACCCAAAGGAATATAAATCATTCTATTGCAAAGATACATGCACACATGTGTTCATCGCAGCACTATTCACAATAGCAAAGACATAGAATCAACCCAAATGCCCATCAATGATAGACTGGATAAAGAAAATGTGAGACATATACACCACGGAATACTATGAAGCCATAAAAAGAAACAAGATCATGTCCTTTGCAGGGACATGGATGGAGCTGGAAACCATTATCCTCAGGAAACTAACACAGGAACAGGAAATCAAACGCTGCATGTTCTCACTTACAAGTGGGTGCTGAACAATGAGAATGCGTGAACACAGGGAGGGGAACAACACACACTGGGGCCTGTCGGGGGGGGGTGGGGTAGGGGTAGGGAGAGCATTAGGAAAAATAGCTAATGTATGCTGGGCTTAATACCTAGGTGATGGGTTGACAGGTGCAGGAAACCACCATGGCGCACATTGACCTATGCAATAAGCCCACACATTCTGCACATGTACCCCGGAACTTAAAATAAAAATAAAAATTAAAATTAAATTATGACACCATGATCCTAGCATATCCAAAAAAGACAAAAATGCCAATATCAAATGTCGGAGAAAATAGGGCTGAATTAAAAATCCAATACAACGCCGGGCGCAGTGGCTCACGCCTGTAATCCCAGCACTTTGGGAGGCCAAAGTGGGTGGATCACTTGAAGTCAGGAGTTTGAGACCAGCCTGGCCAAACGTGGTGAAACCCTGCCTCTACTAAAAATACAAAAATTAGCCGGGTGTGGTGGCACTCACCTGTAGTCCTAGCTACTAGGGAGGCTGAGGCAGGAGAATCACTTGAACCCGGGAGGCGGAGGTTGCAATGAGCTGAGATCATGCCACTGAACTCCAGCCTGGGTGACAGAGCGAGACTCCGTCTCAAAAAAAAAAAAAAAAAAAAAAAACCCTCAAAAGCTCAGGCAGCAAAAGCAAAAATAGGCAAATGAGATCATAGCAAACTGCAAACCTTCTGCACAATCAAGGAAACAAACAGCAGAGTGAAGAGACCACCTACAGAATGGGAAAGAATATTTGCAAGCAAGAGATTAATCTCCAGAAAATACAAGGAGCTCAAACAATGCAGAGGTTTTGAAGGATGGTGATGAGAAGGTTCTGCTACTTACAGAAAGGAAGTTTAGGAGAAACAAAACCACAAACCTAGGTGGTGGGATGGCTTGATCTGCTTCTGTCTGTGACTCAGTTAACAGTCTTAAACACATCTCCCTAAGCCTCCTTCCCCCGGTGGGATTCCTGGGTCTTGTGAGGACCTCATCGGTCCCTCTGGTAAACCCAGGCACAGAGTGGAGCAGCTCTTGTTTTCTCAGGATCTTCCCCTTCACATACAATTAACGCACCCACACGATGCTACTCTTAGAACCCTTCAAATAAATGTTCCCCGGTTCATTCACTACCAGAATCCAAGCTCAGCTTGTTCCCCAGCTTAGGACTGAGTGGTATCTTGGAGGTAGTTTCCACCATAGCCCCCTTCCTCTGCTATAAGGCTCAGTGACACACCAGAGACACCCCCTCCAGCCAGGCTCCTGGAAGGTCTGGATGAAGACTGGGATGCTGAGGCATTGCTCAGCAATGTGGCTTAACTCAAACTTCTATGTGAAACTTCCAACCACTTTCAGCAAGGGGTCACTTCCAGCGTCTTGGGGTGTGAGGGCACCTTGGTTGGTCCCTGCAATATCAGACCCTATAAAGATCCTACAAACATGTTGCAGACTCTTTGAAGATTCTGGCACTTTCAGACATGCTGTTGGGAAATGGTGACACCCATAACCTTCTAGTTCCAGGACAGGGAGCCTTAGCCCAGGGCTATGTTTTCTGAGGGTCCTCAAAGTAAACAGTTCTATGTGCCAGGAGAACCCTAAATCTCATATGGTTCTAAGGGCAGAAAGCCACACACGCACCGGCAAAAAGCAAGAGATTCAAGGAAAAGCTGAGCAAAGACAGACAGGAAAACACACACATGATGAGCCAGCTTGTAGAGCTAGAACTGAGATGGAGAGAGGCACGAGTGGGTAACAGAGTGTGCTCCCCAGAACAGGTGGAGAGAATGCCTTTTTCATGCCCTGAGGATAGGCTGGGTAAGGCTTGTGCTCGACAGTCAAGGACTATTTTTTTCCCCAGGCGTCTACAAGAGACCTTCCTTCTCAGCTCAACTGTGCCCTGCAGTAAGTAATGATGGAGAGAATGTGACTTTGCTCTGCAGCTCTGGAAGCTCATTTGACCTGTGCCTTCTAACGAGGAAGGTAAGGCCCCTGGACACTGGCTCACTGGGGTGCAGAGACAGAGTGGGGCATTCAGGCCAACTTCTCTCTGGGTCTTGGGGCTGGTGATGGGACCTCTAGATGCTGCAGCTCTCTGTCGATGGCTCTGCCTGTGAGTGATCAGCCCTAGATGACCACTGTTACTGGGGGTAGCCCATGCCTGCTGCATGCCCTGTGAAACACTAAATCATATAGCCACGTCTGAGGGACAGCCTGCTGGAGACATGGGAATCTTAGGGATTCCAGACAAAATGAAGCAATGAGAAACACAAAGAGGAAAAGAGAGGTTGAGTATGACAGTGGTGTCAGGGTGTAGGGTGGTAGACAGGGCAGCTCCACACTCTCCACTGCTTCCTGTCTGGAGGCCCACTTTGGGGTCCTACTTATCCAGGTGAGTGAAGGAAGAGGTCAGGACAAACACAGGAGGTGAAGCCAGATACAGTGTGGGGAGATAAGCAGTGGCCTCAGCCTCTAGCCCTTTTCCATCTTCCAGAAGCCCCTCCTGAGCTCTCATCACAGACAGATTTCCCATTTGGAAACCCAGATATTTATCATGCCGGGGGGGGGAGGCAATGTCTCTTGATTATGGGGACTTTCCATCACCAGGCACCTGCTAGTCCTCTCTATACCTTCCCTTCAGGAAAGGAATTGTCCCTCATGGGATTCCAGGGAAGAGACCCCAGGACCCCTATCAGTCACTAGGGAGATGACAGAGTAGAGGAAGTCAGGGGACCAACCCTCCACAGAGAATGGTCCTACTTCAGTGGGGTGAGGGAAACTCTCACTCATCCATTTGCTGTCCTGTTACCTCGGAACCCTAAGAGAACTTGTTAGTCACACACAGAATCTACCCCTGAATGTGGTGTGCAAAGTGGGGCTCTTAGCCTCCAGTGTGAAGTCCCTGGGAAGATGGAATGTCCCTGTGTGAGTGAAGGCTGTGCCACCGCCCAGCTATGTGGCCTTGGGCTAGGCAACCCCTCCCAGGTCCCCAGTTCCCCATCTGCATCGGAGACTGTGGCCAGTGTGGGAATCCACAAGGCCCTTCAGCCTCCAATGCTCTGGGACAGAGGCCTCGTCCACGGGGAGGAAGGGGTCAGAGTGACCTGAGTCCCTACTCAGGAGCGAGTCTAATCCACTCTCCATCGGGGCCTGTGGGGAAGGGAAGATGAAGAAACGGAGCCTGCACCTGGCTATGTGGGCGCAGTAGATTAAGGGGAGGATGAGGGTTCCTGAGAGTGTGTCATGTGGCAGAGACCCTGCAGCACACTCAGGAAGGGCTCTGGAAGGATCCAAGGAAATTTTCCAAGAAGAGGGCAGAGTAAGTGACAGAGACCCTCAACCATGGATTTCACTGAGGTGCCCATGATGACATAGGGAGAACGGGGGTGTCTGGGCAGGAAGAATATCGTCAGGGTGAAATGAATGGTGATGAGCTTCGTGTCAGAGCTCCTGTGGAGGGAGGGGCCTGGCCCACATGAAAAGGTCTCTGATCCTACCCCAGCCCCCAGCCCCTGTTCTCCAGGATGACACTGTGGGAATTCCATCAGGAGGGGTGTGATAGGGCTGGTCTTCCTGGCTCGATTCACAACACTGGCTGGGGACTGGGAACCCATGGGGAGCCACAGGTGGAAAGGGAGGAGCCTCAGTGAACCCAGCAGGAACAAACATAGGGTCTGACATGATGGAACTCACTTCCTGGAGGCCAAGAAAGACACTTGCAGGACAAAAGGGAAAGAGCGGTGGCTTGCTTAGTTCCATTCACTGACAACCCACAGGAGATGTCCAGTCCTGTTTTGATTTATTATTTTATTTTATTATATTTTATTTTATTTTATTTTATTTTGACATGGAGTTTTGCTCCTATTGGCCAGGCTGGAGTGCAATGGCACGATCTTGACTCACTGCAACCTCCACCTCTCAGGTTCAAGCGATTCTCCTGCCTCAGCCTCCTGCATAGCTGGGATTACAGGCGACTGCCACCACAGCCAGGTAATGTTTGTATTTTTAGTAGAGATGAGGTTTTGCCATCTTGGCCAGGCTGGTCTCAAACTCCTGATCTCATGTGATCCGCCTGTATCAGACTGCCAAAGTGTTGGGATTACAGGCGTGAGCCACCACACCCAGCCTTTTGTATTTTTAGTAGAGATGGGGTTTCACCATGTTGGTCAGGCTGGTCTTAAACTCCTGACCTCAGGTGATCCATCCACCTCGGCCACCCAAAGTGCTGGGAGTACAGATGTTAGCCACCGTACCCAGTGAGAGTTTCAGTGCTCTATCGGATTCCCTGCCTACTCCATGTTGCATGTAATGTTCCACCTCAGGGATGTTTCTCTCCTTTCTGTCTCCTTCCTCTTCTCCTTTTCCTTTTTTCTTTCTAATTTTTATTTTTTTGAGACAGAGCCTTGCTCTGTTACCCAGGCTAGAGTACAGTGGCACGATCCCAGCTCACTGCAACCTCTGCCTCCTGGGTTCAAGAGATTCTCCTGACTCAGCCTCTCGAGTAGCTGGGATTACAGGCACCCGCCATCACACCCAGCTAGTTTTTGTATTTTTAGTAGAGACGAGGTTTCACCATGTTGGCCAGACTGGTCTTGAACTCCTGCCCTCAGGTAATCCACCCGCCTGTGGCCCCCCAAAGTGCTGGGATTACAGGCGTGAGTCACCACTCCCAGCCCTGAATGATCTTTCCTCTTTAGTGTGTTCTCACAACCACCTCTCACTGAGCTTTCTTGTTTTTTGTTTTTGTTTTTGTTTTTGTTTTTGTTTTTGGCAGAGTCTGGCTTTGTTGCCTATGCTGGAGTGCAGTGGTGCAATCTCAGCTCACTGCAACCTCCGTCTCCTGGGTTCAAGCGATTCTCCCACCTCAGCCTCCTGAGTAGCTGGGATTACAGGCACCCACCACCACACCCAGCTAATTTTTGCATTTTTAGTAGACACAGGGTTTCACCATGTTGGTCAGGCTGGTCTCGAACTCCTGACCTTGTGATCTGCCAGCCTCAGCCTCCCAAAGTGCTGGAATTACAGGCATGAGCCACCACTCCCAGCCCTGGATTATCTTTCCTCTTTAGTGTGTTCTCACAACTACCTCTCACTGCTGGGTTTTCTCTCTTTCTTTTTTTTTTTTTTTTTTTTTTTTTTTGAGACAGTCCGGCTTTGTTGCCCAGGCTGGAGTGCAGTGGCGCGATCTCGGCTCACTGCAAGCTCCACCTCCCAGGTTCAAGCGATTCTCCCACCTCAGCCTCCCTAGTAGCTGGGATTACAGGCGCATGCCAGCACACCCAGCTAGTTTTTGTATTTTTAGTAGAGACAGGGGTTTCACCATGTTGGTCAGGCTGGTCTTGAACTCCTGACCTTGTGATCTTCCTGCCTCGGCCTCCCAAAGTGCTGGGATTACAGGTGTAAGCCACTGCACCCAGCCAGCTTTCTCATTCTTATCCCTTAGTTCTCTGCCAGGGAATAAGATAGAAACCATTCCCTCAACCACATTCTAGTCATGGTCCCTATTCTCATGTTTCCACTTCTCTCTCTTTGGTAATAAATCAATTAATTGAGAAACAAGTAGCTAAATGTTCATCTTCTGCTAGTCTGCATCCCCTTATTTTCCCAGAGCCTCCCCTAATGAAACTGACTTTATTTACTGAACGCAGGAAATGGGTCTCTCCAGATCAGGATGACTTTCTGCTGGGAAATATTTGTCTTTGCATCAGTGGGGAAAAAGAAAGCCGATGTCATGAGTGGAGGCTCTGAGAAAATAAGGGCTGTGTTTTCAGTTTAGACCCAGCTAAGTTGGGAGCTGACATAGATATGATGTTGGGTCCACCCTCCACGGGCAGGTTTTCAGACAAAGGATCCCTGGCAATCAGGGGACACCTCAGGTCTGGGCTGAGATGTGTGCAGAGGGCCTGGGTCCTCCTGAGCCCCTGCACTGGGGGGGGAATAAGAGACAGGCCCAGCAAGGGGCTGTCCACTTCCTGTGGGTTCACAGCTGTGGGGACCCAGGCAGGCGGCAGCAGGCTCTGACTTAACCACATCCGTGCATCTGTCTGTCATGGAGGGCCATGTGGTCACCTGTCCCACAGCTGGAGCACGCAGAGCAGGCATCATGGTGTCCATCCTCACTGTTCTTCTGTGCCTCAGTCAGTGGTGGAGAGACGAGGGACAGGAGGGGCACTGGGCTGAGGTGGGGAGGGTCCCACAGCAGCCTTGTTCACCAGAGAGCCTCAGGGCTCCAGTGGCTACTGGTGCTCCAACAGGAAGGGAAGCAGCCACACCTCTGTGTTCCAAATCCCCCACAGGAAACTCTTCTCCATGGCTGAGTCTGGGCCAGAAAGCCCAAGCACTTGCAGGTGAGTCTCTGCTAACCTCCCATGCCTGACCTCACACTCAGCACCTGGACTCTCATCTCAGGGGCTTCTGAACTGAGGGTGAGAAAATCAAGAGGGTCTGTGACCTGAGCTGGGAATGAGGAGCGGGGGAGGTCTGTGGACCCCAGCCTGTGGTTTCTTCCAGGGACCCTCCCCAAACCCAGCCTCTGGGCTGAGCCAGGCTCTGTGATTACCTGGGAGAGCCCCATGACCCTCTGGTGCCAGGGGACCCTGGATACCCAGGGTTACTATCTCACCAAGGAAGGAAACCCCATGACCTGGTACCAACAGAGCCCACCAGAGCCCAGGAACAAGACCAACTTCTTCATCCCATCCATGAGAG